>NC_000023.11:112462542-113068760 GCF_000001405.40 Homo sapiens | reverse complement strand
CAAATATTATTAGAGCTAAACAGAAAGACAGACCCTAATACAATAATAGCTGGAGATTTCAACACCTCACTTTCAGCATTGAACAGACAATCCACACAGGAAATCAACTAACATTTGACTTAATCTATCAGCCAAATGGAACTAACAGATATTTACAACATATTTAATCCAATGGCTACAGAATATGCAAACTTCTCCTCGGCACATGGATCATTGTCAAGGATAGACCATACACTAGGCAACAAAACAAGTTTTAAGTCATTCAAAAAAAATAAATAATCAAGTATTTGCTCTGGCCAAAGTAGGATAAGACTAGAGGTCAATAACAAACACATGGAGGCCAGGCATGGTGGCTCCACACCTGTAATCCTAGCACTTTGGGAGGCCAAGGCAGGAGAATTGCCTGAGCTCAGTAATTCAAGACCAGCCTGGGCAAAATGGCAAAACCCCGTGTCTACAAAAAATACAAACATAAGCAGGGCGTGGTGGTGCACACCTGTAGTCCCAACTAATTAGGGGGCTGAGGAAGAAGTATCACTTTAACCTGGGAGGTTGAAGTTGCAGTGAGTTGAGATCATGCCAACATACTCCAGCATGAGTGATAAAGTGAGACCCTGTTTCAAAAAAAAAAAAAAAAAAAAAAAAATGGAAATTAAACAATATGCTCCTGAATGACCAGTAAGTCAATAAAGGAATTAAAAATAAATTTGAAAATTTCTTGAAACAAATCATAATGGAAACACAACTTACCAAAGTCTATAGGATACAGCAAAAGAACCACTAAAAGAGAAGTTTATAGCCATAAGTTCCAACACTATAAAAGTAGTAAACCTTCAGATAAATAACCTAACAATGCACCTAAAAGAATTACAAAAGGAAGAGCAAACTAACCCAAAATTGGTAGATAAAAATAAATAAAGATGAGAAAAAAATAAATGAAATTAAAGCAAAGAAAACAATATAAAAGATCAATGAAATGAAAAGTTTTTTTTGAAAAGATAAACAAAATTGGCAAACATTTAGCCAGACTAAGAAAAAAAGAGAGAAGACCCAAATAAATAAAATCAGAAATGAAAAGGGAGCCATTACAACTCATAGCACAGATATTCAAAGGATCATTAGTGACTACTATGAGCAACTATATGTCATAAATTGAAAAATCTAGAGGAAATGGATAAATTTTTAGATACATAGAACCTACCAAAATTGAAAGATGAAGAAATCTAAAACCTAAAAGGATAAATAATAAGTAATAAAATCAAAGCCATGATAAAAAGCCTCCCAGTAAAGAAAAGCCCAGGATGCAATAGCTTCACTGCTGAATTTTATCAAACATTTAAAGAACAACCAATACCAATCTTACTCAAACTATTCTAATAAATAGAAGAGAGAATACTTCCAAACTCATTCTACAAGGCCAGTATTATCCTGATACCAAAACAAGAAAAAGACACATCAAAATAAAAAAAAAACTAAAGTATCTCTGATAAATATTGATGCAAAAATCCTCAACAAAATATCACTATACCAAATTAAACAAACATTAAAAAGATCATTCATCATGACCAAATGGGACTTATCCCTGGGATGCAAGGGCGATTCAACATATAGAGATCAATCAATGTGATGTATCATATAAACAGAATGAGGAATAAAAACATTATGATCATTTCTTTCTTTCTTTCTTTTTTTTAGTAAGACAGAGTTTCTCTCTTGTTGCCCAGGCTGGAGTGCAATGGTGCAATCTCGGCTCACTGCAACCTCCACCTCCCGGGTTCAAGTGATTCTCCTGCCTCAGCCTCCAGAGTAGCTGGGATTACAGGCATGCACCACCACACCCAGCTAATTTTTGTATTTTTAGTAGAGACGGGGTTTTGCCATGTTGGCCAGGCTGGTCTCGAACTCCTGACCTCAGGTGATCCACCTGCCTCAGCCTCCCAAAGTGCTGGGATTACAGTTGTGAGCCACCATGCCCAGCTCCTTATGATCATTTAAATTGATTCTGAGAAAGCATGTGATCAAATTCAACATCTCTCCATAATAAAAACCCTAAAGAAAAACTTGGTATAGAAGAAAAATACCTGAGCATAATTAAAGTCATATGTGACAGACCCACTGCTAGTGTCATACTGAATGGCAAAAACTAAACTCCTTTTCTCTAACATTTGGAAGACAACGAGCACAACGAGCATTCCCACTTTCACCACTGTTATTCAACATAGTACAGGAAGTCCTAGCTAGAGCAATCAGACAAAAGAAAGAAATAAAGTATATCCAAATTGAAAAGGAAGTCAAATTTTCCTTGTTTGCAGATGACAAGACCTTATATTTGGGAAAAAACTAAAGACTCCACCAAAAAACAATTCGAACTGATGAACAAATCCAGTGAAGTTACAGAATACAAAATCAACATACAAAAACCGGTAGCATTTCTATATGCCAACAGGGAAGAATCAGAAAAATAAATTAAAAAACTAATCTCGAGTCGGGGGAGGGGGGAGGGATAGCATTACGAGATATACCTAATGTTAAATGAAGAGTTAATGGGTCCAGCACACCAACATGGCACATGTATACATATGTAACAAGCCTGCACGTTGTGCACATGTACCCTAAAACTTAAAGTATAATTTTAAAAAAAACTAATCTCATTTACAGTAAACAAAAAGAAAATTAATTACCTGGGGACTAATTAAAGAAATGAAAGGTCTATACAATGAAAACTATAAAACACTGATGAAAGAAATTGAAGGAGAAACAAAAAATGAAAATATATTTCATGTTCCTAAATTGGAAGAATCAACATTGTTAAAATGTCCATATTACCCAAAGCAATCTACACATTTAATGTAATCTCTATCAAAATACCATTGATATTCTTCACAGAAATAAAAAAAAATCCTAAAATTTATGTGGCATCACAAAAGATTCAGAATAGCCAAAGCTATCATAAGAAAAATGAACAAAACTGAAGGAACCATATTAACTGACTTCAAATTATACTACAGAGTTATTGTAACTAAAACAGCATGGTACTGGCATAAAAACAGATGCATAGACCAATGGGACAGAATAGAGAACCCAAGAACAAATCCACACACCTACAGTGAACTCATTTTTGGCAGAGGTGCCAAGAATCTACAGAGGGGAAAAGAGAGTCTCTTCAATAAATGATGCTGGGAAAAATGGATATCCACATGCAGGCAAATTAAACTAGACACCTATCTCTTGCCATATACAAAAATCAAATCAAGATGGATTAAAGACTTAAATCTAAGATCTTAAGCTACAAAACTACTATAAAAAAGTATTGGAAAAACTCTCCAGGGCATTGGACTGGGCAAAGACTTCTTGAGTAATACCCCACGAGTACAGACAACCAAAGCAAAAATGAACAAATGGGATCATGTTAATTTAAAACTCTTCTGCACAGAAAGAAAAAGTGAAGAGAAAACCCACAGAATGGGAGAAAACATTTGCAAACAACCCATGTGACAAAGGATTAAAAACCAGAATATATAAGAAGTTTAAACAACTCTGTAAGAAAAAAATATAATAATTAAATCAAAAAATAGATGAAAGATCTGAATAGACATTTTTCAAAAGAAGACATACAAGTAGCAAACAGGCATATGAAAAGGTACTGAACATCATTGATCAGTAGATAAATGCAAATCAAAACTACGGTGAGTTATCTCACCCCAGTTAAGATGGTTTATATCCAAAAGAAAGACAATAACAAATGCTGGCGAGGATGTGGAGAAAAGGGCATCCTTATACATGGTTGGTGGGAATGTAAACTAGTACAACAACTATGGAGAACAGTTTGGAGGTTCCTTAAAACACTAAAAATAGACCTACTATAGGATCCAGCAATTCCACTACTAGGTATGTACCCAAAAGCAAGAAAATCACTATATCAAGGAAATATCTGTCTTCCAATGTGTGTTGCAGCACTGTTCACAATAGCCAAGATTTGGATGCAATCTGAGCATCCATAAACAGATAAATGGGTAAAGAAAATGTGCTTAAACCTGACAGAAATATGACAAAAAAGAAACTTCAGGCCAATATCATTGATAAACATCGATGCAAAAATCTTCAACAGAATACTTGCAAATCGAATCCAACAGCACATCAAAAAGCTAATCCATCATGATCAAGTAGGCTTCATCCCTGGGATGCAAGGTTGGTTCAATATGCACAAATCAATAAACGTTATTCATCACGTAAATAGAACTAAAGACAAAAATCACATGATAATAGATGCAGAAAAGGCTTTTGATAAAATTCAACATCCCTTCATGTTAAAACCTCTCAATAAACTAGGTATTGAAGGAACATACCACAAAATAATAAGAGCCATATATGACAAACCCACAGCCAATATCATACTAGATGGGCAAAGCTGGAAACATTTCCCTTGAAAACCAGTACAAGACAAGGATGCCCTCTCTCACCACTCCTATTCAACATAGTATTGGAAGTCTGGCCAGGGCAATCAGGCAAGAGAAAGAAATAAAGGTATTCAAATAGGAAGAGCGGAAGTCAAACTGTCTTTTTTTGCAGATGACATGATCCCATATCTAGAAAACCCCATTGTCTCAGGTCAAAAGCTTCTTAAGTTGATAAGCAACTTCAGCAATGTTTCAGGATACAAAATTAATGTGTAAAAATTGCTAGCATTCCTATGCACCCACAACAGTCAAACCAAGAGCTAAATCAGCAATGCAATGCCATTCACAATTGCCACAAAAAGAATAAAATACCTATGAATACAGTTAACAAGGGAAGTGAAGGATCTCAACAAGGAGATCTACAAACCACTGTTCGAGGAAATCAGAGGTGACACAAACAAATGGAAAAACATTCCATGCTCATGGCTAGGAAGAATCAGTATTGTTAAAATGACCATAATATACTGCCCAAAGCAATTTATAAATTCAATGCTATTCCCATTAAACTACCATTGACACTCTTCACAGAACTAGAGAAAACTATTTTAAAACTCATGTCGAACCAAAAAAGAGCCCAAATAACCAAAACAATCCTAAGCAGAAAGAACAAAGCTGGAGGCATCATTCTACCTGATTATACTACAGAGCTACAGTAACCAAAACAGCATGGTATTGGTACAAGAATAGACACGTAGACCAATGGAACAGAACAGAGAACCCAGAAATAAGACCACACACCTGCAACAATCTAATCTGCAACAAGCCTGACAAAAATAAGCAATTGGGAAAGGATTCTCTATTTCATAGATGGTGCTGGGAGAACAGGCTAGCTTTATGCAGAAGATTGAAACTGGACTCGTTCCTTACACCATATACAAAAATTAACTCAAGATGGAATAAAGACTTAAATGTAAAGCCTCAAACTATAAAAACCCTAGAAGAAAACCTAGGCAATACCATTTAGAACATAGGCTCAGGCAAAGATTTCATGATGAAGCTGCCAAAAGCAAATGTAACAAAAGCAAACTTTGACAAATGGGATTTAATTAAACTAAAGAGTGTCTACACAGCAAAAGAAACTATCAACAGAGTAAACAGACAACCTACAGAATGGGAGAAAATTTTTGCAATCTATGCACCTGACAAAGGTCTAATATCCAGTATCTATAAGGAACTTAACACATTTACAAGAAAAAAACAAACAACCCCAATAAAAAGTAGGCAAAGGACATAAACATACACTTTTCAAAAGAAGATATACATGCAGCTGAAAAGCATATGAAACATGCATAACATCACTGATTATTAGAGAAATGCAAATCAAAACCACAATGAGACACCATCTCATACCAGTCAGAATGGGTATTATTAAAAAGTCAAAAAATATTAATAACAGATGCAGGTGAGGTAGTGGAGAAAAAGAAATGCTTATACACTGTTGGCAAGAGTGTAAATTGTTTCAGTCATTGTGGAAAACAGTGTGGGGATTTCTCAAAGACCTAAAGACAGAAATACCATTTGACCCAGCAATCCCATTACTAGGTATATACCCAAAGGAATAGAAATCATTTTATTACAAAGATACATGCATCTGTGTGTTCATTGTAGCACTATTCACAATAGCAAAATCATAGAATCAACCTAAATGCCCATCAATGATAGACTGGATAAAGAAAATGTGGTACATAGACACCATGGAATACTATGCAGCCATTAAAAAAATGAGATCATGTCTTTTGTAGGAACATGGATGAAGCTGAAGGCCATTATCCTTAGCAAACTAACTTAGGAAAAGAAAAACAAATACCACATGTTCTCATGTAAGTAGGAGGTAAATCATGAGAGCACATGGACACATAGAGAGGAACAATGCACACTGTGGCCTACTGGAGGGCAGAGAGTGGGAGGAGGGAGAGGATTAGAAAATATCACTAATGGATGCAAGGCTTAACACCTGGGTGATGAAATAATCCGTACAACAAACCTCCAAGACACACATTTACCTATGTAACAAACCTGCACATCCTGCACATGTACCCCTGAACTTAAAATAAATGTTAAAAAGGAAAAGAGAAACACACACACACAGAATGAATACCTACTATTCGATAGCACAATAGGATGACTATAGTCAATAATAACTTAATTGCACATGTTAAAATAACTTAAAGAGTGTAATTGGGTTGTTTGTAATACAAACGACAATGCTTGAGGTGATGGATGCCCCCATTCCCCATGATGTGCTTATTTCACATTGCATGCCTGTATCAAAACTTCTCATGTACCCCACTTTTTTAAAAAAAGAAAATGTGGTACTTATGGAGTACTATTAAGCCATAAAAAATAATTAGATCTTGTCATTTGCAACAAGATGCATGGAACTGGATGTCATTATGTGAAGTGAAATAAGCCAGGCACAGAAAGACAAACTTCATATATTCTTACTTATTTGTGGGAGCTAAAAATTAAAACAAGTGAACTCATGGAGATAGAGAGTAGAATGATGGTTAAGAGGCTGGGTATTTACTTGGAGGCTGGGATAAAATTGAGGATGGTTAATGGGTACAAATAAAATAGAAAGAATGAATAAGATCTAGGATTTGATAGCACAACAAGGTGACTGTAGTCAATAATAATTTAACTGTACATTTTAATATAACTAAAAGAGTATAATTGTATTGTTGTAACACAAAGGGTAAACATTTGAGGTGATAGATATGCCATTCATCCTGAAGTGATTATTACACAGTGTATGCCTGTATCAAAATATCTCATGTACCCCATAAATATACACACCTATTATGTACCCATGAAAATTAAAAATTAAAAATACATTCGTGATCAAATAAATTTTGAAACAATTGATTAATGGTAAATAGACCTCTTGCCTGAAGGATTTTTTAAGAGTGTTTAACATACTATTAGATTCGCATACATTTCTTTTTTTTTTTTTTTTTTTTTGAGACGAAGTCTCGCTCTGTGGCCCAGGCGGGAGTGCAGTGGCGCAATCTCGGCTCACTGCAAGCTCCGCCTCCCGGGTTCACGCCATTCTCCTGCCTCAGCCTCCCGAGTAGCTGGGACTACAGGCGCCCGCCATCACGCCCGGCTAATTTTTTTGTATTTTTAGTAGAGACGGGGTTTCACCGTGTTAGCCAGGATGGTCTCGATCTCCTGACCTCGTGATCCGCCCGCCTCGGCCTCCCAAAGTGCTGGGATTACAAGCGTGAGCCACCGCGCCCGGCCAGATTCGCATACATTTCTAAGAAGGAAATATAGTGTGCAGTAGTTTCCAAACTTATATGACCATGGAAACTTTTTTTTATCAGAGCTAATGACAGAGCTTTATCAGAGCTAAGGTTCTACAGAAAACACTTCAGAAAAAATGAGACTACAATATAATTTGCATTGTGGGAGAAGTGGTGAATTATGTATCTAGAAACAAATATTTGTGTCAGATTTTTTAAAGGATCTTTAATAACTTTGCAAAGATATTAGATTTGGGTTTTTTTCTATAGGAAATAAAGAAACATCAAATATTTTACATAAGAGAGTTGTACAATCAGACCTATGAAAAAATAAATCAGACAGCAAAATAAAGGAGAGATTCAAGGGGCATTGTCTGGAACCAAGGAAATTAGTGGAGATGTCACTGCAGTGGGAAATAAAATGAGGGTCTGTACTAGATTAATGGTAATTAGAGAAATGTTAATATTGTCTCAACTGAATGTTGATTTATTTGATAGCTAAAACTATGTTAAATTTTACATTTCTTACAAACCTTTCTCCCAAATATAGGCTCTAGCACAATACTGAGGATGTCAAAAGTGTAAATTTTTGTAAGTATATGTTTATTAAATATCTTCTTACAAGTGACTGAGTGATACAACTGTGGGCTTCTGAGGAACATTAGGCAGAAAAGAAATTATTCTTTGAATCAAGACCTCTAAGTATAAAATTCATTATCCAGGCGAGTATTCAAAGACCATTTTAGGATCCAGCCTCCAAGCTAGCCCCAGTGACCCCCACCTTCTAGTATTCGCACTCTTAAATGGTCCCTAATTGTACTAGGGTTTGTCTGGATGATCAACAGAATATAGTCAAAATAATTACAGCACTTCTGAGATTCAGTTATAAAATTTATCATGGGGATGATGGTTGAAAATTTATCTGTTGGGTACAATGTTCACTATTTGGGTGATGGGCACACTAAAAACCCAGACTTCACCATTACATAATATGTGCATGTAAAAAATCTGCACTTGTACCCCCAAATAAAAATTTAAAAATCTAAAAATAAATAAATTCATAGTTTTCAGTACAAAAAAATGCTTACTAAGATAATTTTTTAAAAAAAATCTATCTTGATGACTCATACCCTTTCTCTCTTGGATCACGCACTCTGGGGGAAGCCAGCTGGCATGTCATGAGAGCTCTATGGAGAGGCCCACATGGTAGGAAACTGAAGACTCAGCCAATAGCCATGTGAGTAAGCTTGAAGTGGATCCATGCAAACAGTGAGCACAAGAAGCCTAGAGTACCTATACTAATATCCAACCAAATACATTTTAAAACAAAATACATTACCAAAGATGAAAATATTATTACCATAATTAAAAGGTAAATTCAATGGGACATAACAATCATAAGTGTGTATTCATCCAATAACAAAGCTTCCAAATGTATGAAGCAAAACTGACAAAATTAAAGGGTAAACAGGTAATTCCTCAATCATACTGGGGATTTTAACACTATGTTCTCAGAAATTGATAGAACAAGCAGAAAAAAAAATCAGCAAAAACCTTAGATCTGAACAAAACTATCAACCACTTCAATTTAATTGATATTTAAATAATACACATGGAAATGGCAGAATACACATTTTTTTCAGTGCATATGGTACTTTTTGTACTTATATAGTTAACTAATATTGCCAAATGAGTCAGGGTAATTTCATGGAGAAAAATAGTCTTTTTGACAAATGGTACTGGGACAAGTATATAGGTGCATAGAAAAAATAAACCTTGACTCTTACTGCACATCATACACGAAGATTAACTCAAAATGGATCATATATCTAAATATAAGAGCTAAAACTATTAAACTGTAGAGGAAAACACATGAGAATATTTTTGTGATATTGGGTTAGGTAAAATTATTTAAATCAGACATCAATAATACAAAGTATAAAAGGGAAAAATTATGAAATGGACTCTATCAAGATTAATAAAGTTTGCTGTCTAGAACTATGAAAACAAAAAGATAAGCCACAGCTTGGGAGTAAATGTTTGCAAAACATACATCTGACAAAGGGCTCTTGTATCAAGAATATACGAAGACAAAGAAGATATACAAACAACCAATAAGCACGTAAGAAAAAATGCTCAGCATTGTTAGTCATCAGAGAAATGCAAATCAAAACCACAATGCAATACCACTGTGTGCAATACCGCTATGTAACCAAGAGGATAGCTCAAATCAAACTGATGAAAAACGAATGTTAGTGAGGATGTGGAACATTGCTGATGAGAATGGAAAATGGCATACTCATTTGGAACACAGTCTGGCGGTTCCTGAAACGGGTAATCATAGAGTCACCAAATGACCCAGCAATTCCACTCCTATTTACTCAAGAGAAAGGGAAACATAAACCCACACAAATATGCATATGTGAATGTTCTTAGAAGCTTTATTTGTAATTTTCCCAAACTGAAAATAACCCAGATGTTTGCCCACATAGGATTACTAGTCAGTAATAACAAAGAGTAACCTATTGATACATGCAACAACATCAATACATCTAAAAAATATGGTAAGTCTGTAGTTCTCAACCAGGAATGATTTTGCTCCCCAGGGAACACTTGGTGATATCTGGAGACATTTTTAGTCGCCACAACTTGGAGGGGATACTACTGGTATTCAGTAGGTAGAAGTCAGAAACGCTGCTCAAAATTCTATAAAGCACAGGACATCTCCTCACAATAAAGAATTATCCAGCCCAAATGTCAATAGTGTTAAGGTTGGGAAACCTGGTGCTAAATGGAAAAAAAAGTCAAACATAAAACATTTCATATAGTATGATTCCATTTATAAAAATTTCTAGAAAGGGTAAAGCTATAGTGACACATAACAGATAAACCTGGGTCCAGAAATGGGAAAAGGGGATCAAGCTAAAGGAACATGAGAAACCTCTGTGGGATTATGGAACCATTTTGTTTATTGATTGTGGTGGTGTTTACAAAATTGTATAATTTACCAAAATTTATCAAGCTGTGCACTTGAAATTGATTTTTAAAATATTCCACAACTAATCATACTTTAAATATAAAGAATTTACAGTGGGGAAAAAGCATTGAAAACACATAAAACATTACATGCAGTGTTTGTATTACATACAAATGTTTTCAATACATACAACATTAAATACAGTTCATGTTTTCAATGAAAAAAAGCATTGAAAGTGATGGCAAAGAATGGTGGCACACGCCTGTAATCCCAGCACTTTGGGAGGCCAAGGCCGGCAAATCACTTGAAGTCAGGAGTTTGAGAATAGCCTGGGCAACATGGCGAAATCCCGTCTCTACTAAAAATACAAAAAAATTAGCTGGGGGTGGCAGTGCACACCTGTAATCCCAACTACTCGGGAGGCTGAGGCAGGAGAATTGCTTGAACCTGAGAGGCAGAGGTTGCAGTGAGCCAAGATGGCGTCACTGCACTTCAGCGTGGAGGACAGTGCGAGACTCCATCCCAAAAAAACTAAACAAACAAACAAAAAGATGAGCTTTGCCAACCTCACCTATAAGACTGAAGAGATCCAATTTTAAACTACAATGATATTTCCAGGTCACTGAGCTATTATTCAGTACATCACACCAGTGTACCCTGGTACATTAAAAATAAAGAGTTAAAACAATGTCCTAATGAGTTCTACAAAGAGTCGTGAATAATAAAGTTCTTCTGATCCTTTCCTGGGCGATGAGCAAGACGCCATCTCAAAAAAAAAAAAAAAAAAAAAAAAAGAATATTTCCATTAACAGCAAATCTAGTTCAAGATTATTCCATCAAGTGAAAATTTGTAAGAGATTATTTACCATGGCAGACAGAATATTACACGTAGTACTTTATGAATTTTCATAACCTTTACTACAGAGATTCCTTGATAAATAAATAAAAAGCTTTCCTGCAGAACCTGAGATAAACTTATGCCTTTGAAATTCTGGGAACACTGGAGCTCTCTTCATAACAGAAAGCTAACATTTGATCCATGGCCACAGAAGGAGCAACTATTACATTACACTTCCTTGACAAATGTTGCTTTGACTGTGAGAACTAAAGAAGGCAGAATTACAGATGATGAAATTCAATCAACAAGAGGTGACAGTTACTTTTCCTTTCTGAAGTTAAATCAGAACTTTTCTTTCCTTTTGAGTCTTGTTGAGACAGTTACATAGGAAATAACCCCTTATCTCTGCTACTCTGAAAAAAGTTATTTCTCCCATCTGTCTCATTAAACTTTTGGGAAAAAAATCATCTTAGAAGTAATAAAAAGCATTACATTCAGTTCCGTGTAGATTTCTTATGAAGGCAGAGAAATAAAAAGTCGGGTTGCCCCCAAAGTCCCTGGAGGCTCCAGAGTTCTGTGTGAATCCTGGCAACCCTTCTAGACCTATAAAGACAAGGAAAATCAAGAAGATACAAGAAGAAATCTCTTCTCCAGTGTTTCAAACTCCAAAAAGCATGCATTTTTAATGCTGACTTAGAACATTTCCTAGTTTTACCATATTCATCCAAGTGAAAGTCTTTCAGTCATAACAACCTAACCTTGCATATCCCTCAGATGCCTTGTATGGCCTTCTAGGTCTCATTTCATATTGGTGCAACTCTAAAAATTTTTAATTTGAGACTTTCAATTAGTGATATTGGGATGATACCACAGCTAGGAATGCTATTAGATAAGCCAAGATATGTAATGATATGTAGCCAATTGTTGGAAGTTAAATTACAGTCATATTTTAGCTAGACTAAACTAGTAAAATAATTAGTTGTTTATGTCAAAAAGGAAAATATTGACTATTATGTCTTGACTTTATGTTGTTTCTAGAAATCCACACAAATTAATCATGACCTGTCCAGTAAGATTTTCCCTAGGAGCAGGGACCAGGAAAAATCAGACAGGGTTGTGTTGTCCCATCTTCCTCACTCCCCCTACATTCATCTCTGCATTTTTAATGTCTTCTTGGTATGTAAGAGCTTGATTGGAGAAAGAATAAAGAGAGCTTATAGCTAGGGTGTGGAATGGGGCTTGCCTTAGAATACTAGGAAAAAAGATAGACTAGGGGAAGGAGATTCAATATTATTCAAAAATAAAATATTTTCAAAATAGAATTGCTTAGTAACTAGGTTATATATGAATGTATTTTATGCACCAACTTGCCTCGTTAGCCTTAAAAGCATCTTGCTATAGAGAAAGTATAGGGATTGCCTACATCATCATATATAATGTAGTTACTGAGCAATAAATTTTCAAAAGTATTTCACTCTTTTGCAATTATACTTTTTTGATACCTTGAAGAGCTCCAACCACCCTCACATTGCAACAGCCAGGGTGAATGCAGACCCAGAATGTTCTCCTTTCATGTGATTTGAATGCATTGTATATTTCAGACATGGAAAAAAAGAAAAGGACTTTGGAGAATCAAGCAATATTTTAGTTATCTAGATGAGCTAAGTTTTTTTGTCTATCATCCATGTCCTCTACTCTCACACCCTACCCCTTTGAATAATCCTCTGAAACTCCAAGAAATGCTATGTTGCTCTATTGCCTTGTCAATACCGCAAACTCCAGCACAAGCAACTCCCTTTCCCACTCTCTCTCTCTCTCTTTCTGTCTGTCTCATTTTCCTCTTATAATTCTCATCATCCCCTAAATCTTTTTCCCTCAGGCCCTTGCTCACAACCAGGCAGCATCCACAGAACACACAGAGCTTATTTTTGTTTTCCTTGTGTTTATATCTCTTGGCTTTATTGAGATATGATTGATGAGTACTTATGAGATGATAGGCCAAGGAACCTAATGCCTTTTAACACTATTCAAACACCAGCTTCTCTTTCTACTCTAGCAAATCCTTTCTTGTCAAAATAATTCCAAAACAGTTTTCTTTAGAGAGTCACTCCAATTAATCCCACCTATTCTCATACCTGCCAAGAAAAACTCAGCAACCTCAAGATATTTCTCTGAGCACAAGCACATATTTAATGGCACGAAAAAGAAATTTTATATCCAGTTGTAGCTGCAGCACCATAAGAAATCCCAGTGTTGCCTCAATCTACAGGTGAAGCAAGCACATTCTTTTTCTTTAATTTCCTTCTTTTTATAATTTTTAATTTTTGTGGGTACAGAGTAGGTGTATGTATTTGTGGGGTAGATGAGATTCTTTGATACAGGCATGCAATGCATAATAATCACATCATGGAGAATGGGTATCCATCCCCTCAGGCATTTATCCTTTATGTTACAAACAAACCAATTATACTCTTTTATTTATTTATTTATTTATTTATTTATTTATTTATTTAATTTATTTATTTTGAGATGGAGTCTCACTCTGTCGCCAGGCTGGAGTGCAGTGGCGTGATCTCAGCTCACTGCAGCCTAAGCCTCCCGGGTTCAAGCAATTCTCCTGCCTCAGCCTCTCAAGTAGCTGGGACTACATGCCACCATGCCCAGCTAATTTTTGTATTTTTAGTAGAGATGGGGTTTCACCATGTTGTCTAGGATGGTCTCAATCTCTTGACCTCATGATCTGCCTGCCTCGGCCTCCCAAATTTTAGTTATTTTTAAATGTACAATTAAATTATTATTAACAATAGTCACCCTGCTGTGCTATCAAATAGTAGGCTTTATTCAAATAGTAGGCTTTATTCAGTCATTCTATTTTTTGTACCCCTTAACCATCCCCATCTCTCCCTCATCCCAATCCCCATCACCCTCCCTAGCCTCTGGTAACCATCCTTCAACTCTCTTTCTCCATGGATTCAATTGTTCTGATTTTTAGATGCCACAAATAAGTGAGAACATGTGAAGTTTGTCTTTCTGTGCCTGGCTTACTTCGCTTAACATAATGACCTCCAGTTCCATTCATGTTGTTGCAAATGACTGAACCACATTCTTTTTTATGGCTGAATGGTACTCCATTGTGTATAAGTATCACATTTTCTTCATCAATTCATCTGTCGATGGACACAAATCTTGGCTATTGTGAACAGTGCTGCAACAAACACAGAAGTGCAGATATCTCTTTGATCAATGTTGATTTCCTTTCTTTTGGGTATATATGCAGCAGTGGAATTGCTGGATCACATGTTAACTCTATTTTTAATGTTTTGAAGAACCTCCAAACTGTTCTCCACAGTGATTGTATTAATTTACATTCCCACTAGCAGTGTACAAAGGTCCTCTTTTCTCTACATTCTTGCCAGCATTAGTTATTACCTGTATTTTGGATATCCAGTCTCAGGTAGTTCTTTACAGCAGTGTGAGGACTGACTAATACAGTCTATGTGTCTGTTTTTATGCAAGTACCATGCTGTTTTCATTGCTATAGCTCTGTAGCATAATTTGAAGTCAAGTAAGGTGATTCTTCCAGTTTTTTTTTTTTTTTCTTAGGATAGCTTTGGTTATTTTGGGTCTTTTGTGGTTCCATATAAATTTCAGGATTGATTTTCTTTTTCTGTGAAGAATGTCATTGGTATTTTGATAGAGGTTGCACTGATCTATAGATTGCTTTGGGTAGTATAGACATTTTAACAATATTGATTCTTCCAATCCATGAACATGGAATATCTTTCCATTTTTGGTGTTCTCTTCAATTGCTTTCTTCACTGTTTTCATTATAGGGATGTTTTACTTCTTTGGTTAAGTTAATTCCTAGGTATTTAATTGTATTTGTGGCTCTTGTAAATAGGACTACTTTTCAATTTCTTTTTCCGTTTGTTCATTTCGGCATATAGAAATGCTACTGATTTTTGTATATTGATTTTGTATTCTGTAACTTTACTGGATTTGTTCATCAGTTCAAAATGTTTTTTGGTGGAGTCTTTAGGTTTTTCCAAATATGAGATCTTATCATCTGCAAACAAAGATAATTTGACTTCTTCCTTTTCAGTGTGGATGCCCTTTATTTCTTTCTCTTGTCTGACTGCTCTAGCCAGGACTGTCATCACTATGTTGAATAACAGTGGTGAAAGTGGGCATCCTTGTCATGTTCCAAAGCTTAGAGTAAGGACTTTCAGTTTTTCCTCATTCAGTGTGATACTAGCTGTGAATCTGCCATACATATATGGCTTTTATTATGTTGAGGTATGTTCCCCAGTTTTTTGAGGGTTTTTATATTGGAGGGATGTTGAATATTATCAGATGCTTTTTCAGCATCAATTCAAATGATCATATGGTTTTTGTCTTTCATTCTGTTGACATGATGTATCACATTAATTGATTTGCATATGTTGGACAATCCTTGTATACCAGGGATAAAGCTCACTTGGCCATGATGAATAATCCTTTCAATGTATTGTTGAATTTAGTTTTCTAGTATTTGGTTGACAATTTTTGTGTCAATATTCATTAGAGATATTGCCCTGTAGGGTTTTTTTAACTTTATTTTTAAAATGTTTTTATGTGTCTTTATCTGGTTTTTGTCAGGGTAATTAATACTGGCCTTGTAGAATGAATTTGAAAGTATTCACTACTCTAATTTTTGAAATAGTTTGAGTAGGATTGGTATTAGTCATTCTTTAAATGTTATGTAGAATTCTGCAGTAAAGCCATTGTGTCTCGGGTTTTGCTTTATTGGGAGACTTTTTATTATGCCTTCAATCTCATTACTTGTTATTTGTCTGTTCAGGTTTTGGATTTCTTTATGGTTCAATCTTGGTAGGCTGTATGTCTCTAGGCATTTGTCCATTTCTTCTAGATTTTCTCATTTATTGGCATAGAGTTTCTCATAATAGCCACTAATGGTCCTTTGAACTTTTGCAGTATCAGCTGTAATGTCTCCTTGTCCACCCCTGATTTTAATTATTTAGATCCTCTTTCTTTTAAAGAACTTTTCTACCTCTTGAAGATTCATCCTTAGATTGTTTATTTGAAGTTGTTCTTTTCCACCTACAGCTGTACGTTTCCTTCTTAGTACTGCTTTGGCTGTATCTCATAGGTTTTGGTAGGTTGTGTTTCCACTATCATTCATTTCAAGATACTTTTCCATTTCTTTTTTCATTTCTTCATTGACCCAATGGTTATTCAAGAGCGTTTAAATTCCATGTATTTGTATAGAATTCTGAATTCTTTCTTTGTGTTCTCTTGAATTTCTTTGAGTTTCCTCAAAACAGCTATTTTGAATTCTCTGTTCAAAAGGTCACATATTTCTGTTTCTTTCAGGATTGTTCCTTTGTGCTTTATTTAGTTCATTTGGTGAGGGCATGTTTTCCTAAATGGTTTTCATGCTTGTCGATGTTTGTCAGTGTCTGAGCATTGTAGAGTTATTTATGTAGTCTTTGCATTCTGGGCTTGTTTGTACCCGTCCTTCTTGGAAAGGTTTTCCAGGTATTTGAAGGGACTTGGGTGTTGTAATCTAAGCTTTATCTGCATTAGGGGACAATCTAATCCTAGTAATGCTGTGGTTCTCGCAGATTCATAGAGGTAACAAACACCTTGATGTTCTTGGATAAGATCTGGAATAATTATCTGGATTACCAGTCAGAAACTCTTGTTCTCTTTCCTTACTTTCTCCATAAGAAACAGAGTTTCTCTCTCTCTTTGCTGAGCCACCTGGAGCTGTGGGTCAGGGAAAAGAAGCACCGCTTTGGCCACCACTACTGGGACTATGCTGGGTCATATCTGCAACTATCACAGTACTGGGCCTCTCTCCCAAAGCCTGCTGTAACCACTACTGGCTATTGCCTATGTTTTCTCAAGGCCCTAGGACACTACAATCAGCAAGTGACAAAGCCATCCTTGCTTGTATCCTTCTCTTCAGGGCAGCAAGTTATTCCAGGTCCATGCCATGCTCAGAGATGACATCCAGGAGCCAGGCACTGGAGTGAGAAACCTTAGAAATCTACCTGGTTCTGTATTCTACTGTGGCTAAGCTGACACTTAAACAATGATGCAAAGTCTCTCCCACTCTTTCCTTCCCTTTCCACAGGCAACTGAAATGTTCCCCACCGACACCACCATCACAGGCCCTTGAGGAATACTGCCAGACTACCACCAATTTTCACTTAAGGTTCAAGAGCTCTTCAGCTTATGGTGAATGCTGACAGGCCTGGGGCTCACCCTTCAGGGAAGTGGGCTCCCCTTTGGCCCAGGGCAGGTCCAGAAATGTTGTCCAAGTGCCAAGTCCTAGAAACAGGGACCCCAAGAGTCTGCTTGTTGCTCCACCCCACTGTCACTGAGCTGGTACCTAAGATCTAAGACAAAATCCCCTCTACTTTTCCCTCTGCTTTTCTCAAGCAGGATTCTCTCTGCATAGTCACCACAGCTGATAATGTGCTAGGTCTAACCAGAAGCCAGTATGTTTCAGAATCTCCCCCAAGGTTCATGGCATACTACCTGAGTATCACTGCTGGTTATTCAGGGCCCAAGGGCTCTTTAATCAGCAGCTAATGAATACTGCCAGGAATGAATCCTTTCCTTCAGGGCAGTGGGTTCCCTTCTGGTCTAGAAATGTCATTCTGGAGCTAGGCCCTGGAAAGGAGGCCTCATGACTCTACCCAGTGCCTTATCCTATTGGGGCTGAGCTTTAAGACACAGTCCTCTTTACTCTTCCCTCTCCTCTCCTCAAGCAGAAGGAAGGAGTCACTTTCATTGCTATGAGCCATGCTGCTGGGGGTTGTGGGAGGGGGTGGTGCAAGCACTCCCTTAGCTGCCCCAGCTGGTGTCTCACTGGGTCATGTGCCTTCCAAGTCCACTGACTCTGAGCCTAGCCTAGCACTAGGACTTGCCTTAGGAATTGCAGTCTTTGTGACCTAAATTGCCCTTCAGGTTTATTTAGGACCCCAAATCACTTCATCCTGTGGTGGCAAGGCTTGCAGAAACTAAAGTTCTGACCACTGGGATGAGTGATTCCCCTCTGGCTAGGGCTCATCTAAATGTTTCCTCCGTCAGTGGGTGTTGGATGAATTCAGTCCAGTTTTGCTTTCTGCTGTGACAGGGCAACAGTGCATTCAACGAACAGTCCCACAATTGCTGCATTCTCCCTCCTCTAGGTGCACTGATTCTGTCTCTGCATGACAGGGTTACCACTAGAGGATGGGGGAGAGGTTGCATCAGTGATTCAGATATTGTGATTGCTCACCTGATTTTTGGTTCTTATGAAGATGCTTTATGGTGTAGATAGTTGTCAAATTTGATGTCCCTGTGCGGAGAGGGAGGGGATGATCAGTGGAGGCTTCTATTCAACCATCTTATTCCACCTCTCCATTCTCTTCCTTCATAACCTTAAAGTCTACTCTTCAAATGAAAATGAGGTTGTTGCATAAAAGCACCCAGATAATATATTTAGTGAGAAATTGAGACTATTACTTGTAAGGAAAAAAATGGCACTCAATGAAAGGACTATTCAGCTCTACTCGGAAGGAATGTTGTAAAGGCAAAACTCAAAAGCAAGAAGAAAAAGCCCATTTGGAAACATTCTTTTGATAATGAGTTCATTCGCTGTGAATTTTCATCTGTGCTGATACCAGATTTGAGATATTCAAAGATGTGATACAGTAAGTGATTTAGCATCCATAACATTAATACCACTTGGTGGGGGAGGGCTATGTCTTTCTAAATAAATGATTATTGTAGTCCATTCTTACAATTGTCTGTGCCACATATCCTGGCACCTAATCAAATGCATTCCATATTGATATTTAACTGTGTGGTTTGTTCATTTTTGTGTGCTTATATGTTTATTTTATGTGGATAAAATTTTGTCTCTATGCAGTCCATAAATTCCTGGTGGGGTGTTCAATAAATAGTTATTGAGCTAACCTGAATTGAATTGGGGGGAACAATAAAATGGATAATCCCCAACTAATCCCTATTTGGCATTTTGATGCATGTTTGTATTTCCATTTCAATAGGGATATGTCTGAGATATTAGGACTTTGCATAATTTCAGATGAAGTCATACTGGGAAGAGGTAGTGTTGAAGAAAATGAAAAGCAACCCAGTTTACACTCATGCTGAGGACTAAAGCAAGTCACCAAGCCAGACCTATGTGCCTTTGACAATTACAGGCTGAATGATTCACATCTTCCCCAGGGAATGGACAAATTAATCATAAGGCTGTTTAAAAAGACCTCTCCTGACCACTGAGTATGGATGTCCACGGACCAGAGGACTAGGTGGTTGGAGGGTGACACATACCCTGAAAGTTGTCTCCTTTCCAGCTCCCCCAGAGTGGCATGCTGAATTAGAAAAAGGAAGAGTTAAAATAAATTATGATAATGTCAACAAATGAATTGAAGAAAATAAAAGGCACTTCTTTCAGCATGACACTCCCCTACAAGGGCATCCATTTGCTTGTAGGATCAAGTCAAAACTTATCAACCTGGCATTCCAGTTCTTCCATCAACTGTCTCCACCTTACCTATTCATCCTAAACACTCACTAATCCCCAACATGATCACTGGTTCCAACTCTGTCAAACCGGCCTTCTTTCGCTCACATACCACATTCCTGCCTCCATTTCACTCATTCCTCCTCCCTATATCTAAAATGCTTTCTTTCTTCTGTCTCCACCATTGAAAACCCAAAATTTCCTTCTTTTGAAGATCCAGGTTCTTCTCTATAAAGACTGTCCAATCTAACCCCGTCACTCAGTAACCATTCCCTTACTTGAAATATCTGCAGCTCAAATACATACATGTGTACCAAATGACTTCCATACATTACTTCATATCTTCGAGTACATGACTTGCTTCCTTAGTTAGATTCTAAGCAAAAGAGAAAGAATCCTTTCATCATCACCAATCACTTAACACAGTGCTCAAGATCCAATAATTTATTTAAAAACTTTGTTGAAATATCTGTAAATATATGTATGTTAATATTAATAATAAATATATAGAAACCTCAGTTGGTTTTAAGATAGAGCTAATTTGACATGAAAATGCAGGTGCATTAAACTTTCTATTCTCTAAATGGTTATAGAGTCATATTTAAATGCTCAAATTGTTTTACTTGCTTCATGTTTCTACATTGAACTCGTTTTCACTTTACTTTGTTTTATTTAATAGCTGTTCTTCAAGTTCTGTTTTTAAAGCACTGTTTTTTAGTTTGATGCTGAGGATATGAACAATAAACAGGCCTTAAATGTTCTGGTTGAGGTATTGCAATTTAACCTTTACACATATCTGTAGCTTAGTAACCTAGAATGATGAGAGGAGAAGATCTATCCCCTCAGGAGGCCTCAAGGAAAAGATCCTCTTCTTTGGAATTGAGTTTCATAGTAAGATTCACTTTCTCTCCCACTTGGATATAAGCTCTCTGTGGAGCCTGGAGGATGACTTCATGACTCAAAACAGATGGAGTTTTTTTTTTCTTTATGTATTATTCTTTGCTTTGACAGGTAAAGAATGGCTGATTTAATTCCTTTTTTAACCAAGTATTTTCTAAACCACGTTATTTCTTTTTATATCTTGGGGGTATTTGGAATTCCAATAAAAAAGAATGATTATTTTGTGTTCCTAAAAACTAAATGTATTGTCTCTTTTAAACAAAATACTGAAGGAAGAATTTAAAATCTGCTAGGGCAGTGAGTTAGCATGCCAGATAGAAACGACATTGTAAGGGCAGGAAAACTTTCTAGAAACTCCTCAGTTTAATTCTAATCTATGTCCCTGTGCCAAAAATTCTACTATCTAATGCATTGTTCTCTCTGGACATCCTCTTATAAAATTTAAATATCTCTGCGAACAATAACAAGTGAGTTATGCATACTGTAGTTTAGCTAGGTTTTTTAAATTTTCTTCTTAACTGATAACCAGCTGTGCACTGTGGGACTGGAAATGTAACAGTATGTTTTCCTAGTTAGCTCCTCTAGATATCACAGAAACAGCTTCAATTAGCTGTTAGCCTAATCTTCCATATCTTTCAATACACTCATGTTACTTGTGATCATTCAAACCAATCCTGTATTTTTAAAGACCATGTGACTGTGCCTTTTCTCATGCTATTTCCTCCTTTGTAGATTCACTTTTACACCATCACACCTTTTACCAGGGCTCACATTATGTGCCAAATCCATCAAGAAATCTTATCAGCATGTTTTGCCTGGTATCATGTTCATTCAACTTTCCATCTCTCAGTTAAAATTCTACCTTCTCTGCGAAGCATTCTTTGACTTTTCCAGGCAGCTGTAGAACTGTTTTCCCTTAGGCTTCCACACTGTACCTTCAATTCCACACCAGCATTTATGACATTATATTGAAATTATCTCATTATTTACCTGTCCTTTATGTCTGTGAGTTCCAACTTCTAAAGCTATAAAATACAATTGACATACTAAAGAATGGACCAGAGTCTCTTAATAGTAGAAATGATCAAGCAGAAGAAAGAATTAGTGAGTTTGAAGACAGGTTATTTGATAATACACAGTCAGAGGAGACAAAATGAAAAAGAATTAAAACAATGAAGCATGCCTATAAGATCTAGAAAATAGCCTCAAAAGGGCAAATCTAAAAGCTATTGGCCTTAAGGAGGAGATAGAAAAATAGAAAGTTTATTTAAAGGGATAATAACAAAGAACCTCCCAAACCTAGAGAAAGATATCAATATTCAAATATACAAATGTTGTAGAACACCAAGAAGAATTAACCCAAATCAGATTACTTCAAGACATTTGATAATGAAACTTCCAAAGGTCAAGGATAAAGAAAGGATTCTAAAAACAGCAAGAGAGAAAGAAAGAAATAACATACAAAGGCGCTCCTATATGTATGGCAGCAAACTTCTCAGTGGAAAGCTTATGGGTCAGAAGAGCGTGGCATATTTAAAGTACTGAAAAAAACCACTTTTATCCTAGAATAGTTTATCCAGCAATAATATACTTCAAACATGAAGGAGAAATAAAGACTTTCCCAGACAAACAAAAGTTAAGGGATTTCATCAGCACCATACCTGTCCTACAAGAAATACTAAAAGGAGTTCTTCAATCAGAAAGAAAAGTATATTAATGAACAATAAGAAATCAGAAGATACAAAACATGGTAATAGTAAGTACACAGGAAAACACAGAGTATTACAACACTGTAATTGTAGTGTAGAAACTACCCTTGTCTTGAGTAGAAAGACTAAAAGATAAACCTCTCCAAAATATTAACTACAACAACTTTTCAAGACATAGAAAACACAATAAGGTCTAAATAGAAACAACAAGAATTTTAAAATTGGGGGAACAAAGTTGGAGTTCTTATTAGTTTCCTGTTTGATTATTTGTTAATTTGTTTGTTTATACAATCTTTATTAAATTGTCATCGGTCTAAAACAATGGGTTATGAGATATTATTTGCAAGCCTCATGGTAACCTCAAATCAAGAACCTACAACAGATACACACACACACAAAATAAAAAATAATAAATTAAAACATACCACAAGAGAAAATCACCTTCACTAAAAGGAAAACAGGAAAGAAAGAATGAAGAGAAAACTGCAAAACAACAAGAAAACAAATGACAAAATGGCAAGAGTATGTCCTTACTTATCAATAATGACACTGAACATAAATGTTCTAAACTCTATAAAGACATAGAGTTTTCCCAGCTACTCAGGAGGCTGAGGTGGGAAGATTGCTTGAGCCCAGGAGGTTAGGCTGCAGTAAGCTGTATTTGTGCCACTGCACTCTAGCATGGGTGGCAGAGCAAGACGCTGTCTCAGAAAAGAAAGAACATAGAGGGGCTGAATGGATTTAAAAGAAAAACAGGACCCAATGATCTGTTAATGACAAAGAGCACACTTAACCTGTAGAGACACAAATAGATTATAAATAAAGAATGGAAAAAGCTTTTTCATGCCAATGGAAACCAAAAAGAAGCAGGAGTAACTATACTTACATCAGACAAAATAGATTTTAAGACAAAAACTATAGAAAGAGGCAAAGAAAGCCATTATATAATGACAAAGAAGTCAAATCAGCAAAAGGATATAACAATTGTAAATATAAATGTACCCAACATTGGAACACCGAGATAGATAAAGTGAATGTTATTAGAGCTAAAGAAAGAAACAGGCTCCACTACAATAACAGCTGGAGACTTCAACACCCTACTTTCAACATTGTACAGATCATTCACGCAGAAAATTGACAAAGAAACATTGGATTTAATCTGCACTATAGACCAAAGAGACCTAATAGATATTTACAGAACATTTCATTCAATGGCTGCCAAATGCACATTTTTTTCCTCAGCACATGGATCATTCTCAAGGATAAAACCATATGTTAGGCCACAAAACAAGTCTTAAAACATTCCCCCCAAAAAGAAATTATATGAAGTATCTTTTCTGACCATAATAGAATAAACTGGAAATCAATAACAAGAGGAACTTTGGAAACTACAGAAACACATGAAAATTAAACAATATGCTCCTGAATTACCAGTGAGTCAATGAAAGTAAGAAGAAATTTTAGAAATATCTTAAAACAAGTGATAATGGAAACACAACATAACAA
This sequence comes from Homo sapiens, assembly GCF_000001405.40. NCBI lineage: Eukaryota > Metazoa > Chordata > Mammalia > Primates > Hominidae > Homo > Homo sapiens. The sequence goes on along the minus strand of NC_000023.11, from coordinate 113,044,586 downwards.
AACTTATGAGATGCAGTGAAAGCAGTACTAATACAAAAGTTTATGGCAATAAGCAACTACATCAAAAAAGTAAAAAACTTCAAATAGACAATCTAATGATACATCTTAAATAACTAGAAAAGTAAGAGCAGGCCAAATCTAAAATTAGTATAAGAAAGGGAATAATAAAGATCAGAGAAGAAATAAATGAAATTGAAATAAAAAAATACAAAAGATAAATGAAACAAAAAGTTGTTTTTTTTTGAAAAGGTAAACAAAATTGACAAAACTTTAGCCAGACTAAGAAAAAAACAAACTCAGGAGGCTGAGGCAGGAGTTTAACTTGGACCTGGGAGGTCGAGGCCTCAGTGAGCCATTATTTTGCCACTGCACTCCAGTCTAGGTAAAGAAGTGAAAACCTGTCTCAAAAAAAAAAAAAAAAAAAAAAAACTCTCCCAGCAAAGAAAATTCCAGGACCTGGGAAATACTTCCAAACTCATTCTATGAGGCCTGTATTACTCTGATACGAAAATGAAACAAAGACACATCAAAAGAAGAAAATTAAAGGCCAATATCCCTGGTGAACATTGATGCAAAAGTCCTCAACAAAATGCTAGCAAACCAAATTCAGCAAAACATTAAAAAGGTAATTCACCATGACCAAGTGTAATTTGATCCAGGGATGCAAGGCTGGTTCAATATACACAGATCAATCAATGTGATACATCATATCAACAGAAGGAAGGACAACCATACGATCATTTTGACTGATGCTAAAAGAGCATATGATAAAATTCAACATGCCTTTACAGTAAAAACTCTCAAAAAACTGGGAATAAAAGGAGCATAGCTCAACACAAAAAAGGTATATATGACAGACCCACAGCAATCAGACAAGAGAAAGAAAGAAAGGGCATACAAAAGGGAAGGAAGATGTCCAATTATCCTTGTTTGCATATGATATGATCTTATATTTGGAAAAACATAAAGACTCCACCAAAAAACTATTAGAACTGATTAAAAAATTCAGTAAAGTTGCAGGATACAAAATCAACATAGAAAATCATTAGTATTTATATGTCAACAGCAAACAATCTGAGAAAGAAATCAAGAAAGTAACCCCATTTACAACAGTTACAAATGAAATTAAATACCTAGGAATTAATCAAAGAAGTGAAAGATCTATACAATGAAAACTATAAAACACTGATATAAGAAACTGAAGAGAACACCAAGAAAAAAGGAAAGAAATTCTATGTTTGTGGATTGGAAAAATCAATATTGTTAAATGTTCATACTACCCACAGCAATCTACAGATTCAATGCAATCTCCATCAGAATACCAATGACATTCTTCACAGAAATAAAAAATGACAATCATAAAATTTATATGGAACCACAAAAGACCCAGAATAGCCAAAACTGTCCTGAACAAAAATAACAAAACTGGAGAAATCACATTACCTGACTTCAAATTATACTACAGAGCTATGGTAACCAAAACAGCATGGGACTGGCATAAAAAGAGACACATAGACCAATGGAATAGAATAGAGAACCGAAAAACTAATCCACATATGTACAGTAAACTCGTTTTCAACAAAGGTGCCAAGAACGTGTACTGGAAAAAGGACGGTCTTTTCAATAAATGGGGCTAAGAAAACTGGATATCCATATGCAAAACAATAAAACTACACCCCTATCTCTCACCATATACAAAAATTAAATCAAAATGGATTAAAGACTTAAATCTAAGTCCTCAAACTATGAAACTACTGCAAGAAGGCATTGGGGAAACTCACCAGGACTTTGGACTAGGCAAAGATTTCTTGAGTAATAAATACCCCACAAGCACAGGTAACCAAAGCAAAAATAGACAAATGGATCATGCTAAGTTAAAAGGCTTCTGCTCAGCAAAGGAAACAATCCACAAAGTCAAGAGACAACCCGTAGAATGGGAGAAAATATTTGCAAACTATACTTCTGGCAAAGGATTAATAACCAAAATATGTAAGGAGCTCTAACAACTCTACAGGGAAAAAATGTAATTACCCAATTACAAAATGGACAAAAATGTGAATAGACATTTCTCAAAAGATGTACAAATGGCAACCAGGCATATGAAAACGTGTTCAACATCATTGATCATCAGAGAAATGTAAATAAAATCTACAATAAAATATAATTTTATCCCAGGTAAAATTACTTTTATCCAAAAGAGAGGCAAAAACTAATGCTGCCGAGGCTATAGAAAAAAAAAAAAGCATAACCCTTGTACACTGTTGGTGGGAATGTAAATTAGTACAACCACTATGGAGAACAGTTTGGAGGTAACTCAAGATAACTTACAGTAGAACTTCCACATGATCCAGCAATGCCACTGCTGGGTATATACTTAAAGGAAATCAGTACATCAAAGAGATATCTGTACTCCCATGATTATTGCAGCACTATTCACTGTAGCTAAGATTTGAAAACAACCTATGCATCCATCAACACATGAATGGGCAAAGAAAATGTGGTACATATACAGAATGGAGTACTATTCAGCCATAAAGATAAGATCCTGTCGTTTGCAACAACATGGATGACCTAGGGGTCATTATGTTAAGTGAAATAAGCCCAGCCCAGAAAGACAAAATTCACTTGTTCTCACTTATTTGTGGGAGCTAAAAATTAAAACAACTGAGCTCATGGAGATACAGAGTGGAATAATGGTTACCGGAGGCTGCAAAGTGTAGTGGAGGGCTGGAAATGGGGATAGTTAATGTGTACAAAAATGTAGTTAGAATGAATAAGATCTATTAGTTGATAGCACAATAAGATCTATTAGTTGATATACACAATAATTTGTTGTACATGTAAAAGAGTATAATTGGATTGTTTATAAGACAAAGAAATAATAAATGCTTGAGGTGATGGATACGCCATTTATCCCAATGTGATTATTACACCTGGTATGTCTATCAATATATGTCATGTACCCATAAATGTATACACCTACCATGTACCCACAAAAATGAAAAGTAAAATTTAAAAAATGAAGAAAAAATATTTAAATACTAAATGCAAGAAAAAAACTGTGTGTTCCTCAGTGGAATTAACTGTGCCTTATGAAGTTTGTTTCCAAGCATAAGTGCTACTCCAAATATTCAATTTTTATTTAATAAATACATGACACGATTTGCCTAAATGGAAAGTTGAAAAGGATCCTAATTCAGTTCCACAGGCATCTGATGTTTACATCATCTTAAACTATAAAGACCACCTAACCACAAGCATATGTTTATCAGGATATAAAAGCAAGGCAGTTAATTGTGTGGCAAAGCATTGCATTTTAAAAAGGTTAGTATTAATGCATGTGGGGCTTAATACCTAGGTGATGGGTTGATAGGTGCAGCAAACCACCATGGCACATGTTTACCTTTGTAACAAACCTGCACATCCTGCACATGTATCTCAGAAGTTAAAATAAAATAAAATTTTAAAAAGGTTAGTATTATATTGAAAGTGAGGTCCTAATATATATATTAGTTTTGCACCAACCTAAATGTTTCTCTTGCTTTACTTTCTAAGTCACTCCAGATTATCTTTTCCTTACCTTAACTTTCAGAGCTAAAGAAAAGAACTAAGTGGAGAGCAGTGATTGTAACATCGAATTCATTCATTTATTCGTTGGACAAATATTTATTAAACACCTGCTATGTACAAGACTACAATAGTAAGAAAAGAGACACAGTTCCTAACTCTATAAAACTTACCTTATCATCTAGTAGGAGTAAAATATAATAAATTACAGAGAAGGAGAGACAGAGAGAATAGTTACTGAGAAGTGTGTAAAAACTCATCAGTTAGCTGGGCATGGTGTCCCATGCCTGTAGTCCTAGCTACTTTGGAGACAGAGGTGGGAGGATCACTTGAGCCCAGGAGGTGGAGGCTGTAGTGAGCTATGATCTCTCCACAGCGCTCCAGCCTTGGTGACAGAGATCCTGTACCTAAAACCTACAACAATAACAACAATAGCAAAAAAATAACAAAAAAAGTAAGACTCATCAGGGTTAAAGGATAAAAAGTAATGGTGTAGAAATGTGGCTATTAAAAAAAAAAGAAAAAGAAATGTGGCTATTTTAGATATTGAAAGGCATCTTTGAGAAGATGGGGTCTCACTTTGTTGCCCAGGCTGGTCTCAGAAATTACATAATTTAATTCATATATTTCTATAAAGTGTCTTAGCTCAGGCTACCACAACAAAATATGACAGAGTATTTTAAGCAAAGAAAATTTCTCAAAGTTCTGAAAGTCCAAGATTAAGGCAGCATCACGGTCAATGTTTGCTGAGGTCTCTCTTTTTAGGTTGCAGACAGTCACCTTCTTACTGTGTCCTTGCATAGAATTTCCTCAGTGCATGCAGGTGGATTAAAAGAGAGGATTTGAGCTCTCTGGTGTCTCTTCTTATAAGGGCACTAATATTATGAGGGTCCCACCCTCATGAACTCTTCTAAACATAATTACTTTTCAAATGTCACATCTCCAAATACTGTCACATTGGGGGTTACTCCTTTAAAATATGAATTTGTGAGGGGTGACAAATTTAGTCCATAGCAGAAAGTTTAATATGAATATTCTGTGGATTATATACTATCAAGGGACAAAAGTGGAATCAGGAGAACTAGCTAGAAATCTATTACAATAATTCAAGTGAGAAATGATAGTAGATTACACAAAGGTAGTAGTGTTGGTAGTGGTGAAAGGGGGTGATAGTTTGGGCACATTTTGGAAGTAGAGCCCACAGGAGTTCCTAATACACTGTTTGAGGATTATGAGAGAAAATAGTCACTAATGACTCCAAGGATTCTGGCCTGAAAAACTGGCGAATGGTGGTTCCATTGACTACAATGGGAAACAATGAGAAAAGAGCAGTTTGGGAGGGAGAGGGTAGATTCAGAAGCTCAATGCTGAGTGTGTTAAGTTTGAGCTGCCAAGGGGGCAGTGCAATATATCAGTCTGGAACTCATGGAACAGGTCTATGAGGGAGATATAAATTTGGGAGCCAACAGTGTGTAGATAATATCTAAGGCCAATGAATGATATCACCTATGGAAAAAGTGTAGATAGGCCAGGTGTGGTGGCTCACACCTGTAATCCCAGTACTTTGAGAGGCCAAGGTGGGTGGATCACGAGCTCAGGAGTGTGAGACCAGCCTTGCCAACATGGCAAAACTACCTTTCTATTAAAAATACACAAAAAATTAGCAAGGCATGGTGGCACCTGCCTGTTAATTCCAGCTACTCGGGAGGCAGAGGCACGAGAATCGTTTGAACCCAGGAAGTGGAGGTTGCAATGAGCCGAGATGGCACCAGTGCACTCCAGCTTGGGCAACAGAGTGAGATCCTGTCTCAAAAAAAAAAAAAAAAAAGTGTAGATAAAGAAGAAACACTGTCTAAGGACAGAGCCCTGGGGCACTCCAACATTTAGTGGGTGGAAAAGTAGAGAATAATCCAGAAAATAAGACTGAAAAGGAATGGCTAATGACGTAGGTAGCAGGAAAAACAAACAAACAAAACAAACAAACAAACAGAAACCCAGAATAATGAAGTGTACAACAGGCCAAGTGGAGAAAGGACAACTTGGAAGGAACAGGTCATTTGTGCCAATGCTGCTGAGTGATCAAGTAAATGACCACCGAAAATTGAGCATTGAGATTAAAAACATAAGCTTCATGCCTTTTATTAATAACCTTCAAAAGAATGTGAATGAACTTAATGAGCAATAGCCACCTTCAGGGAAAATTTATATCAAAATAGGCTAAAAAGGTAAGTTAAATAGAAAAGAGAATTTTATTTTACCCTGACAATAGTTTATGGAATATTAAACATTAACATTGCAAAATTGTCTCAAAAGTCCTCTCTGGAGCTCTATAAAACATGATGGGTAATGATTTAGGGCTGCTGGGGTGGGCGGTAGGGGAATTATTCAAAGGTAATCCTGCAGAGCGTTATAAGCTGGATAGTCTGCAGATCACTTTCAGCCTTCAGGAAACTTTACTATCCTTTGTACAAACCGATAGTTATTACGGAACTGTCAATTAAGATTTTAGTTCACTTTTATAGATATCTTTGTGCATGGAAATGCTCATGAGCTGTACCTCACATTAAAAAATAATAATAATAATAAGGGAGGCTGGGCGCGGTAGCTTATGCCTGTAATCCCAGCATTTTGGGAGGCCGAAGCAGGTGGGTCACTTGAATTCGAGACCAGCCTGGCCAACATGGTGAAACCCCGTCTCTACTAAAAATAAAAAAAAAAATTAAAAATAAGGGAGGTGCAGTGTTAGAAGGAAATGAAAGATTGAGCAGTGGCATACAGAAAAAAATAAAGAGACAACTAATGAAAATACTGGGGAGTCTATTCCTAGAAATTCCTCATAATGAGAAGATGCCAAGAGTGGAATGACTACTTTTGATTCTTAAATGTATTTGCAATTTTTGGCTAGGGATGAAAATAAAGTCAACAAATTTATGTAAGTAAAATAAAATATCAGTATTATACTTTACTAAATGTTAGTCAAATCTATTGTTTTGGGTCAGTGTAACACACTTGGGATTAAATGCAAAACCAGATTCCTTTACTCATGTATCAAGGATGAAAGAAACTTAAGGTAATAAAGTCACTGAATGTGTTTATAGATATATGTGTTTATATCTTCTCACTGGGATTCAAAGCACTAGAGGGATTACACAAATAAAATTTGTTTAAACAAATGCCCATCATTTCTTAAAATTTTGAGTGGTGTTTTTGCTAGTGAAATGAATTCCCCTTAATTGCAAACTTTCTGTGCTGATCATATTTTCCACCCAAGCATGAATTTTGTCCCTCAAAAATGTGCTGTCATATCCATGTGTTTTGCTAGAAGAAAATACGAATTTATTAAGGAGTTTTACTTTATGTGACATACTCAGGTTTTATGTGTGTCTCCTATGAAATCTTAGGTTCTGGCTAGATGATTCGCCAAATTAAAATGGAAATAACAGGTGGGCACGGTGGCTCACGCTTGTAATCCCAGCACTTTGGAAGGTCGAGGTGGGCAGATCACAAGGTCAGGAGTTCGAGACCAGCCTGACCAACATGGTAAAACCCCATCTCTACTAAAAATACAAAAATTAGCCAGGCATGGTGGCACGCACCTGCAATCCCAGCTACACAGGAGGCTGAGGCAGGAGAATCGCTTGAACCCAGGAGGCAGAGGTTGCAGTGAGCCAAGATCGTGCCACTGCACTCCATCCTGGGTGACAGAGCAAGACTCCATCTCAAAAAAAAAAAATAAAGGAAATAACTAACAAGGACCTGTGTTAAGAAGAAGTATCACTACACACATATTAGAACAGCTAAGATCCGAAACACTGACAGCGTCAAATGCTAGCAAGGATGTGGAGTAACAGGGGCTTGTGTTCATTACTGCTGGGAAGGCAAAAATAGTACAGCCATTTGGTATTTTCTTACAAAATTAAAAGTAATTTTGTCATATGATCCAGCAATTTGTTTTCTTTGGTATTTACCCAAATGAGTTGAAAGCATATACACATAAAACCCACATACACAAATGTTTATAGCAGCTTTATTCATAATTGTCAAAATTTTGAAACTACCAAGATATACTTCAATAGGTAAATAGAAAAACAAACTATGGTACATTCATACAATGGAATATTATTCCACGGTTAAAAACACTGAGCTATCCAGTAATGAAAGGATATGGAGAAACCTAAAATGCATATTCCTAAGTGAAAAAAAGCAGATCCAAAAAGGCTACATAGTACATGTTTCCAACTACATTAGATTCTGGGAAAGGCAAAACTATGAAGACAGTAAAAAGATCAGTGGTTACTATGGGTTCAGAAGGAAAGGATGAATAGGTGAAATGGGATTTTTAGGGCAGTGAAACTATTCTGTATGATGCTTTAATGGAGGATGCATGTCATTATACATTGTCAAAACTCACAGAATGCACAACATAAAGAGTGAACCCTAATATAATCCATGGACTTTAGTTAATATTAATGTATCAATATTGACTCATTTGTTGAAACAAATATACCACAGTGATGCAAGACGTTAATAATAGAGGATAGTGCCTAGGGGAATTGAGGGGTATATATGGGAACTCTCTGTCTTTTCCACTCATTTTTTCTATAAACATAACACTGTCCTGAAAATAGTCCGTTAATTTTTTTAAAACCACAGACTTTTGAAACTCAGTAAGAAATAGAAAATCTGAACAGAGCTACACCAAATAGAGAGATTAAATTATTAAATAAAAAACCTTTGCACAAATTAAAGTCCAGGTTCAATGGCTTCACTGGTGAATTCTACCAAATGTTTTAAGAAGAAATAACACCAGTATTTCACAAACTCTTTCAAAAACAGAAGAGAAGGGGTGGAGCAAGATGGCAGAAAAGCAGGCCCCACCAATCATCCACCACCTCACCCCCTGCAAAGACACCAATTTATCAATTACCGACACAGAAAAGCACCTTCATAAAAAACAAAAATCTGGTGAGCACTCGTAGTAGCTGTTTTTCACTTCATATTGCTAAAAGAAGTACTGAAGAGGTAGGAAAAACAGTCTTGAACTACTGACGACATCCCTCCCCAGTCCCCCAGCAGTGGCGGCAGCAGCAGCTTGGTGCAAAGAGCATTTCTTTGCCCTGGGAAGAGGGAGAACCACCAATTGTGAGGCACTAAACTCGGTGCTGCACTTACTGCAGAAGAAAGCAAGACTGGATCAGCCTCAGCTGATGCCCATCCACAGAGGGTGCATTTAAACAAGCCCTAGCAAGAGACGAATTACCAATGCCAGTGGTTGGAACTTAAGTTCCTGCAGCTCTAGCCACCATGGGCTAAGGTGTTCTGCGCCCCCCCGCCCAAATACTTGAAAGACAGTCTAAGACACAAGGACTGCAACTCCTAGGTGCTTAGGGCTGAACTGAGTCCACAGACAGTGGACTGGGGGTGAAAGCGGCACATGACCTACTAAAACACCAGCTAGGGTGTCTAAGGGAGTGCTGGCATCACTCCACCCCTAGTATCAGACTGCACAACTCATGACTCCAAAAAAGACCCATTCCTTCTGCTTGAGCAGAGGAGATAGGAGACTGGGGAGGACTTTGCCTTGCATCTTGGATACCAGCTCAGCCACAGCAGGATAGGGCACTGGTCAGAATCATGAGGCTGACTGTCTAGGTTCTAGCTCATGGACATTTCTAGATGAAGACTGGGCCAGAAGGGAACCCACTGCCTTAAAGAGAAGAACCAAACCCTGGCAGCATTTATCACCTGCTAACTGAAAAGCCTGTGAGACCTGAATAATCAGCAGCAATATCCACGTACTATGTCAAGGTCCTTAGGTGAGATGCTGAAACTTGCTGGCTTCAGGTGAGACTCAGCACATTCAAACCAATGGAGGCTACAGGGTGAGAGTCCTTCTGTTTGAGAAAAGAGAAAAGTAAAGTGGACTTTGTCTTGCAACTTAGGTACCACCTCAGCCACAGTAGGGTAGAGTACCAAGTGGGCTCTTGGGGTTCCCAATTCCAGGACTTGGCTCTTGGATGGCATTTCTGGACCTGCCTTGGGCTAGAGGGAGACCCCTGCCTTAAGGTTGAGTCCCAAGCCAGGCAGCATTCACCATAAGCTGACTGAAGAGCCCTTGGGCCTTAAGGGAACATAAGTGGTAGTTGGGTAGTACTTCCTGTGAGCCTGAGGTGGTGGTGGCCGCAGAGTGAGGGTCCTCTCCCTTTGGAAAGGGGAAAGAAGAGTGAGAAGGACTGCATTTTGTGGTTTGAGGGCCAGCTCAGCCGCAACACAATAGAATACCAGGTGGAATTCTAAGGTTTTTGACTCTCATCCCTAGCTCCTAGATGGCACTTCTGGACCCACCCAGCGTGTGAGGGAACTCACCAACATGAAGTGAAGGAGACAGACCTGGCTGGCTTTTCAACTTGCTGACTGTAGAGCTCCAGAGCTTTGAGTGAACATAGGCAGTAACTAAGAAGTAGTTTACAGCAGGCCTTGAGCAAGACTCAGTGCACTCACTGCTGGCTTCAGGTCTGACCCAGTGCAGTCATATTGATGGTGGCCACCGGGGTGCTTATGTCACTCTGCCACCAGTGGTAGGTGGCTCAGAACAGAGAAAAACACTCTGTATGTTTGGGAGAAAGTAAGGGAAGAAAACAAGAGTCTCTGCCTGGTGATCCAGAGAATTCTACCAGATCTTGTCCAAGACCATGTAGGCAGTACCTCTATACATCTGCAAGGACCAAAGCATTACTGTGCTTGGTGTGCCCCCTAAAGCAGATATAGCTTAGATCAAAACACCCAAGTCCTTTTGAATATCTGTAAAGCCTTCCCAAGAAGAACAGATACAAACAAGCCTAGACAGTGAAGATTCCAGGAAATACCTAACTCTTCAATGTCCAGACACTGAGTAATATCTACCAGCATCAACACGAACCAGGAAAACATGACATCACCAAATGAACTAAATAAGGCACCAGGGACCAATCCTGGAGAAACAGAGATAGGTGACCTTTCAGACAGAGAATTCAAAATAACTGCTTTGAGAAAACTCAAAGATATTCAAGATAACACAGAGGAGGAATTCAGAATTCTATCAGATAAATTTAACAGATTGAAATACTTAAAAAGAATCAAGCAGAAATTCCGGAAATTTCTGGAGTTGAAAAATGCAGTTTGCATACTGAAGAATGCATCAGGGTCTTTTAATAGCAAAACTGATCACAAAAAAGAAAGAATCAGTGAAGAAAGAGATGAGTATAAAGTTTACTCAAAGGGATTATACAGATAACTTCCCATACCTAGAGAAAGGTATCAATATCCAACTAAAAGAAGGCTATAGAACACCAAGCAGATTTAACCCAAAGAATACACTTAATAATCAGACTCTCAAAGATCAAGGATAAAGAAAGAATCCTAAAAGCAACAAGAGAAAAGAAACAAATAAGGTACAATGGAGAACCAATACATCTGGCAGCAGACTTTTCAGTGGAAACCTTACAGGAGAGTGGCATGACATGTTTATAGTGCTGAAGGACAACAACTTTTACCCTAGAAGACTATATTTGGTAAAATTATCCTGTGAAGAAGAAATAAAGACTTTCCCAGACAAACAAAAGCTGAAAGATTTCATCAATGCCAGACCTGTCCTACAAGAAATGCTAAAGGGAGCACTTCAATCAGAAATAAAAGGATGTTAATGAGCAATAAAAAATCACCTGAAAGTGGAAAACTTACTGGTAATAGTAAGTACATAGAAAACTCACTGGTAATAGCAAGTACACAGAAAAACACAGAATATAACCGTGTACCTGTGGTATCTATACTACTTTTAAGTAGAAAGGCTAAACAATGAAATGATAAAAAATAATAGCTACAACTTTTCAAGACATAGACAATACAATATCAATAGTAACAACAAAAAGTTAAAAAGCAGGGGAATGAAGGTAAAACACTGAGTCTTTCTTACTTTTCTTTTTGCTTGTTTGTTTATGCAAACAGTGTTAAGTTATTATCAACTTAAAGTAATGGGTTATAAGATAGTATTTGCAAGCCTCATGGTAACTTCAAACCAAAAACATGAAATAGATACACAACGAGTAGAAAGTGTGAAACCAAATCATATCACTAGAGAAAATCACATTCACAAAAAGAAAGACAGGAAGGAAAGAAAGAAGAGAAGACAAGAAAAAGAATAACAAAATGGCAAGAATAAGTCCTTACTTATCAATAATAATATTGAATGTAAATAGAGTAAATTCTCTTATCAAAAGACATAGAGTGTCTGAACAAATTTTCTTTTGTTTTATTTTATTTTATTTTTTTGAGATGGCGTCTCACTGTCATCCAGGCTGGAGTGCAAGGGCATGATCTCAGCTCACTGCAACCTCCACCTCCTGGATTCAAGTGATTCTCATGCCTCAGCCTCTCGAGTAGCTGGTTCTACAGGCACACGCCACCATACCCAGATAATTTTTGTATTTTTAGTAGAGATGGGGTTTCACCATGTTGGCCAGGTTGGTCTCAAACTCTCGACCTCAAGTGATCCACCCACCTTGGCCTCCCAAAGTGCTGGGATTACAGGCGTGAGCCACCACACCTGGCCATCTGAACAAATTTTAAAAAGATTCATTGATCTGTTGCCTACGAGAAACACACCTCATCTATAAAGACACACATAGACTGAAAATAAAGGAATGGAAAAAGATATTCCACGCCAATGGAAACCAAAAAAAGAGTAGGAATAGCTATGCTTATATCAGACAAAATAGATTTCAAGACGAAAACTATAAGAGGATACAAAGAAGGTCACTATATAATAATAAAAGTGTCAATTCAACAAGAGGATATAACAATTATAAATATATATGTACCCAACACTGGAGCACCCAGATATATAAAGCAAATATTATTAGAGTTAAAGAGAGAGATAGACTACAATACAACAATAGCTGGAGTCTTCAACACCCCACTTTCAGCATTGGACAGATCTCCCAGACATAAAATAAACGAAGAAACATCAAACTTAATGTGCACTACATACCAAATTGATCTAATACATTTTTACAGAACATTACATCCAATGGCTGCAGAATACACATTCTTTTTCTCAGCACATGGATCATTGTCAAGGATAGACCATATGTTAGGTCACAAAACAAGTCAAAACATTCAAAACTATTGAAATAGTATCAAGCATCTTCTCTAACCACAATGGAATAAAACTAGAAATTAATAATAGGAGGAATTTGGGAAAGTATGCAAATAAATGAAAATTAAACAACATGCTCTGGAATGACTAGTGGGTCAATGAAGAAGAAAACTGAAAAATGTCTTGAAGCAAGTAACAATGGCAACATAACATACCAAAACCTAGGGGATACAGTGAAAGCAGTACTAAGTGGGAAGTTTATAGCAGTGACTACATCAAAAAAGAGGAAAACTGTCAAGTAAACAAGTTGCTGATGCATCTTAAAGAACTAGAAAAGGAGGAGCAAACCAAACCCAAAATTAGTATAAGAAAAGATATAATAAAGATCAGAGAAGGAAAAAAAAAGTAAAAATGAAATGAAGCAAATACAAAATATCAATGAAAAAAAGTTTGTTTTTTGAAAAGTTAAACAAAATTGACAAACCTTTATACAAGACTGAGAAAAAAGAGAGAAGATTCAAATAAATAAAATCAGAGATGGAAAAGGAAACATTACAGCTGATACTGCATAAATTCAAAGGATTGTTAGTGGCTATTAAGAGCAAATAGATGTCAATAAATTGGAAATTCTAGAAGAAATGGACAAATTCCTAGAAACATACAACCTAGCAAGATTGAACCATAAAGAAATCCAAAACCTGAACAGACCAATAACAAGTAATGAAATTGAAGGCATAATAAAAAGTCTCCCAATAAAGAAAAACCTGGGACCCAATGGCTTCACTGCAGAATTCTACCTACTATTTAAAGAACTAATGCCAATCCTATTCATATTCACAAATAAAAACAAAAAAGAAGGGAATCCTTCCAAACTCTATGAGGCCAGTATTACCTTGATACCAAAACCAGAAAAAGATACATCAACAAAATGAAAACTACAGGCCAATATCTCTGATAAATATTGATGCAAAAATCCTCAACAAAATATTAGCAAACCAAATTCAACAACACATTAAAAAGATCATTCACGTGACCAAATGAGATTTATCTCTAGGATGCAAGGATGATTCAAAATGTGCAAATCAATCAGTGTGATATATCATGTCAACAGAATGAAGGATAAAAACTATATGATTATTTCAATTGATGCTGAAAAATATTTGATAAAATGTGATAAAAACCCTCAAAGAATTGGATATAGAAGGAACATACCTCAATATAATAAAATCCGTGCATGACAGACACACAGCTAGTATCATACTGAGTGGGGAAAACTGAAAGCCTTTTCTTTTTTTAAAAAAAATTATTTTATTTTATTTTATTTTATTTTATTTTATTTTATTTTAAGTTATGGGATACGTGTGCAGGACGTACAGGTTTGTTACCTAGGTAAACGTGTGCCATGGTGGTTTGCTGCACCTGTCAACCCATCACCTAAGTATTGAGCCCACATGCATTAGCTAATTATCCTGATGCTCTCCCTCCATCTGCCCCACTGACAGGCCCCAGTGTGTGATGTTCCCTTCCCTGTGCCCATGTGTTATCACTGTTCAGCTCCCACTTATAAGTCAGAATATGCAGTGGTTGGTTTTCTGTTCCTGTGTCAGTTTGCTGAGGATAATGGCTTCCAGCTCCATCCATGTCCCTGCAAAAGACATAATCTCATTCCTTTTTGTGGCTGCATAGTATTCCATAGTGTACATGTATCACATTTCTTTATCTAGTCTATCATTGATGGGCATTTGAGTTGATTCCATGTCTTTGCTATTGTGAATAGTGCTGCAATGAACATACATGTGCATGTATCTTTATAACAGAATGATTTATATTCCTTTAGGTATATAACCAGTAATGGGATTGCTGGGTCAAGGTATTTCTGGTTCTAGGTTGAAAGCCTTTTCTCTAAGTACTGGAACATGACAAGAAATCCCACTTTCATTACTGTTATTCATCATAGTACTGTAAGTCCTAGTTAGAGCAATCAGACAAGAGAAAGTTATAAAAGACATCCAAATTGGAAAGGAAAAAGTCAAATTATCCTTGTTTTCTGATGTTATGATCTTATATTTGGAAAAACCCTAAAGCCTCCACACACAAAAAAACTACTAGATCTGATAAACAAATTCAGTAAAGTTGCAGGATACAAAATCAGCATACAAAATCAGTAGTATTTTTCATGCCAACAATGAATGAACTTCTAAAGAAATAAAAAAGAATTATCATTTACATTAACCACAAATAAAATTAAATACCCAGGAATTAATGAAAAAAGTGAAAAATCTCTATAACAAAAACTATAAAACACTGATAAAAGAAATTCAAGGAGACACCAAAAAATAGAAAGATAGTACATGTTCATGGATTGGAAGAATGAATATTGTTATCAAATCCACACTATTTAAAGCAATCTACAGATTCAATACAACCCCTGACAAAATACCAATGACATTCCTTGTAGAAATAGAAAAATAATCATAAAATTTATATGGAATCCGGAATAGTCAAAGCTATCCTGAACAAAATGGATCAAACTGGAGAAATCACATTTCCTGACTTCAAATTATATTACAGAGCTATAGTAATCAAAACAGCATGGTGCTGTCATAAAAACAGACACAGACCAATGGAACAGAATAGAAAACCCACAAACAAATCCATGCACCAATGTGAACTCATTTTTGAAAGATATGCCAAGAACATACACTGGGAAATAGAGAATCTCTTCAATAAACAGTGTTATAAAAACTGGATATCCATATGCAGAAGAATGAATCTTCACCCCTTTCTCCTGCCATATACAAAAATCAAATCAAAATGGATAGAAGACTTAAATCTAAGACCTCAAATCATGAAACTACTACAAGAAAACATTAGGGAAAATCTCCAGGACATTGGTCTAGGAAAACATTTCTTGCACAATAACCCACAAGTACAGAAAACCAAAGACAAAAAGGACAAATGGGACCACATTAAGTTAAAAAGCTTCTGCACAGCAAAGGTTACAATCAGCAAAGTGAAGTGACAACCTACAGAATGGGAGAAAATATTTGCAAACTACCCATCTGACAAGCGGTTCATAACCAGAATATATAAGGAGCTCAGACAACTCTACACGAAAAAGCCTAACAATCCGATAAAGAAATGGGCAGAAGTTTTGAATAGACATTGCTCAAAAGAAAACATACAAATGGGGCCAGGCGTGGTGCCTCATGCCTGTAATCCCAGCAGTTTGGGCTGAAGCAGGCAGATCACTTGAGGTCAGGAGTTCGAGACCAGCCTGACCAACATGGTAAAACCCTGCCTCTACTAAAAATAAAAAAATTAGCTAGGCATGGTGGTGCATGCCTGTAATCCCAGCTACTTGGGAGGCTGAGGCAGGAGAATTGATTAAGTCCTGGAGGCGGAGGTTGCAGTGAGCCGACATTATGACACTGCACTCCAGCCTGGGCAACAAGAGCAAAACTTCATCTAAAAAAAAGAGAAAGAAAAAAAAAGCCTTCTTGTTACCTGTGGAAAACACTGCTAATTACTTTGTTAACAAGGTGGTTTAGGTCTAAAATAAAATTAGTAACACAGACTGGGCATGGTGGCTCATGCCTGTAATACCAGCACTTTGGGATGCCAAGGCAGGATGATCATTAGAGGCCAGGAGTTTGAGACCAGCCTGGCCAACATGGCAAAACCTCATCTCTACTAAAAATACAAAAATTAGTCGGGCTTGGTGGCATGTGCCTGTAATCCCAGCTACTCAGGAGGCTGAGGCAGGAGAATCACTTGAACCTGGGAGGCAGAAATTTCAGTGAACCAAGATCACACCACTGCACTCCAGCCTAGGCAGCAGAGTGAGGAGGACTCTGTTTCAAAAAAAAAAAAAAAAAAAAAAGAAAGAAAGAAAAGAAAAGAAAAGAAAGAAAAAGAAAACATACAAATGGCAAACAGGCATACGAAAAGATGCTCAATATCATTGATCATCATGTAAATCTAAATCAAAACTATAATGAGATATCATCTCACCCCAGTTAAAATGGCTTATATCCAAAAGACAAGCAGTAACAAATGCCAGCAAGGATGTGGAGAAAAGCGAACCCTTGTACACTGTTGGTGGGAATGTAAATTAGTGCAACCACTATGGAGAACAATTTGGAGGTTCCTCAAAAAATAAAAATTGGCAATTGGCCGGGTGTGGTGGCTCATGCCTGTAATCCCAGCACTTTGGGAGGCAGGCCCAGGCCGGTGGATCACTTGAACCCAGGAGTTCGAGATCAGCCTAGCCAACATGGCAAAACCCCATCTCTACCAAAAAGTACAAAAATTAGCCAGCTGTGGTGGTGCATGCCAGTAGTCCCAGCTACTTGGGAGGCTGAGGTGGGAGGATCACTTGAGCTTGGGTGGCGGAGGTTGCAGTGAGTTGAGATCATGCCACAGCACTCCAGCCTAGGTGACAGAGCAAGACCCTGTCCCTGCCCTACCCAAATAAAGAAATAAATGAAAATTGACCTACCATATGATCCAGCAATCCCACTGCTAGGTATATACCCAAAAGACAGGAAATCAGTATATCAAAGAGATCTCTGCACTCCAATGTTTGTTGCAGCACTGTTCACATTAACTAAGATTTGGAAGCAACCTGTCCATCAACACATGAATGGATAAAGAAAATGTGGTACTTATACACAGTGGAGTACTACTCATCCATAAAATGGAATGAGATCTTGTCATTTGCAAGAACATGGAACTAGAGGTCATTAAGTTAAGTGAAATAAGTCAGGCGCAGAAAGACAAACATCACATGTTCTCACTAATTCGTAGAATGTAAAACTCAACACAATTGAACACATGGAGATAGAGAGTAGAAGGATGGTTGCCAGAGGCTTGGAAGAGTAGTGGGGGCCAGAAAGGGTGAATGTGGGGATGGTTAATGGGTACAAAAAATACAAAGAATGAATAGTACCTAGTATTTGATAACATCACAGGGTGATTATAGTCAAAATAGTTTAATTGTACATTTAAAAATAACTAAAAGATTTCATTGGATTGTTTATAACACAAAGGATAAATGCTTGAGGGGATGGATACCCCATTTTCCGTGATGTGATTATTATGCATTGCATGCCTGTATCAAAACATCTCATGTAACTCATAAATATATATACCTACTATGTACCCACAAGAATTTAAAATTTAAAAAAATGATGTTAACTGTAGGTTTTCTGTAGATGTTTTTCATCAAGTTGAGGAACTCCCCCCTCTATTCCTAGTTTACTGAGAATTTTTATCATGAAGGAGTGTTGGATTTAGAGAAATGCTTTTTCTGCACCTACTGATAGAATCATATGACATGTTCTGTCGCCTGTTGATGTGATGGATTACATTAATTGATTTTCAAATGTTGGACCAGCCTTGCATACTTGGGATAAATCCCTCTTGGTCATAGTGTATAATTTTTTTATACATTGTTGTATCCAATATGACAATATTTTGTTGAGGATTTTTGCATCTGCATTCATGAGAGATATTGTTACGTAGTTTTTCTTTCTTGTAATAACTTTGTTTAGTTTTAGTATTAGGGTAATGTTGGCCTCATGGAGTGAATTAGGAAATATTTCCTCTGCTTCTATCTTCTGGAAGAGATTTCTACTCTAATTACTTTTTTTCTGCTTGCCTAGATTTAATTTGTTCTTTTTTCCCCCAGTTTCCTAGAGTGGAAGCTTAGATTATTGATTTTAAAATGTTCTCCTTTTCTAATATATGCATTCAATGCTAGAAATTATCCCCTAAGCACTGCTTTCATTGCATCCCAAAGATTTGATAAGTTCTGTTTTCATTTTCACTTAGCTCAAATATTTTCAAATTTCTCTTGAGACTTCTTCTTTGACCGATGGATTATATAGAAGTGTGTTGTTTAATCTTCAGGTTTGGAGTTCCCCAACTATCTTTCTGTAATTGAATGTTTTGTTTAATTTCATTGCAATCCGAGAGATTCCTTTCTGTGATTTCTATTCTTTTAAGTGTATTAAGTTGTGTTTCATGGTCCAGAATGTGTTTCATCTTGGTGGATGCTCTGTGTGAGCTTCAGAACAGCATGCATTCTGCTGCTGTTAGATGAAGTATTCTATAAATGTCAATTAGATTTACTTGATTGATGGTGTTGTTCAGTTCAACTATATCCTTAACTGATTTTCTGCTGGCTGGATCTGTCAATTACTGATAGAAGGATGTTGACATTCACTATAATAGTGGATTCATCTATTTCTCCTTGAAGTTTTATTAGTTTTTGCCTCACGTGTTAACATGTTGTTAGGCACATACACATTCAGGATTGTTATGTCTTCTTGGAAAACTGACTCCTTTATTATTTTTCCCCACTTTATCCCGATACTTTTTCTTGTTCTGAAGTCTGCTTTGTCTGAATGTAATATATAATATTAATATAGGCTCTGCGTGGTGGCTTGCGTCTTTAATCCCAGCAGTTTGGGAGGCCTAGGTGGAAGGATTGCTTGAGCCTAGGAGTTCGAGATGAGCCTGGTCAACATAGGGAGACCCTGTCTCTACAAAAAATTAAAACATTAGCTGGACATGGTGGCACACAACTGTGGTCCCACCTACTGAAGAGGCTGAGGTTGGAGGATCACTTGAGCCCAGGAGGTGGAGGCTGCAGTGAGCCATGTTCACACTGCTGCACTCCAACCTGGGCAACAGAGAAAGAACTTTCTTTAAAAAAAAAAAATAATATATATATATATATATATAAATATATATATATAAAACGTATACAAATATATATACTAGGTATAAAATATATATTATATATAAATACATACATATTTATATATACTCTAGCTCTCTTTTGATTATGTTAACATGGTTTATCTTTCTCTATTCCTTTATTTTTTGAGTCTTTATCTCTAACTGGGGTTTCTTATACACAACATATGGTTGGATCTTGTTTTCATATCCACTCAAATAGTCACCATTTTTGTTTTTGTTTTTTGTTATTTTTTTTTAATTTTTTATTTCCATAGTTATTGGGGAACAGGTGGTGTTTGGTTACATGAGTATGTTCTTTGCTGGTGATTTGTGAGATTTTGGTGCATCCATCACCCGAGAAGTATACGCTGCACCCAATTTGTAGTCTTTTACCCCTCACCCACTTCCCACCATTTGCCCCTGAGTCCCCAAAGTCCATTGTGTCATTCTTATGCCTTTTCATCCTCATAGCTTAGCTCCCACTTATGAGTGAGAACATATGATGTTTGGTTTTCCATTCCTAAGTTACTTCACTTAGAATAATAGTCCCTAATCTCATCCAGGTTGTTGCGAATGCCATTAATTCATTCCTTTTTATGGCTGAGTAGTATTCCATCATATATATATGTGTGTGTGTGTGTGTGTGTGTATAAGCTTATATATATACACACACACATACACACACACACACACACACACACACACACACATACCAAACTTTCTTTATCCACTCATTGATTGATGGGTATTTTGGTTAGTTCCACATTTTTGCAATTGCGAATTGTGCTACTATAAACATGAATGTGCAAGTATATTTTTCGTATAAGAGAGTCACCATTTTTTAATTTTTGTATTTACATGATTGACCTTTAAAGTGATTACTAATATAATTGAATTAATATCAACTGTTTCTGTTAGTATTTTTGTTGCCCTTTCTTATTCTTTGTCTCTTTTTTGGTCTTCTATTTTTCTGCCTTCTCTGGTTTTAATTGAGCATTTTATGTGATTCCAGTTTTTTCTCCTCTCTTAGCATATCAATTGTATTTTGTAATGTTGTGTTTTATGTGTCCATTTGACTGCCCCATGGGGTGCCTACATTAAGCATTATTTCTTGGTGTGTCTATGAGGACATTTTCAGATGAAATCTATATTCAAATCAATGTACTCAGTAAATCAGATTGCCCTAACCAATGTAGGTGAGCATCATTCAAACTATTGAGGGCTTGAATAGAACAAAAAGTCAGAATTTACTCCTTTTGCTACCTGCCTGCCTGGGTGAGCTTAGACACTGGTCTTCTGCTCTTCACCTAGAATTAGTACCATCAGCTCCCCTGGTTCTCAGACTTTTTGGACTCGAACTGAAATTATATCGCCAGCTTTCCAGGTCTCCAGTTTGCCCATGGCAGAAAATGGGACTTCTCAGCCTCCATAATTGTGTGAGCCAATTCTTCATAGTAAATTTTTTTTTTTTGAAATGGAGTTTTGCTCTTGTTGCCCAAGCTGGAGTGCAATGGCACGATCTCAGCTCACTGCAATCTCTGCCTCCCGGGTTCAAGTGATTCTCCCGCCACAGCCTCCCGAGTAGCTGGGATTACAGGTGCACGCCATCACGCCCGGCTAATTTTTTGTATTTTTAGTAGAAACAGGGTTTCACCATGTTTGCCAGGCTGGTCTCGAACTCCTGACCTCAGGTGATCCGCCTGCCTCAGCCTCCCAAAGTGCTGGGATTACAGGCATGAGCCACCGCACCCAGCCAGTAAATGTATTTTTAATATCTCCTATTGGTTCTGTTCCTCTGGAGAACCCTAATGTATCTTTTTTAAACCTTTTTTTAAATTGTTGCCCATGAGTTTGCAATATACGTTTACAATATATCCAAGTTCAATTTCAGATAATGCTATACCACTTTATGGATATACAAGTAACTTAGAACATTCCCAGTTCCTCCCTCCTGTCCCTTATAATATTATTGTAATTCATTTCACTTATTCATAAGCTATAATTTTCCAATACACTGTTGCTATCATTATTATATTTATTCAGAATAATAAAATATTTCATTTTATTATAAAAGAAAAAATAAAATATTTTATTTTAACCTTCATTTATTTCTTATGTAAGTCTCTTCATTTCTTATGTTAATCCTAATTTACAATCTATTCAGTTTTACTTCTTTCTGAAGAACTTTAACATTTTTTGCAAGGCAAGTATACTGCTGATAAATTCCCTCAATTTTTTGTTTAATTTTTTTCCCTCAATTTTTGTTTGTCTAATAAAATCTATTTCTCCTTCACTTCTGAAAGATAATTTTTCTGGATACAGAATTCTAGGTTGGTGTTTCTTTGTTCTTTCAACACTGAGTATTTCACTTCACTCTCTTCTTGGTTATATGGTTTCCAATGAGTTCAATGTAATCTTAAACTTGCTGCTTTATATGGGTAAGCTGTTTCTTTCCCACTGGCTTTTTTTTTCCCCAAGATTTTCTCTTTGTCTTTGATTTTTTGCAATTCAAATATAATATGGCTAGGTGTACATTTTTATTCTTTATTCTGCTTGGTGTTAACTAACTTTCCTGGGTCTGTGGCTTGATATGTGTAAGTAAATTGGGAAATCTCAGTCAATATTGCTTTGGTATTTATTTAGTTCTTTACTTTCTTCTTCTTTTTATTTTATTTTATTTCAATAGTTTTTGGAGAACAGGTGGTTTCTTGCTAAATGGATAAGTTCTTTAGTGGTGATTTCTGAGATTATGGTGCACTCATCACCTGAGCAGTGTACACTGTACCCTGTTCTTCTTCTAATATCTCATTAGGTATATGTTACACCTTTCATAATTGTCCCATAGTCATTGGCTATTCTGTTCTGCCCTTATTATTATTCTTTCTCTCTTTGCAATTCAGTTGTGGAAGTTTCTACTGATATTTCTTCAAGCTCACCAATTCTTTCTTTGGCCATACCCAGGCACTTGGTGAGATCATCAAGGGCAATCTTCATTTCAATTGTGGTACTTTCTTTATTTCTAGGTTTTCCCATTGATTCCTTGAGTTTTCATCTCTCTGCTTACATTACTCGTCTCTTTTTGAATGTTGACTACTTTTTCCAATACAGCCCTTGGTATATTTATCATACTTGTCTTAAATTCCTGGTCTGTCAATTTTTACATTTCTATCATATCTGGGTCTGGTTATTATGTTAGGTCGGTCTCTTCACATTGTATTTTTTGTCTTTTAGCATGCCTCTTAATTTTTATTGAATGCTGAGCATGATGAATTGGGGAAAAGAAACTGAGGTAAATAGGTCTTTGGGGTGAGGTTTCATGTTTGTCTGGCTAGAAACTAGGCTGTGTTTACTGTTTGCTGTAGCTGTATATGCCAGAGACTGAACTTTCCTCTGGTGTTTTTGTCTCCCATGTTGTCTTTGGATTTCCATAGAAACTTCTTAAATAATGTCTGAAATGTGCAGTTCTTCTCATTATATCTCCCTGTTATTATACAGGAGCCTTATTGATGTAGTGGTAAGGCGTAGGTGGAGGGAATGCATTTTATAGTCCTATGATTAGGTCCCAGTCTTTTAATAAACCTGTGCCCCTAGGCTTGACCTTCAGAAGAGCTTCTCAGTTCTTTCCCCCTTAGATGAGGCAGGAGGCTAGAGGAGACTGAAATTGGTATTTCCCTTTCCCAAGATGGAAAGCTAGAGGTGGGTGGAGTTGGTTATTTCTCTTCCCCCAGGTTTGTTAGGCTCTGGTAAAACTCTGATAGTTAAGCTCTGAAAACAGTTTTTCTTAATGACAGGTCTTGTTAAGAAGAACAAAATGCTCTGGGCATATTTCAAAATGATAACTTTTTGTTGCCCTGCCAGAACTACCACTGAACTTTTATCCAATCTTCACCATGAGAATGTGGTAAGGTTTCTGGAGGTAAAACTCACAAAATGCGAGGGCACTGCCCACCAAGACTGGGACCCCCACCCCCTGGAGTTTCTAACTCGCAAATTTGTCCACATTCAGCCTCCAGCAATTCATCAATTACAGTTTGTTTTCCTACCCCAGTACTTATTCCAGTGGTAATTTCTGCTCCTGTGTTTCTACTCCAATAAGCTGTGGTTCTCTGTATTCATCTGTCTGTCTCTCCAATTTGTGGGTTGGGGGACAACAGTTTGACCTACAATCTCAATTCTTTAAAGGATCTAGGAGGAGTTGTTGAGTTTCAGTTTGTTCAGCCTTTTTCTCATTGTGAAGATGAGAGTAATGACTTCCAAACTCTTTACTGGACCAGAAATTGAAAGTAGTAGTTTTTGTTTTGTAGGAATTTGTACATTTCATCCTGGTTATCTACTTTGTTGGCATAAAATTATACATAGTGTTCTCTTATAATCCTTTTTATTGCTGTGAAATCAATAATAATGTTCTTTTTTTCATTTCTAATTTTGATTCTTTCCAAAATGCTTTATTTGATCAGTATACATATGAGTTCATCAATTTTATCTTTTCAAAGGAAAAAATTTTTGGTTTCTTTGATTATCTCCATTGCTTTTGTACTTACTACTTCATTAATTTCTGCTTTAATCTTTATTACTTTCATCGTTTTAGTTGCTTTAGGTTTAGTTGGTCCACATTTTTCCAGTGTCTTAGATGGAAGGTATCCTTCTCATTTTTTAATATGAGCATTTACAGTTATACATTTCCCTGTTAGCACTACTTCAGCTACAACCCATAAGTTTTTGTATATTTTATGTTCATTCCTCTCAAAGGATTTTCTAATTACCTTTGTGATTTTTTAATTTGATCCATTGACTATGTAGGACTGTGTTTTTTAATCCCCACATATTTATGAAGCTCCAAAACTTCTTTCTCTTATTTATTTCTAATATTATTTCATTGTGAACAGGAAACATATGTTGTATTATTCTTATCTTTTCAATTTATTGACACTTGTTTTATGGCATGGCATATGGTCTCTCCTGGAAATCTTCCACACCCACTCAAGAAGAATGTGTATTCTGCTCTTCAGAGCATTTTATAGATGTCTGTTAGGTCTATTTGATTTATAGCATAGTATAATAATATCTTCTATTTCCTTCTTGATCTTTTGCCTACTTGTTCTATCCATTGTGGAAAGTGAGACATTGAAGTCTACAACTAGTATTGAATTGTCAGCCAGGTGTGGTGGCTTACACCTATAATCCTAGCATCTTTTGAGAAGAAAGCAGGAAGATCACTTGAGCCCAGTAGTTCGAATCCCACCTGGACAGCATAGCGAGACTGCATCTCACTATGCATCTCACTACAAAATAAAAAATAAAAAAAAAATTAGCCAGGTGTGGTGGTATGTGCCTATAGTCCTAGCTACTTGGGAGGATGAGGTGCAAGAATCACTTGATCCCAAGAGGTCAAAGCTTCAGTGAGCCATGATTGTGCCACTGTACTCCAGACTAGGCAACAGGACAAGACCCTGTCAAAAAAAAAAAAAAAAGTGTCTACTTCTCCCTTGAATTATCTCAGTATTTTTTAATGTGTTTTATGACTCTCTTGTTAGGTGAAAATATGTGTCCTGGTCTGCTAGGGCTGCCCTAACAAAATACCACAAATGAGATGGCTTAGACAATTGAAATTTATTATCTCCCTATTCTGGAGGCTGAAAGTCCAAGATCAAAGTACCAGCAGGATTGATTTTTCCTGAAGTCTCTCTCTTTGGCTTGAGGATAGCTGCTTTCTCACTGAGTCCTCACATGGCCTTTTCTCTGGGCATGCATGTCTATGATGTCTCTTCCTTTTTTAATAAAGACACAAGTCACATTTTGGATTACAGCCCCATCCTTATGATTCATTTTATATTTCTTCTTCAGCTACTTTGCATGTTATGCTTTTCTAAATATCTTTCCATGTCATGTAAGTTATTAAGTGTACTGGCATGAAATTGCTCATAATATCTTCCTATAATCTTTTTAATAACAATTGTATTTTTGTTATATATCCTTTCACATTACTAATATCGTGCATCTGTACCATATCTCTTACTTTTTTATTTCTTGCTTACTTTTGCCAGTAATTTTTCAATTTTATCTTTTTTCCTTAAGTTTGAAATTGGCTGTGTTGCTCCTCTATATGTTTATTTTGTATTTCACTAGTCTCCGCTTTTTTTGTTCCTTTACTTATCTTTTTCTTGCATTTATTTTTCTACTTTTTAAAAAATTCTTGAGATGTATGTGTATGCCATTAGTTTCCAGCCTTTCTTTTCTTTAATATAAATACCTGACTATTAATTTCCCTCTAGTTTTGCCTTAGATGAATCCAAGTTTTGTTATATTGCATTTTTGTTGTTAATTTTTATTTCCAACTATTTCACAATTTCCATTATCATTTCTCTTTTGATTTGTTAGTTATTAAAATGTGTGTCTTAACTTCTCAGCATATGGTATCTTTGTAGTTATCTATTGATATCTAACTTAATCACATGTGGTCAGAGATTATTGCCTATATGATACCCATCCTTCGAAATTCTAAAGCTATTCAGTATATTTACCCTCAAACTGAATAGTACAAGAACTTTCGTACACTTTAAGCCTTTTCCAATGTGATCAAACCTCCTCTTGACTTGTATGCTGTTATTCAGTATTTTGTTTTATCTGTTCTTGTTCCATAAGACATCATCATTATTATTGTCTAAATATTCTCTATTTAAGTTTACCATGTACTCATCATTTTATTTCTTCGTTATTCCGTCTTGCTTCTCAAATCTTTCATCTTGAATCAAATCTTGCTTCTCAAATCTTTCATCTTGAATCACTTTTGTTCTGCCTGAAAGATATCTTTGTTGGATAGAGATCTCAAGTTTGCTGGTCATTTTCAGATCTCCTTGCATCTGTTGTTCTTTAGTTTCAACAAAATGTTTCTAGGTGTTGATTTCTTTTTTTAAATCTTGCTTGGGATTAACTAGGCTTCTGAAATCCATGTATTGGTTGGTGTCTTAACAATGTCTTAGTTTGGGCTATTATAACAAAGTACTATAGACTGAGTGACTTATAAACAGCAGAAATTTATTCCTCACAGTTTTGGGGGCTGGACATCCAAGACCAGGGTACCAATATTGTCTGTTTCTGATGAGGGCCCTCTTTCAAGTTGCAGACTGCTGACTTCTAATTTTATCCTGAGACAGAAGAAAGAGGGCAAGAGAGCTCTCTAGAGTCTCTTTTACAAGGAGACTAATCCCATTGATGAGAGCTTTTTCCTCACGACCTAAATTACCTCTCAATGGCCTCACCTCCTAATGACATCATATTGGAAGGCAGAATTTCAACGTATGAACTTGAGGGGACACAAACATTAATTCCATAACAGTTTTACAAAAAAAAATTCAAGCATAATATCTTTAAATATTTTCTCCAGTCCACACTCTCTTTCTTCTCCTTTTACGTCTCTGCATGTTGATCTTCTCAGTCTATCCTATAAATCTATTAATCCCTCTTTTATATTTCCCATCTCTCATCTCTTTGGGATGTTGTCTGTATATTTGCTTTAGTTCCATATTATAGTTCATTAAGTCTTGATTTTCTTAGTTCTATATTATAGTTCACTAAATCTCTATTCAATTGTATATAATCCACTGTTAAACTCATCCGCTAAGTTTAAACCTCAATTATATTTCCTATCTTCCTGGAAAAATCAAGTTGTTTTTTATGTATATGTGTGTGTATGTGTGTGTGCATGTGTGTGTGTGTGTGTGTTTGTGCATATTCTAATTCTGCAAGTTTTTTATAGCTTTTCACATTCATGTGTTATTTACTCATATTTTTAATCCTCTCTTTAATATATTGAAATAAAGAAAGCATGCTTATTTTATACTCTGAGTTTGGTAGTTTCAAAAATGAAGTTTTTCTGGTGAAGTCTTAGTCTACTATCTGTTGTTCCTATTGGTTCTCACTCGTGGTACCTTTTTTCCTCATGAGTTTAATGGCTTTTTTCTCTCATTTTCCTTTGATTACTATCAGTAGGAATTATCTTGAGCCTGAGATAAAGTGAATCTCCTCAAAACAGGATTTGAGCTTGGTTCTATGAAGCACTTGGAGGAGCAACCAACTAGTCTGCGTCGGCTTCAAACTAAATACTCAACTTTAGGTTTTCCACACCACCCACATAGTATTTGGACTGTAAACCCATGTGAGGACTATCTTGTTATTACAAAATCTCAACAGAAAATAGCCTCACACTCTTAGTGCCAAATTTCAAGGCAGGTAGTACAGTTTTCCTTGCAGTCTCTTGGATGAGCAACAGATTTATTTATAGTTAACCCTTAACCTGTGGTGTGGCTCTTTGGGGCCCAAGCTTTGTAAAGCGTCTCCTGTTAGGTTCTCCACCTTAGGAGGACCATGAGCTTTGTCCCCTATTCCATGAACTCCACACGGCTGTGAAAAACAAAAGTCCAAGTTTGTTAGACTCAGCAAATTATCTTATATTGAAGGTTGGCTTCAGAAAGCAGTTTATCCATTTCAGGTGTCTGCCTTCGTTTGGCTGCTGGATGACAATTTCTTATCAGCTTACCGATGTACTCAAGAAGATATTTTTCTGGATAATAAAATATATAAAGGCCCTTATAAATATTCATATATTCAGGCCCAATCATTGCAAATCTAGGTCTATAAACTAGAGATATAATCAGAAATGCAGGAAAGCAAGTTTTATTTATGGCAATATGGTTAACAATATCCCATACATGAAAACACTTAAATGGCCTATAGTAGAGGAAGTATAAAACAAAGCGTGCTGCACCTATGTGGTATAACATTATATAGCAACTATAATTATATTTTAGAAAAGTATGCAAGGACATGTGAAAATGCTCAAGATATAATGCTAGATTTTAAAAACTAGGATACGAAAGTATATAAAATATTCTATACGTATAAAAAGGGTTGAGATGAAATAATTACTTGACATTATGTTGTGTGTCTTTGTTTGGCAAATATGGGTGCTTTTGGTTAACTTTAAAATTTTTTTCAGTATCTTCAAAGTACTTTTTACAATAAACTATATCTTTCAGAAACAATAAAGGTATTATTTTTATTTGTTTTTAAACAAAAGTCTTAGATAATAAAATGGTTTTAAAAGTTGTTACTCTGAAAAATTGACCTTCCCTAGTGTTTTCAATAACGCACTTCATTTTGCCAGTTTTAATGACTAAGAATATCTTTTGTGTAAAAGATAGCACTTTTAATAAATGATTTGAAAACTTATACCTGATTAAACGTGATTAAGAAACATCCTGATAAATGGTCAGTCTGGTGTTTTCAGACATTTTAACAAGCAGAAATGATTTACTACAAAGGTGATCCCATTTATTATGTAAAAAGTACAATCCTTAAGAGGTCTGAAAAAAACAACTTGACCTAAAAAAGCCTCTCTTCTCTAGCTACCAGTAAACTTGGATCAGCTTTGCATGCTTTTATCATTCTCCTCTCTCTCTGTTTCATTTTGTTTTTCTCTCTCTCCACAGCCACCTTACTCCTCACCTCTCCTTTTTCTTTTTTAAACCAAACTCAAAGCCTTAATATAACAATTGCCATAACATGACTGCAAATATCACTACATCTTGATGGATCTGTCACATGTGGTGCAACTTAAATTTGAGAACTGTTTGAAACTAAAGCATGCAGGCTGGGCACGGTGGCTCACGCCTGTAATCCCAGCACTTTGGGAGGCGGAGGCGGGCAGATCACCTGAGGTCAGGAGTTCGAGACCAGCCTGGCCAACATGGTGAAACGCTGTCTCTACTGAAAATACAAAAATTACCCAGGCGTGGTGGCGCCTGCCTATAATCCCAGCTACTCGGGAGGATGAGGCAGGAGAATCTCTTGAACTGGGAGGCTGAGGTTGCAATGAATGGAGATTACACCACTGCACTCCAGCCTGGGCAACAGAGCAAGACTTCATCTGAAAAAAAAAAAAAGAAACTAAAGCATGCAAAGCTCACAACGGAAGGTAATAAGAAGTAAACATGTCCAATCTAGCAATCTAGACAGGGAATTGGTTTTGATGGTAGCCAAAGTCAATGACAGTAGGCCACAAGAGCCATGGAAGTGGTGCCAAATGTGGTAGTTTAGTGCAAAATGCAAGGAAAAAGGACATAAAATCTCACAAAACAATCAAGGAGTGATCAAACTAATCCTGCATATTTATTGTCAAGGGAATCATTTTTAGTGTCACAACTTTATGTGGATTATCTTTTCCTTCATGATACCTTAGCCCCAAACATATCCTGTTTTTACCAATGTAAACTCCATGGAAACACAGACCGCTTTGTCCTCTGCTTTATCTAGAACTGATATTCAGTCAGTGAACACTGGTACCACCTACTGGGCTTCATAGGTTCTGATCAATGGAAGTCTAGGCTGCACATGTCATACCAATTGCTAAATATCCTGTATGTTACCAATGGCTAGTACATTGCCTGGCACATAGCAGACATGCTATATATATTCTGCTTTTGTAGTTCTTCACAAATTCTCTGTCCTTTTCTTTCTGTTCTTACTGTCATCGTGGCTTAATCCCATGTATGACTTTCAAGGGCTTGCATCTTCAACACCCTCATACTTTTTCAAGCCAGCATCGATGCCAACCTCTCTTTACCTGTCAATGGCTATCATAGCACCAAAATAATATATCTAAAATGCTATTTTTGTCATATCTCTCCCCTGCTAAAAACCAACGAACACAAAACACACCAACGATTTTTCATTCATTAAGATAAAATTTAATAATTCAAACACTTCAATTTGCATCTAAGACTTTCCAAATTCTAGCCCAAACCTATCTTTTTGGCCTCCAAAATTCCTCTGCATCTTTGCTCATAATGTTGTCTCTTATTGGATTATTCTATTTCTTCCATCAGCTCAAGTTTAACTTCACCTGTGAAATGTTTCCTGGTTACTCTAACCCATTGTAAACTCTTCCTCATATGAAAACCAACTCCATTTAAGTTTCATACTTTTGGCCAGTCACAGTCTCATGCCTGTAATCCCAACACTTTGGAAAGCCAAGGAGGGACGATCATTTGAGGCCAGGAGTTTGAGACCAGCCTGTGAAATATAGTGAGACCACCATCTCTACAATTTTTTTTTAATTAGGCAGGCAATGTGGTGCATGCCTGGAGTACTAGCAACATGGGAGGCTGAGATGGGAGGATTGTTTGAGCCCAGGAGATCAAGGCTGTAGTGAGCCATGATGGCACCACTGCACTCATGCCTGGGAGACAGACTGAGACCCTGTCTTTGACAATAATCTTAGAATCATATTTGAAAACACTAGTTAAGAACACAAATACTTGCTGTTTGGTTAGCTTTCTTTCTTTTCTTCCTTCTTTCTCTCTCTCTCTCTTCCTCTCTCTCTCTCCTTCCTTCCTTCCTTCCTTTCTTCCCTCCCTCCCCTCCCTTCCCTCCCTCCCTCCGTCTGTCTTTCTTTTTTCTTTCTTCTTTCTCTCTCCTTCCTTCCTTCCCTTCTTCCCTTCCTTCCTTCCTCCCTTCCTTCCTCCTCTGTCTCTCTCTCTCTCCCCCTCATCTCTCTCTCTCTCTCTCTCAACAAATACTTGTGAGTGTCTTTGCTGTGCCTGGAAGTGAGGACATAAAAATGACAGGACACAGTCCTTGATTTCAAAGACATTTCTGTGCAGATTTCTCTAACCAAAGAATCTTAAATAACCCATTGATCATCCAATGGAAAAGGTCTGAATTATAACTTACTGACCTAATAACCCTCAATGCTTTTTTAAAATTCTATATTTGCCTGAACTCCTTTATTGTTGCATTTTTTTAATTGATAAATCGGCTGTTAAACAAAGGTTGAAGCAAGGTAAGAGCCATTTTGGGCCAGGTGCGGTGGCTCATGCCTGTAATCCCAGCACTTTGGGAGGCTAAGGTGGGTGGATCATCTGAGGTCAGGAGTGCGAGATCAGCCTGGCCAAAATGGTGAAACCCCATCTCTACTAAAAATACAAAATAACTAGCCAGGCATAGTGATGCGCACCTGTAGTCCCAGCTACTTGGGAGGCTGAGGCACGAGAATCGCTTGAAACCAATTGAGGCAGAGGCTGCAGTGAGCCAAGATCGCACCATTGCTCTCCAGCCAAGGCGACAGGAGTGAAACTTCGTCTCAAAAAAAAGATAAGAGCCACTTAGAAAACTCTAGGTCAGCAAAAGATTTCATGGTGTAATAGTGAGCACTCTGGACTCTGAAAACTCTAGGTCAGTGGTCCTCAAACATGGCTGCACTTAATCCCATGGGAGGCTTTTACCCAGTAGAGACCAATTAAGTCAGAATGGGCAGGGTGCACATCTGCACATCTAGTCATCTACTTTATAAAAGCTCTCCAGGTGATTTTAATGTGCAACAAGGTTTGAAAAACACTGCTGTAAGCTAAAATAAAATTGTATTTCCATATATTAATTACATTTATGTTTAAAAAGGTAACAAATATATATGGTTTACATATTCATATGAAAATAAAATCATTTCATCCTTTCCATTGTTTAAACAACAAAACTAGGTAATGTCTTCTAAGAAAACAATTTCAAAATTCTTCACTATTTTTACCAGTGTAGATAAAGAAATCAGCTCCATAATACATCAGCTCTATATTTTTTACTAAATTGTT
This sequence comes from Homo sapiens, assembly GCF_000001405.40. Classification (NCBI taxonomy): domain Eukaryota; kingdom Metazoa; phylum Chordata; class Mammalia; order Primates; family Hominidae; genus Homo; species Homo sapiens. The sequence continues at coordinate 113,012,498 of NC_000023.11, read as the reverse complement.
AGGTAAATCTCACTCTGCATCTGTTCTAGGATACTGGTTTCTACTAAGAGGATCTAATAGTGAATGTAGAGTATTGGGTTGGGTGTGGTGGCTCATGCCTATAATACCAGCACTTTGGGAGGCCAAGGCAGGTGGATCACCTGAGGTCAGGAGTTTGAGACCAGCCTGACCAACATGGTGAAAGCCCAGCTCTACTAAATACAAAAAGTTAGCCGGTTGTGGTGGTGCATGCCTGTAATCCCAGCTACTTGGGAGGCTGAGGCAGGAGAATCGCTTGAAGCTAGGAGGCAGAGGTTGCAGTGAGCCGAGATTGCACCATTGCACTCCAGCCTTGGTGACAAAAGCGAAAAATCTTATTTAAAAAAAAATATATATATGTATATATACACACACACATATATATAATATACTAATTATATACTCTCTATATAGTATTATATATATAGTATTATATTCTTTTTCCAAGCCCAGTGGAAAAGCCTCAGCAAGCGTGGAGGTATCAGAAGCCTCCAAAAGGATCCCACTAAGTAAGTCCAAGTCACTCTCATTCACCCCATTGGAAGTTCCAATGTATCTAATACTATATATATAATACTATACTATATACAATACTATATATATAATACTAGTATTCATGGGATGTAAAACCCACATATATGGAGGCCTGACTTTTCATATCCATAGATTTCACAGGGCTGACTGTGAGACTTGAGTATACATGGATTTTGGTATTGGCAGGGTCCTGGAACCAATCCCCTGTGATTATCAAGGGGTAATTATAGTTTCATATTACTATTATTTTGTTAAGGTTTACTACATCTATGTTTAAAAGGGATATTTTTCTGTAGTTTTTTGTCCTTGTGATGTCATGCCTGTGTTTGATTTCTTTGGTTTCATCTGGAGTTGGGCTTGGGGTTAGTATTTACAGTATTTGGGATTAGAGGGTTAAGGCTTAGATTTTAGGGATTAACGAATAAAAGAATTTGAGGATTAGGGTTAGGGTTGGGGCTGGGGTTAGGATTGGGGCTGGGATTGGGACTAGGGCTAGGGTTAAGGTTGTTTTACTATTGCCTTCCTTTCTTTCACTATTACCTTGTAGGTTAATTTAGCATCCTCCCCGGCTAACACCTTGCCTCTCTACTACATACCCACCTCATCCTTTCCTTCTCTGGCCCTGTCATTCTTACCTATTTTCTGAATTGTTGAACATCGAGTATCTACATGGGCTTCAGAGGCTGCTCTGCGAAGCTCAAGGACTCAGGAAGGAGCAAAGGGAGAAAATTCACACTCACCCTAGCTTACTCTTGTCAAGCAGGCATCCTTGCCTCTCTCCTCTGCCACCTACCCTGATAGTTGAGTTAATGCCCCCATGGCCTATTTCCCCATATGCAAGAAGAAATTATCCCAAGGCCCTTAAGGTGGAAACCCACCAGTGAACTCTTCCAGTGCACCATCTCCTAAGCCATTCCCCAAAAGCTCCGTCGCCACTCTATTCCCCTCCATCTATACACTGGGTCAGGCAGGAGGCAGCAGGGTTATGGCCAGACACCACTGTTCAAAGTGAGTCACCACCAGTCTAAGCCAGTCAAAGCATGTCAACTCGAGTCACGGCTGGTCAAAAACAGTCTGAGGCCACCAGGTGCAGTGGCTCATGCCTGTAATCTTAGCACTTTGAGAGCCTGAGGCAAGTGGATCCCTTAAGGTCAGGAGTTCAAGACCAGCCTGGCCAACTTGGTGAAACCCCATCTCTACTAAAAATATAAAAATTAGCTGGGTGTGGTGGCAGGCACCTGTAATCCCAGCTACGCAGGAGGCTGAGGCACAAGAATCACTTGAACTGGAGAGGTGGAGGTTGCAGTCAGCTGAGATTGCACCGCTGCACTCCAGCCTGGGCAACACAGTGAGACTTTGCCTTAAAACAAAAACAAAAACAAAAAGCAAAAAACAGTCTGATCATGGCTAGTTAAGACTGGTCAAGGCCAGAAAAAAGTAGGCCCAGGCTGGTCAAAGCCAGTTGTAGCTGGTCAAGAATGGTCCTATGTTGTTAATACCAGTCCAGGCCAATCAAAGCCAGTGACAGCTGATCAAAACCAGCCAAATCCATTGAAAATCAGCCAAATGTGTCCAAAAGTGGTAAATTCCAGTCAAAGGCAGTCAAGGTTGTTTGAAGCTAGTCACTGCCTATCTAAGCAAGTCAAAACTGGTAAATTCTGGACAAAGCCAGCCATAGCTGGTCAAAGCCACTTATAGCCAGTTTAAGCCAGTCAAAACTGGTTAATTCTGGTCAAAGCCCAGTCACTGCCAGTTAAAGCCAGTTACAGCCAGCCTAAACTCATCAACACTGGTTGATTCTGGCCAAAGCCAGTCACAGCCAGTCAAATCTCATCATGACCAGTCAAAGGGTTGCCACAGCTGATCTAACCCAGTCAAAACCAGTCAATTCTGGTCAAAACTGGTTGTAGCCAACCTACTCCAGTCAAAACTGGTGTAAGCCAGCCAAAACCAGTTGATCCTGGTAAAACTAGTCATGGCTGGTCACAGCTGGTATAAGCCGGTTGATTCTGGACAAAGCCAGTCACTGCCTGTCAAAACCAGTTGGTTCCAATCAAAGCCAGTCACATATGGCCAAAGCCAGTTACAGCCAATATAAACCAGTAAAAAACACTGAATTCTGGACAATGCCAAACACAGCTGGTCATAGATGGTCACAGTCAGTCTAAATCGATCAAAAACTAGTCAATTCCACTCAAATCCAGTCACAGTCTGATAGATTTGATCACAACCAGTCAAGGCTGGTCACATTCAGTCTAAGCCAGTCAAAACTAGTCAATTCTGTTCAAAGCTGGTCACAGCCAGTCATGTTTTGTCTAAGCTGGTCAAAATGAATGCTGGTCAAAGCCAGTTGTGGCCAGTTATGGCCTGGCCTGTCATGGGAAGTCTAAGCCAGTCAAAATCAGTGTAAGATGGTAAAAAACAGTCAATTCTTGTGAAAGTTGGCTGCAGCCATTCATGGCCAGTCTAAGCAGGTCAAAACCAATCTAAACTGGGCAAAGCAAGTCACAGCCAGTGAAAGCCTGTCAGTGCTGGTCAACGTGGGTCAATTCTGGTCAAAGCCAGTCAGAAGTTGGTCAGGTCTGATCAAGACTACTCAAGGCTGGTCATAACCAAGCTAAGCCAGTCACAACTGGTAGATTCCAGTTATAGCTGGTCATGGCCAGCCAAAGTTTGTCACAGCCAATCTAAGACAGTCAAAACCAGTCTAAGCTGGTCAAAGCCACTCAAATCTGATCAAAACTAGTCACAGCCAGACTGAGCAAGTCAAAACCAGTCAATCCCGTCAAAACCAGTCACAGCCAGTCATGGATATTCAAAACCAGTCACAGCCAATTAAAACCACTCCAGGCCATTCAAAGTCAGTCAGACGCAGTGAAAACTGGCCAAATCCAGCCACAGCCAGCCAAGGCTGACCAAAGCTGTTCACAGTCAGTCTAAGCTGGTCAAAACTGGTTACAGCTGGCCAGAGCCAATCAAAGCTGGTCACAGCTGGTTAGAATCAGTTAAAGCCCACCATGCCAGTCAAGGCTGATCATGATCAGTGAAATCCAGCCAAAGGTGGTCATGGCTGATCACTGTGGGTCCAAGCCCATTGTGGCTGGTCAGACCGCAAAAAGGAATTAGTACAATCTAGCCCAGTCATCTAATTTTAGATACATGAGATTGGGTGAAATCCAGAGAGGTAAATATTCGTTTTCTTTTTTCTTTTTATTTCCCTAAGACTTCTGAGTCAAGGGTAAATATCCAAGTCCCTAAATTATTGAGTGACACAGCCACTGACTAGATCTCTGGTGTCCTGGCTGACAGACCAGTGTTCTTTCTTACACATCAAGACTTAGCTAATGTTCTAGCAGCCCAAGTCAGCAGAATTATCAAACTCACTGACTTCAGTTCCATTTGCATATATACATAGTGGTGTTGAGATGGGGTTATGGCTTTAGAAATTCATGGCAACATACGTTTTGGAAAACTTTCAAATAAAAGCTAAAAATAGGAAATGCTATAGCAAATTCTGTCACATAATTTTTTTAATAGTATGTGTGCTTTAGATGTAAAATTTATTCACCACACCATCAAAAATTAATTGCCAGATTATCTTGCAAGCTAAGAAAAACAAACCATTAAGTTTAGTAGATCAGTATACTCTCCAGGTGACATTTATTATCTTCATTAGACAACTGACTGGTCACATCTGCTTTCTTCGCCATAATATGCACACAGGATTATCTTATGTAGAAAAAGGTCCACCAGACATTCAATTAACCCAGCTGTCACACATCTGTTGCTGTCTCTATAAATGTGCAGTTAACTGGAAATTACTCTTCTGATAACTTTACATCTCTTTTTTTATTGTGATAGTCTCTTACTTCCTCCATACAAACTACCTCAATGGCTTTGTTTGTGATCCAAAGATTCTAGAACATATCCAACTATTTCTGATCCTCTGAATGGAGGAACAAGTCTGGCATTTACATTTAGTGATTTGGAATCTTACAGATGCAGTCTCAGTGTAATTCATCAGATATTAAAATAAGAACCTAGACTACTTAATAAAGGTCTGAAGTTGTTATTCTACTCCAACCATTACTATTAACTTGCTGTGAGTGCCTAAGTAAATTGTATTACTGCCTTATAGTTGAGTTTTCCAGTTTGTAATATATGCAGGAGGAGAGAGCTCTCCATGCTACTTTATAAAACTTTTGGAACATTGTGTGTGGTTATTCAAATTTCCTGGGGGCATCAACTATATTGTGGTATTAGAGTCCCCCAGAAAACTGAGATAAATAAATGTACCAACACAGCCTTTTTTTTTTTTTTTTTTTTTTTTTTATTTGAGGTGGAGTCTTGCTCTGTCGCCCAGGCTGGAGTGCAGTGGAGTGATCTCGGCTCACTGCAACCTCCGCCTCCCAGGTTCAAGTGATTCTCCTGCCTCAGCCTCCTGAGTAGCTGGGATTACAGACACACGCCACCACACCCGGCTAATTTTTTTGTATTTTTAGTAGAGACGCGGTTTCACCATGTTGGTCATGCTGGTCTTGAACTCCCGACCTCGTAATCCACCCGGCTGAGCCTCCTAAAGTGCTGAGATTACAGGTGTGAGCCACCGTGCTTGGCACAGCTTTCTCTTCCTTAATAAATAAATAACAAATATTATCATGCATTTAACAGCACTTCACATTATTCAAAAGGGCTTCACCAAGAAGGCATTTTTGAGTACCTGCTATGTGCCACACCCTGCAGTAGGTGCTAAAACTATAAAAATTATTAAAACCTAGTCCCTTGGTTTAGGGGTCTTTAAGGCAGCCCAATAGATAAAAAGTCCCTTTCCTGTTCAAGTCCTGAAACAAATTGAAATGTAGCATATGGTAGTAAGGTAGACAGATACCAAAATACCAACGTCATTGCTCCTAAAACTAGTATTGAAGAATATGGTGCATCTAAGTCCACATGGACTTTATAATCAGACCCTGAGATTTACAGACTTAACCACTCAACAGAATTAGACCTGGAAAACAGAGCCAGCCCTGGAGAACAAAGGAGAATATATGCTCCCTGCAGGCAGCTACTCCCAAGGAAGCAGAGCAAAGGAAGGGACTGCACTAGGCTTGCTTAATTTCTCCATTCAAAGTTGTCAATCAGCCAGGCACAGTTGCTTCCGCCTCTAATCCCAGCTACTTGGGAGGCTGAGGCGAGAGGATTGCTTGAGACCAGGAGTTCGAGACTAACCAGGGCAACATATTGAGACCCCACCACCACCCCAAGACTCCATCTCTAAAAAGAAACAAACAAACAAAAAACAAAGTTGCAAAACAAATATGTGCTCTTCACCCATCCTCAGTTAAGAATGAGTATGGAACAAATCAGTGCCAGAAGTGTTACACAAATGGATGTCCTTCCACCTGGTAGGAAACATCTGAAGTGGAAAGGAATCATTCCCCCACCCTAATACCTACCCTCAAGAACCTCATTACATTGATATTCACAGCAATCCTAAGAGGTAAATAGGAAATTACTATTTTAACTGTTTTATTTTATTTTATTTCTTCTTATTTTCTTCTTTTTAGACTCTAAATTATGATTAACTGTTTTATGGTAGAGAAAGCTGAGACATGGAAGAGTCACAGAGCTAGGCTGAAACCATAGTAGAATAATATCTTAATTCTTTATGGTATGAACTTGGACATTTTTACCAGTGAAATTAGGTGATGAATTTGTCTATACAATGCCTTACTTTTTTTGCAAGTGAAACATAGGCTTTAATCCAAATGGTTTTGTGATTATCTAAGGTTATGACAAAAGCATCTATCATCTTGTGTACAGATGAGGTTATTTGCACATTCAAATCTTCCATCTCTCTTTCAAGGTTAGGAGTAAAAGTTTTTTAAAAAGAAAAGGCAAAAGCAGATAAGCTTTAAAAAATGGAATGCCACCATAGTAAAGTTTTATAGAGAAAGGAGCCAGGCATAGGTGAGGGAAGCAGATAAGAAAGACAAAATAAAACCAGGCAGTTATCCAATGCTCAATATGAGAAAGAATGCTTAATTTAGTCAACTGACACTGTGTTTCTTTTTTTTTTTCTTTTTTTCTTCCTTTAAATGAATAAACCTATGAAATGTGTACCTATAGTAATTATTAGATTCACACATTAAGCATTTTATATGTTTTCGGTTCTGGGCTAAGTACTATATAAATAATACTATATACATAAAGTGCTATGTAAATGCATGTACAAGGAAGTCACCCTCTCTGTTTTGTTTCACATGGGAAAACAGACTTATTTGGATCAAGCAACTTATCTTTTTTCACATAATCAGTAGTATGTGAGAGTGTCAAGATTTGAACCCAAGATGTCTGACTCCAGAGCCCATACTCAGTCAGTTCATTCTTATTTTTTGTTTTTCTTTTTTGTGATTTTTCTTTTTCTTACCCAGTTCATTCTACTGGTCTATCAGCTAAGAGCAGAAATTGTTACTTCTGGGTGGAGCACATTCCAGCAGGGAAAAGAAAATATGTCTAAGATAGCTACCTTATTTGAAGCTTATAATGCAGTTAGGTACACATGGTATAAACACTAAAAAGCTTATGGTAAGTGAACACAAATGAACATATTAACAAGTATATGAGCCTTGAGATGAACTGGAATGAAAAAAATTATTGGAGAGGGAGAGTGTTAAGCTGACAAGCATGTGCTCATAGTCTGAGCTGTTTAAAGATAAGCCGCCTCCAGAAGTAATAAGTTCTCATCATGAGAGGGACTTCTCACACAGGCTGAAGGAACAAACATTTGGTAGATCAAATTATTTAAAATGACATCCAAAGTCCTTCCAACCCTGAGATTCTATGATTTAGTTATTATTTTGAATAGCCACTATGTGCTAAGTCCTGGGGTAAGTTCCTCTCACAAAGGGGAATAAGACATACCCTAAAAAAGCCCACAGTTTAGTGGAGCACATAGCATAAACTTAGAAATATAGAATACAGTGTAAGAAGTACTCATATGACATGGGAACAAAGAAAATGTGCACCTAATCCAAACTGGGAAGGGCACTTAAAAAGGAAAACTGAAAATGTTTCCTAGATACGAAGCCTAAACTAACTCTTGAAGGAAGAGTAGAAAGCTAGCTAGGTTTTATTTTATCTATTGCAATGTAACAAACCATCCCTAAAACTTAAAACCAAAAAAAAGTATTATGTCTCATAATTTTGTGGGTAAGAAATCCAGGCAGGGATCAGTTGGCCAATTCCTCTGCCCTTCTCTTGAAGTTACTCAATGGTACTCAGCAGCTGAGCTGGTCTGCAGGGTCCAAGACAAATTCACTCACATACCCGGTCTCTTGTAGGGGATGGCTTTAAAGACTGGTCTCAACTAAAACTCTCCTTCTCTTTATGTGATCCCTTTAGTAGGGTAAGTGTATTCTTACATGGTGGCTCAGGAATCCAAAAACTAGTGCCACAAGAGATCAACATGAATGAACCTCAGAACAGTGAATTTGGATTTGCTATATTACATAAATTGTAAACATTCTAAGAACTTGGGTAAGAGAAAATGATGTCGGCAAAAATGGATTTAACTTACCTCCATACCAGATGGGCCAGATGCGACAGAAGTGGGGGCACAGAAAACCACTTAATTGTTGCAATTTTTATACTAAGAGCTACACTTGTGTGGTGTCTATAGCAGCAGAAAATAGAGGATATCCAGACATTACTGTGAAGACATACTAAAATTATGGATAGCAAGGTGTCCATTTGACTCCCAACTACTGATTATTGGGGAACATTATCATCAAACTACTTGCTTCAGATGGGTAAAAAACAGATGGATAAAAGCAGACATCAGTCTATTTTTAAGACTGTTGACTATTTACTCACTTTATTCAAGCTAACACTAAAGATGTTAGAGGCCTAGTACTGGATAAATGTGTAAAGTATCAATTAAGGCTCATAATAAGCCTTGATCGCTTATAATGGAGGTAAGATTCAGGGAAATGTCCCAAGGAGTTTCCTGTGGATGCCTGAATAAATCTTCCCCCGACACCATACCTTCCTCTCTTGCCTGTAACTCCTTACTATGAACCAAAGAAATAGGTAGGTAATTGCTCACAAAGGGAGCTACAAGAAGATTTAAAAGTCACTTACAAATTCAACTAAGGTATTTCAACAAAATAGACTGTTTTCCTCAGGAAAATGGCATTCCATTATAATTTATAAAATTATAAAATTTCTTAAGCAAACTTCCCAGACCAGTGTAATTAGGAAGGTATTTAAGACTCTCCTTTCTTCCTAACTCTAATTGTCCCCGAGTTATTTTCTTTTTTTTACTTTAAAACTAAGCAATATAGGCTCACGCCTATAATCCCAGCACTTTGAGAGGCCGAGGTGGGCAGATCACCTAAGGTCAGGAGTTCGAAACCAGCCTGGCCAACATGGTGAAACCCTGTCTTTACTAAAAATGCAAAAATTAGGCAGGCATGGTGGTGCATGCCAGTAATCCCAGCTACTCAGGAGGCTGAAGCAAGAGAATCTCAAACCTGGGAGGCAGAAGTTGCAGTGAGCCGAGATTGCGCCACTAGACACCAGTCTCGGCGACAGAGCAAGACTCTGTCTCAAAGAAAAAAACAAAAACAAAAAGAAAAGAAAGTTAAAAAATAAAAATAAAAAAAAACTAAGCAATACTTTAGCTTTTCTTAGACTCTAGAGCCAGTCTTGTGATGTTCAGTTGGATAGCTCGGAGCTTTCCCTCGGGCCACTTCATCATTGTTTCTCGTTATCAGCTAATTAAAATGAGACTAGTAAAAGACAAGCTTTCACAATTGGACTCAAAAGAGAAGACAGCCGGAGATTGGGTCGTCTGTCCCTACCAAACTTACAGACTTTAGATGATTGGAGCAGATCATTTACATTTGTGCAACCAGTATTATACCTATTTTCAAAAGAAAGTCTATTACTCCTGAAATCATCTTGGGGTTTGACTTATCGAACTTATTTCTTCAAGTAAAATAAATTCTAAAAGCATTAAGAACCTTTACATGACATAGAAAATGGTTGATCTTTTGAGAGAAAATGGCCAGGCCAAAAAAAAAAAAAAAAAAAGAAAGAAAGAAAGAAAAGAAAAAAGAAAAAGATTGAACTACACAATGGAAAAAAGGATGCTTGATTTTGTTGAAATGACTATAAACTTTAAAATGAGAGACTCACAGCTTACAAAATGTCTCCTCTCAGATGCAATTCTTTTTTAAAAATTTAATCACTTTCTCAGCCGTGTACGTTTACAGTATATTCAAATGTAAATCAAATCACTAAGACAACGAAACCATTCACAATTTATAAACTGTGTCCATAAAAAATTCCATTTTGCCAATAATAAACAGGAACAGTCTCTGCATCACTTTGATTTCCATAAAGAAGTATTATCAGAGGTTGACACGTTATGTTCTTTTTTTAAAAAGACTATTTATTTATTTATTAATTTAGACAGAGTCTCACTCTGTTGCCCTGGCTGGAGTGCAATGGCCCAATCTCGGCTCACTGCAACCTCCGCCTCCCAGGTTCAAGTGATTCTCCTGCCTCAGCCTCCCCAGTAGCTAGGGTTACAGGCATGCGCCATCACTCCCAACTAATTTTTGTACTTTAGTAGAGATGGGGTTTTACTATGTTGGCCAGGCTGGTCTTGAACTCCTGACCTCAAGTGATCTGCCCACCTCGACCTCCCAAAGTGCTGGGATTATAGGCGTGAGCTACCATGGCTGGCCTATATGTTATCTTTTTTAAATAAAACATCTTATTAATTTAGACCCCTGGGACCCTTAACTATTATATCATGACTTTAGTTTTGCAAAGTCTGCCCACAAGTAGGTTTTTTTTTTAATGTATTAAATACCTAACGCTGCTATGCGAACATACTGTCACCAGATGGCAGTTGTATGCCACAGCCCTCAAGGTTTGATCTATAAGACATAAGCTAAGACTTGTTTCATTGAAGTAGAGATATTATCTTTCTTTTACCTTGTTCATATCAAAAGCATATAATAAACTTAAATAATAACGAAATCTGAAAACACTTTTTTTTTTTTTGAGACAGAGTTTCGCTATGTCGCCCAAGCTGGAGAGCAGTGGCATGATCTCGGTTCACCACAACCTCCACCTCCTGGGTCCAAGCGATTCTCCTGCCTCAGCCTCCAGAGTAGTAGCTAGGATTACAGCCATGCACCACCATGCCCAACTAATTATCGTATTTTTAGTAAAGACAGGGTTTCACCATCTTGGCCAGGCTGGTCTCGAACGTCCTACCTCAGGTGATCTGCCCGCCTCGGCTTCCCAAAGTGCTGGGATTACAGGCATGAGCTACCACGCCTGGCCTGAAAATGCCACACAAATGCCAAACAAGTGAACTCCAGGATGCAATTTTATTTGCACAACATATCTTACTCTAACCAAATACCAATGTTTCATTAGAATGCTAATCTTTATATCTGTTATCACTTCGACTTAATAGTTCTTCCTGATTTTCTTTTATCCTCAATTTACAGTCTTGTCCCACACCCCTCGCCCAACACTCAGTTAGTCAAACACCATATAGCCATGGCAGCCTAGTTATCCCAACTAAAGGAATAGCATCTCTTATGGTCTCTTCATCTCCCTGAAGCTTTCTGGTTCTTTTATTTTTCTCTGTTTCTTCCTCTTCGCTTAGGATATATACTTTACTCTCCATAGTTCCTAGAAAATGTATCTTCAAGTTTGTTTCTAATTTTAAAAATTTGTTTCATTTTTCTTGTTGAGAATAATTTACACTGCTCCATTGCTGGAACTGACTAAATCCTTTTGTGGTTCATGAGTGCGATGATTGGTTTTTCACACATATATGTGAGATGTGCCTCCCTCAAACCTTGTTAGGAGTAGAAGGTAGGCACATTACCTATCTGACGTGAAAAAAAGAAGAGAAAAAAGTAACATATCTAAAAGGTGCCCAAACAACCCAATTCAAAAATGGCAAAGACTTGAATAAATATTTCTCCAAAGACAATATACCAGTAATAAGCACATTAAAAATACTCAACATCATTAGTTATTAAAGAAATGCAAATCAAAACCACAATGAAATACTACATCATACCCACTGCAATGGTTATAAACAAAAAAAATCGAAAATAAGTGTTGCTGAGGATGTGGAGAAATTAGAACCCTCTTACACTGCTGGTGAGAATGTGAAAATAGTGCACCCACTACAGAAAACGGTTCGGTAGGCCATGCACGGTGGCTCACAACTGTAATCCAGGCACTTTGGGAGGCCGAGGCAGGTGAATCATTTGAGATCAGGAGTTCGAGACCAGCCTGGCCAACATGGTGAAACCCCATCTCTACTAAAAATACAAAAATTAGCTGGGCATGGTGGTACACGCCTGTAATCCCAGCTACTTGGGAGGCTGAGGCAGGAGAGTTGCTTGAACCCGGGAGGCGGAGGTTGCAGTGAGCTGAGATAGCACCACTGCACTCCAGCTTGGGCGACAGAGCCAGACTCTGTCTCAAAAAAAAAAAAAGAAAGAAAAAAGAAAATGGTTTGATCGTTTCTCAACAAGTTAAACATAGAATTTCCATATGATTCAGCAGTACCATCCCTAGGTATATACTCCAAAATGAATTGAAAGCAGGGACTCAAACAGATACTTGTACACGCATGCTCATGGCAACATTATTCACAATAACCAAAAGGTAACACAACCCAAGTTTCCATCAGTAGATGAATGGATAAACAAAATGTGGTATATACATACAATGGACTATAATTGAGCCGTAATAAGGAATGAAATTCCCATACATGCTGCAACATGGATGAACCTTAAACACACTATGCTAAATAAAATAAGCTTGACACAAAAGGACAAATATTGTATGATTCCATGTGTATAGGATACCTAGAATAGTTAAATGCATAGAGAGAGAAAGTAGAATAGTGGTATCCAAGGACTTGGGAGAAGGGAAATGGGGAGTTAGTGTGTAATGGGTACAGAGATTCAGTTTGGGAAGAGGAAAAGGTCTAGAAATGGATGGTCACGATGGTAGCACAATAATGTAAATATATTTAATGTCACAGAACTATACACTTAAAAACGGTTACAAAGGTAAATTTTATGTTCAGTAATTTACCACAATTAAAAAAAAAAAACTTTAAAAAATGCCCATGGGCCACTTGCTGATAATAGAAGCCTAAATAGGAATTGCCTCAATTTAAAGAAGAATATGTCGTGAAGCAGGAGATTTTGAATAAAGGAAAATCAAGCATAGCTTTACCTGGCTGTGTCACAAACCCATTAATTCAGAACTTGTGATTATTCAGACCAGTGTTGATTTTCTGGGTCTAGCAAAGCATTTCTTCTCATCAGTGTAAACAAGAGGCAGAATTAATCAATTTAACAGAACAATCTATAAGTGCCTCAGCATATTTAGAGTCTATGAGAAAATTAATGTTACTAATTATAAGTACTTGTCCCACAGTTGAACTTCCCATAAATTTCAGTATTTAGGGCTGCCTGTTAAGCAATGTAACTTTGTTCATCCAGTGTGCTCTTCTCTTTTTTTTTTTTTTTTTTTTTCTGAGATGGAGTCTCGCTCTGTCACCCAGGCTGGAGTGCAGTGGCTCAATCTCGGCTCACTGCAACCTCTATCTCCCGGGTTCAAGTGATTCTCCTGCCTCAGCCTCCTGAGTAGCTGGGATTATAGGCACGCACCACCACACCTGGCTAATTTTTGTCTTTTTAGTAGACATGGGGTTTCACTATGTTGATCAGGCTGGTCTCGAACTCCTGACCTCATGATCCGCCCACCTCGGCCTCCCAAAGTGCTGGGATTATAGGCATAAGCCACCGTGCCTGGCCACTCTTCCCATTTATCTAAAACATTTTTGTTTTATTATTTCTCTGGCTTGACAGAATCTCTCCTACCTCTCTGAAAATCATGTAACCCTTGCAGAGGAACAGGGCACCCTCTTCCTCTATCCCAGCTTTTCTAGCCCATCTCTGAGAGGGTAAAGAACCTGGACTATTCTCACATCATTAATATTGTATTATTATTGCCTACCACTGACTGGGGACCTAGTTTGTGAGAGCACTGTGCTAGTGCTTTCTCAGTGTTATCTCTAATTCTAAAAATCCTGCAAGATAGACATGGGAATATCTATTTTTGAGATTGGGAAACTAAGGCAATAGCAGTTATGTGTCTTTGATCAAGGCCACATAGCTATTAAGTGTGCACCAGGTTTTAAACATGTCTTTCATCACCAAAGCCTATATGTGACCTTTCTGATACTGTGCCACCTTCCAAATACTGTCTTATTGCAATCAGACACGTTCTGTGAGAGTTTGTACTAGTCCTAAAAGGAACGAAGATGCATTTCTTCTTAAAAAATGTAAAATTTGAGCTTTTCCCTTTAAGTGGCCTTGCTCCTTATTTTAATTTTTTTTTCTGATTCAGTGCAGTTTGACTGTGAAAGCGTTGTAGCTCAAAGGTCCCTCCACAACCCTAATCTTTAGTCCTCAGGTTAATGTTAGCAAGTCTCCGAGGATGGTTTTCTTCTTGATGACCTTGGCAGGAAAAGAAGTTAACCCCTTCATCAACCCAGTCTGTAGGCAACACCAAAACATGATGAGATGGGCTTCATTTTCTGCCTCAAATAATCTGTTTATGTAAATCCCCAGAGCCCAGCCAAGGCAGCTTAGAGGGCAAAGCAAATGTCTTCCGTGACTGCAGAGAAAAGTTTCCAGGAAGCCAGGGATCTCACAGGCTGCTCTCAGCCCTGCTTGTCAATGAACAAGCAAAAGAATCAAAAACAGATAAGGAACAAGAAGATAAGAGAAGCCCAATATGGTCTAAAACAAACTAACAAAGAAGAGATAAGATGTTTACAGAAAAAAATAACCTTTGGAAAGGGCTAGCCTTTGACAAAATTGTGAAGGAGGTTGTCTGTTTTCTCTTTCACGCCATCTGCATTCGCATCTCCTCTTATCATTCTACTCCTCCACCCTATGTAGTCACAGAGCTAATAAATACTTCTTGAATAAATGCATGTTGAAGCCTCCTAGCATGAGCTTGCCTTCTCCCTGCCACCCCCTTAACATATTTCGTGTTCCACGACATCCTCCCTATCCAAGTCAAAACTTGCTCCCTCCTTCACATTCTCATATAGAAACTCGATCAAATTCACTTGGTCAATTTATCTAGCAAGTATGTTGATGGTTAGCAATGATTTAATGCACTACCCCTACCAGATTACACATTTGCATTTTGATGGGGTTATCCAAACCTTAGACCTGTCTTTCCCTCTCCACTATCTCTTCCCCGGCTTTCACTTGTGAATCCGTAAATCCCATCATGGTGTTTGCACAACTTCTCCAACAAGTAAGTTTTGGCTGTGTAAGATAAAGGACTAATGGCCATAAGAGATATAGCATATGTTTGCAAACATTAATGGGGCATTGCTTGTAAGCCTGGGATTCCTTAACTTGAAGGGGCTTACAATTTAGCTGGGAGACAAAATTAACACCTATAAAAAGTCAAACAACAAAACCAAAATTTGGTGGCCTTCCTACATTTAATAATTTGCAACACCAGCTGACTCCAGTGATCTGACACTATCTCAGGGAAAGATCTAAAAGTAGTATCCTCAAGGTATATGGCAATAGCAACAGTATCTAAATGGTGGAGGGTGAATGAGGCAGTGACAAAGTCACAAATACACTGTCAAAACAGGCCCATAGCCATAGCACGTACACCCATAAATCCTAGTGTGTGTCAGAGTATTCCAGTGGTGAGCATGCAAGCTCAGAAAATACATGCATGAGCCGCTATTTGGTAAATACCTCCACAAAACTGGCTTCCATCATTTTCCTGTGAATACATTGGAAAAAAAATTGATGGCTTTTTAATTAACTCTGTGTCTAATATCCAGATGGTAAGTTCAGCAATTACATAAAACAATTTCCTTAGGTTGCAGCTCTGAAATCATGATTTAGGAATGGAATTTTCAAGAAGATGTTTTGAAACACTACTTAGAGGGGTTGGAAGTTGTTGGGCAAGGGGACACATAAAAGGAATTACCTGTTAAGTTTTTCTTATCTCTCCAAACTATACAGGCATAGAAGGGACAGCTGCATGTGCCCTCCTAAATATTTAAGTGGTGGTGAAATCACTCTAATTATCTGTTTTCAAATAACCTGAATTCCTGTCAAGTTTAAGTTAAATATTTCTATAGTACCTTTCTCTTTTCTATGCCCTACAGCACTGAGTATAGTGCCTTTCACCCAGAAAAGAAATTCAACACATGCTTTCCCATTGATTGGTTTATTCTGGTGGAGACCCCAACCTTTTAGAAGTTTCTGGTACAAGCTAAAATTTTTCTAACTCCAAGCTCTGTTTCAGAAAGTTTATAATCCTATCTCTCAACTGAACTGTTACCTTCTCACTGAGAAATTCACTGAGTTCAAACACCAGTTCGCATTAGAAGAAGGTAAAATATAGATCAGAAGGGAGGGGAAGAGATTGAAGTGGGTTTCCCTGAAAGAGAAGAAGGAGGGGAAAAACAAAAGGTGGCTCATGCCTGTAATGCCAGCACTTTGGGAGGCCAAGGTGTGTGGTATCACCTGAAGTCAGGAGTTTGACACCAGCCTGGTCAACATGGTGAAACCCCGTCTCTACTGAAAATACAAAAAAAAAATTAGCCGAGGGTGGTGCCGCACGCCTGTAATCTCAGCTACTGGAGAGGCTGTGGCATGAGAATTGCTTGAACCCTGGAGGTGGAGGTTGCAGTGAGCCGAGATTGCACCACTGCACTCCAGCCTGGGCAACAGAGCGAGACTGTCAGGAAAGAAAAAAAAAAAAAAGATGTAGTGGAGTAACAACACCCACCCGATTAAGGCAGTAAAGAGACTATGAGGTGACAAGGAGAACTAACAGGATTATAAATGTGGCTTATACTTTCACATAACTTTGAGTGCCCTGATATAGTCCAAAGTCAAGGATGTGTTCTAATGTTGATTGTAGAAAACTTTCTCACTAAGACCTTGCTCTGACACCCACCCCACCATTTCATGGCAACCCCACCTTACCCCACCCAACTCCACACCCCATCCTCCTTCCATGCTATGTTTTCTTCCATGGCACTTATCAATACTTATTTTGCTATACATCTGTATTTATTTGTTTACTTTATTATCTATTTGCCCCACTGGTATGTAAGTTCCAGAAGGACAGTTTGTCAAGTTCACCACTGTTACAAAACAATTTTCAAAACAAATGGCAAAATCGTGACTCTCATACAAATATAAAAATGAACACCTGTTGAACACATTTTATTTAACTCATTAATAAGGAAACTAGTAACTGTTACAACTGGTCAAAAGGAGAATCCAAGAACAGACACATTTATAGATCAGAAATATTGAAATAAATGTGTAAATGGGAGGAAAACTGTTCTGAGGGAGAGAGTTGTCCCTCCCACCTCACAGAACTGAATTTGCTTGTCTGTAGACAATCGTTATTGTCTATAGACAAGGATTATTTTGCATTGCTATGTTATCTTCAGTTTACAGAATTGCAAAATAGCTTCCACTCAAGCAGGATCAAATAACTCTGAAGACGTGCTATAGTCAATGAATAATTTTCTACTGAAGAACAGAATTCTGTCTACATCACAGCAGTACCTAGCAGGGTGTCTGGCACACAGAAGATACTTCAGAGGGAAGCAGAAGGACCAATATGCCCAACACGTACCTAATTCTAAATGAAACCAGGACTGGAGTCTAAAGAAACCTTCACAATCAAAGGCTAAGTAAGGTGCAGATTGGCTCTGTGGCTATGTTATCTCCAAGAGCTCATCATCCCCGATTGCTATTTCTCTCACACCAACCTCCTTCCATATCCAATCAATCACAGTGTCCTATCATTTCTACCATCTGCAAATATATTTTTATTTTTTCCACTTCTCTCCATCCCCATTGCCACTCCTGTACTTCAGACCGCCAGTAGTCTTTCCCTAGGATTATTGCAACAGTCTCTTAACTACTCCCACCTCCAATCCATTCATAAGGAAAATCCGTTCTACTATGTAAATCTCAACATGTTGTTGTCATACTTAAAACCCATTGTCCTGGCTGGGCACAGTGGCTCATGCCTGTAATCCTAGCACTTTGGGAGGCCGAGGCGGGTGGATCACCTGAGATCAGGAGTTCGAGACCACCCTGGACAACATGGTGAAACCCTGTCTCCCCTAAAAATACAAAAATTAGCCGGGCGTGGTGGTGCATGCCTGTAGTCCCAGCTACTTGAGAGGTTGAGGCAGGAGAATCACTTGAACACGGGAAGTGGAGGTTGCAGTGAGCTGAGATCACACCACTGCACTCCAGCCTGGGTGACAGAGCCAGACTCCGTCTCAAAAAAAAAACACCATCAGAATAAACTCTAAAGTAGTTTAAAACCTAAGGCCCTATACTACTGCCGTATCTCTAACAATGGAGAGGAGAACAAAAAGGTCAAATACAAATCATCAATTTAGCATAGTTGCTGGCATATAATGAATGTGCAGTAACTGGTTACTTCACAAAGTTATTCAAAGCTGGTCCTGTATACCTAATCTTCCCTTTGAATACTTTTTTCTGATTATAAGTAAAGTTTATTCTATACATATATCTTCTTTTACCTTTTTCATTTGGAACTCAGACCTCATTTCAAAAAAATAAGGGGCCAGGGCACAGTGGCTCACACCTGTAATCCCAGCACTTTGGGAGGCCGAGGAGAGAGGACTTCTTGAGTCCAGGAGTTTGAGATCAACCTTGACAACACAGTGAGACCCCGATCTCTATAAAAAATAAAAAATAAAAAAATTAGCCAGGCATGGCAGCATGCATCTATAGTCTCAGCTACTCAGGAGACAGGTGGGATGATCACTTGAGCCCAAGAGGTTGAGGCTGCAGTGAGCATTACAGCCTTGGTGACAGATTGAGACACTAGCTTAATAAATAAATAAATACATAAATAAAACAAGAAAAGAATTAATTTTAGATTCCATGAAAAGTTTTGTCTTGAATCTAAGGTCCTAGAGTATTCAAATTATATAGTTAACATTGCCAACCTGACAAAGTCTTACCTAATGACATGTCCCACCCCCACCCCCAAGGAAGTCTCTAGATGGTACTGCCAAATAATGAATTGTTGCAATGAAAATCAAAAGCTAATGTAATAATTTTGTAGATGTAGAAATTGTTTCGAAGTTAACTGAAACTGGCTGGAATTGAAGGCCTCTCTGATTTTATGACTGATGTTATTTTTTATGTATTTTATTTTCTTTGAAGTGGGGGCTGACATCTAAAGAAACCTTCACAATCAAAGGCTAAGGTACAGGTTGGCTTCGTAGCTGTTATCTCCAAGGGCACATGTTTCTTTGGCAGGGGCAGCTCCTTAGAGTTACTATACAAAAGAGTTCACCAGGAAAAGAAGATGCCAATTCAAAATTTAATTCCAAGATGCCCATAACCAGAAATTATGGTAGTGAAATTCAGTCTTTTACATTTAGCAAAATAAAATCCTTAAGAAATTACCAAAAGCACTGTAGTAGGACTCTTAAAATGCTGTAGTGGGCCGGGTGTGGTGGCTCACACCTGTAATCCCACCACTTTGGAAGGCCAACACGGGAAGATTGCTTGAGTTTGAGACCAGCCTGGGCAACATACTGAGAACCCATCTCTACAAAAAATACAAAAATTAGCTGGGCTTGGTGGCACCTGCTTGTAGTACCAGCTACTTAGGAGGCTGAGGTGGGAGGATTGCTTAAGCCTGGGATGTCCAGGCTGCAGAGAGCTATGATCTTGGCACTGCATTCAAGCCTGGCAACAGAGCAAGACCCTGTCTCAAAAATAAATAAATGAATAAAGCTGTACTGAAGGCTGACATTAGAAAATCTGAGGTAAATCAGTTTCACTTTAGTATCTTCCAGCCTTCCCTTCATTGCGTTATCCCCAAAGATACTTCTTCCCATGCTGCCTTAGCAGATAACCAAGATCTCTCATGTGGTAGCCATAAGACATCTGCCTTCTTTGGAAACTATCTTGTCCTCAATTTTCAATCCACCCTTGCGCCATCAAAATTGACCTTTTATGGGCCTCACAGTGAACTTTCATGTTGGAAAATATCAAATATACGTTTGATTGATAAGGTGTAACTCATTTTAGATTATGCAATTCTCTGCTGGGCATGGTGGCTCACGCCTGTAATCCCAGCACTTTGGGAAGCCGAGGCGGGCAGATCACTTGAGGTCAGGAGTTCGAGACCAGCCTGGCCGTCATGGAGAAATCTCCGTCTTTACTAAAAATACAAAAACCCACCGGGCATGGTGGCGCATACCTGTAATCCCAGCTATTTGGGAAGCTGAGGCAGAAGAATCGCTTGAACCCAGGAGGCAGATGTTGCAGTGAGCCGAGATGGCACCAAGGCACTCCTGCCTGGGTGACAGAGCAAGACTCCATCTAAAAAAAAAAAAAAAAAAAAAAAGATTATTATGCAATTCTCTTTTCAAGGACAGCTGTATTTTGCCATTCTTTAAATCAAAGGCTAATGAGCAAAGGTAAAATTTCAGGCATCTCAAACTGAATGCTATCTGGGAGGCTAGAGTCCTTCACAGTGTTCTTCAAAACACAACAAATAGGCCTGCTCATTGGGACAGCCTACCATTTATAACTGTACTATCTATAACATACTTACTATAAAGTTGTCCTTTTATTTGCCTTGTTCTTTTAAAATTCAAGTGCAGAAAAAAAATCCTGTTAATTGAGAGTTCAGGTTAGTTAGAGTCAGGTCAATCAAGGTTTTACTCTAATAGAATTGAGATGTTGTGACTTTCCGCTGTGAAAATTTTTTTGACTAATCAGTTCAGTTAGCCTGTAATACTGATTTAATGACCTGTTGGAATGAGTCACACTAATTGAACTAAACTATGTTGTTTACAAAAACAGTTGATAGTGAAAGTAATGTGTCCTGCATCCTTCTGCCAAAGCAGAAAATGCAGCTCATTATATTAAAACGGAAAATGTTATTTTATTAAAAGCTGAAAATTATACAGTATTAAATGTTTTATATTGGCTTTCATGAACTCCATTTTGAACATACATTTTTCATTTTACTTCATTTAATATATATACCTTTTTAAAATTTATTTTGAGCAGGGTCCTGCTCTGTCACCCAGGCTGGCGTGCAGTGGCTAAATCTCACAGCTTATTGCAGCCTTGAACTCCTGGGCTCAAGCCATTCTCTTGCCTCAGCCTCCCAAAGTGCTGGGATTACAGATGTGTGTGTGCCATCATATAAAAGGCCTGTATACCATTCTATACATCCCAAGGTGAGCTGATTTCAAGTGGAAAACTGTAATAGTAAACAGAAAGGAGACAAAGTCAAGTCTATTTAATCTTGATCACTCCAATTTTTAGTTTTAATTGTTGTGATATTTCTGGGAAAAAAGTGATTATTTTGGATAACATGAAATAATATTTCGGCTGGTATCAGTTTGAGGGCATACATTAATTTCTTAGGGTATGCTATGGAAATATTTTGAATGTGAAAAAAATGGTGGATACATCCTTTCCAAAGTTCTAATTGTAGACATTTGAATTATGCTACAATACTCTTTCAAACATGTCATTTTGGCCAGAAATATAATTAGTCAAAAACTAAAGCATTAAAATATTAAGGTTATGGCTCTACAGCTTAACAATTTTTAACCACCTATTTTACTTGAAATATTATTCCCTCTCCCAGCCCATAGGCAACCCCGCCTACAAGATATCATGAAAATACAGCAGCCTGCATAGCCTAGCGAGACCTTGTCTCTACAAAATTTTTTTTAAAAAGTTAGCCGCCAGCCTGGCCAACATGGCGAACCCTGTCTCTACTAAAAATACAAAAACTAGCCAGGTGTGGTAGTGTACACCTGTAGTCACATCTACTCGGGAGGCTGAGGTGGGAAAATCGCTTGAACCCAGGAAGCAGAGGTTGCAGTGAGCCGAGATGGTGCCACTGCACTCCAGCCTAGGTGACAGAGGGAGACTCTGTCTCAAAAGAAAAGTTAGCCGGGCATGGTGGCATGTACCTGTAGTCTCAGCTACTCTGGAGGCTGAGAGGTGGGAGGATTGCTTGAGCCTGGGAAGTCAAGCCTGCAGTGAGCTGTGATCATGCCACTGCACTCCAGCCTGGGAGACAGAGCAAGACCCTGTCTCAAACAATAATAATAATAAATACAGAAGAAGTATTTATTATCAACCTATTCTGTGCCCAGAATTGTGCTAGGTACTGTAAGGAATACCCATATAAAGCATTCCCTACCTTAAAGGAACTCGTAATCTTTTTTAAAAAAAACTTTTTAATTTTTTTAAACTCTCCTATTCTGAGAAACATAAGGAACTTGCAATCTATTTGAGGAGGCAAGATAAATACACATAAGCAATTAACCTCAGTATAAAACAAAAGAAAGAGTAGATGAGAAAAGAGCAGTAAAGGAAGGTTTTAAAGGAAGAATGGGACTCCAGCTTGCTCCTATAATCCCACTCAGGAGGTTGAGGCAGGAGGATCGTTTGAGCCCAGGAGTTCCAGGCTGCAGTAAGGTATGATCCTGCCATTGCATTCCAGCCTGGGTGACAGAGTGCTAACCCATATCCAAAAAAAGAAAAAGAAGAAAGGATGGCAACCTCAGCTCGATCTTGAAGGAAGGCCAGATATTGATAGGAGAAAGGAGTAAGGAGCCATTCCAGAGCAAGAGAATGGCATAAACCAAAGGACTGAGAACAAAATTGGCATAAAATGTATCTGAGTTGGGAGGAGAAGAATGATGAGCCTGACATGCCTCGAATGAGGTATATTGCACAACAGTGAAAAAGAAGGCCAAATGAGCAGTAAGTTTTGTCTCACATGTGAGATTATTTGCGCCTCAAGGAAAGGAACCATGTTCATTACATCTTTTTTTCATACTTTTTAACACCTACCTCAGTGAAATATACATAATAGATACTAAATAAGGTCTGGTTGAATAAATGAATCTTAAAGGACATGATGACAGATACTAGAGAAATAGGCCTAAGAAGGAACACCTAGCATTAGGATACAGTGAAAAAGCAAAAGCTCAGGATTGCCATCTTTGAAAATTTTACTTGTAACTGTCACTTAGGGAAGGCTTATAAATATTTTGCTGATGAGAAGGTACAGAATCTGCCTAACAAGCTTCTACTTGCTTTTACCCACATGATTTATCCCTCTGTCCAATTAACTTTCCTAGCAACATACTGGTCCTTATTCCCTACACATTCCATATAAAATCTTTCAGAGCAAGGCAAAAAAGTCGCAAAACTCAAGACCTGAAAATTGGGTATACACTGCATTCATGGGTCTGTAAATATTAGAATAGCATTTCCTAAAGTGTCTTCCAGATAGCTCTGAGAGAAGTTAATAGGTGTAAAATACAAATATGTCATAGAATCAGGTAAGTTTGGGAAGCCCTGCCTACTCTGTCACTTGCTTGGAGATTTCCAATGCATATTTGCATATCAAAACATTCTGAAATGTACTACAGTAATCTATTTTAAATTATTTATGTTGTTTAATACAATATTTTCCAACCTTATTTTACCATGGAAATCTTTTTTTTAAATACGGACTACTACCCAACGTTAAACATCATTGTGTAGGATATTAACGTCTCAACATGTGAAAAATTCCGTTAGGAATACCAAGAGAGTTGTTGGAAAACCTTGACCGTGCCCATATTATTTATTCATTTATTTGGCTCTGTGTCCCCAACCAAATCTCATCTCCAATTGTAATCCCCACGTGTCAAGGGAGGGAAGTGATTGTATTATGGGAGCGGTTTCCTCCATGCTGTTCTCATGATAGTGAGTGAATTCTCTCATGTGATCTGATGGTTTTATAAATGGTAGTTTTTCCTGCACTCTCACATGCTCTCTGTCACTTGCTGCCACGGAAGACGTGGCTGCTTCCCCTTCTGTCATGATTCTAAGTTTTCTGAGGCCTCTCCAGTCATGTGAGACTGTAAGTCAATTAAACCTCTTTCCTTATAAGTTACCTAGTCTCAGGTAGTATCTTTACAGCAGTGTGAGAATGAACTAATACATTTATTTTTATTTTTTTAAATAGAGACGAAGTTTTACCATGTTGCCCAGGCTGGTCTTGAATTCCTGGGCTCAAGGGATCTGCCCTCCTCAGCCTTCTAAACTGCTAGGATTACAGGCATGAGACCATGCCCATTTAAAATCATTTGTGCCTTGCTGTCATCTCAAAGAGTGTTCCCTCAAGAAAAGGGTCATATCTCACAAGAAGTCATCACTCCTCACCTCCAGTACTGTAGTTTGTCATTCAGACAATCTGAATTGTCCGCCTACTTGGTGAAATGATCTAGTAGTCCTCAAGAATGAAATAGTTACATCGATCTATGATAGTTATAAACATAGTCTTCAGGCCAGCCCAGCATGGTGGCTCACACCTGTAATCCCAGCACTTTGGGAGGCCAAGGCGGGCAGATCACTTGGGCTCACAAGTTCAAGACCAGCCTGGCCAACATGGTGAAACCCCATCTCTACTAAAAATACAAAAATTAGCCGGGTGTGGTGACGGGTGCCTGTAATCCCAGCTACTCAGGAGGCTGAGGCAGGAGAATTGCTTGAACCTGGGAGGCGGAGGTTACAGTGAGCCAAGATGGCACCACCGCACTCCAGCCTGGGCGACTATGTTTTACTTATTTTTTATTACTTTTGTTTTCTTAATCTGAGTCAGTTTTTATTCAAAAAGTATGTTCTATTTAACTAACATCACTGAATTCAGTGGTAGATTTAAAAATAAATTTATAATGCATTTGGGACTATAATGGAATATTTTGAATAACCATAAAATTTTTTTTCTTTGGGAAGTACATGAGGATATTAATATTGTTGCACTAGTTCTGATTTGTTATATTTAACTTTTTGTGAGTTTAGCGAGATATAATTTATATTCAGTAAAATTCTAAAATATCAATGAAGAATTTATCCAGTCATGTAACCACCACCACCGTGATCATTATATAGAAAATATTCATCACTCTAGGACATTCCCTTTTGTCTCTTGGTGGTCAATACCCTCTCACAACCTCAAATCCTGGCAACCACTAATCTGCTTCATGTAACTGTAGTTTGCCTTTCATGAATATCATATAAATTGAATGGTCAAGTATGCAACTGGTGTCTGGCTTCTTTCACTTACCATATGCTTTTGAGAATCATCTATGTTTTTTGTTTGTTATCAGTAATTTGTTCATGTTTATTTTCAAGTAGTTTTCCATTTTCTAGATGTACCACAATTTGTTTAGCCATTCACCCATTGAAGGACAATTCGGTTGATTTTTGGTTTTGACTATTTTGAATAAATCCCCACAAACATTCAAGTACAGATCTTTGTGTAAATAAACACCCTTAATTCTCCATGCAAAAGCTTACAATATATAGCAGACTTTAATGCGGTAGGGCACCTAAAGATAGAAGTAGGTCCACAATAGAGACGTTTCTCAATATAAAGAGACAACAGAGTCTATGCTTTAGAGAGGGCTAAAAGGATGACAACTGGAAAAGTCACAATATAAAACTATTATCAGAACACTGGAACTTTAGAGAAATAATTTTAGTACAGTTTAGAAGATTAGAAGCCAGATTTTAAAGAATACAAACAAGCAGTAAGGAATGGAAACCTTAAAAATAGTCTAAAATATTGGCAGTAAAGGGTATGGGGGGAAAATGAAATGGTAATTTTAGGAGATATACAATTTCAAGCAATATTGTGGAGAATTCTGAGGGAACAAAAGAGATTGACATTGCAGAGAGGAGATCATTGATGCAGCAAGATGCGAGAGGTATTTCTTCCAGAACAAAAATAGGATGTTAGATGCTTAGATACTGGTGGAGAGGAAAGCTTGGCAATAAAAATTTACTTAGAGGGAAACCAGGGAGGGTCAGAGCCCATATTTCATGGCTTCAGTTTTATCCATGGAATTAAGTAACTATGTTTAGAGCTGAGATACTAGACTGTATAAAGCTTAGGCATCTACCATAGGAAATTATCAGAATAGCTTAAGAAAGGCTGAAAGAACTAGTAAGCAAAGTGCAAAATCCAGCTGAAGTTCAATAGCTAAAATTTATTGTGAACTTGGTCATCATGGTTTTGTGACTTTACTCAGAAATGTTTCATGGCCTAGGAGTAAAATCAAAGGAACAGAATGATAGGACATTTCTTGCTTGGTGAGAATGAGCTTTGCAGGGCTGGACGTGGTGGCTCACACCTGTAATCCTAGCACTTTGGAAGGCCGAGGCGGGAGGATTTCTTAAGCTCAGGAGTTAAAGACCAGCCTGGGCAACATAGCAAGCCCTCTTTCCCTCCCTTCTCCTCCCCTCCCCTCCCCTCCCCTTAGACCAGCCTGGGCAACATAGCAAGCCCTCTTCCCTCCCTTCCCCTCCCATCCCCTTCCCTTTTTTTTTTTTTTTTCTGAGACGGAGTTTCGCTTTCGTTGCCCAGGCTGGAGTGCAATGGTGAGATCTTGGCTCCATGCAACCTCCACCTCCCAGGTTCAAGCGATTATCCTGTCTCAGCCTCCTGAGTAGCTGGGATTACAGGAGCGTGCCACCACGCCTGGCTAATTTTCCTATTTTTAGTAGAGACGGGGTTTCATCATGTTGGTCAGGCTGGTCTCAAACTCCTGACCTCAGGAGATCCGCCCGCCTCAGCCTCCCAAAGTGCTGGGATTACAGGCGTGAGCCACTGCACCCGGCCAACCCCTCATTTCTTACAAAATTAAAAACATTAGCTGGTCACGGTGGTGTGCCTGTGGTCCCAGCTGCTCAGGAGGCTGAGGTGGGAGGATGGCCTGAGCCCAGGAAATCAAGGCTGCAGTGAGCTGTGATCACAACATTGCACTCCAGTCTGGGCAAGAGAGTGAGATGCTGTCCTGTCTCAAAAAAATAAATAAATAAAAGAGAGAATGAGCTTTGCAGACTTAACAAAATATCAAATAAATAAGACACTATTTGAGTTAATAAAGAGATATCATGGGTCTCATGATGAGTAGGCAAGAAAGTTAAAAGAACTAAATGAAAAACTCATCAGGAAAGCTAAAAATACTGAAGATTATTTGGTAGGGGTGGGGAACAAAAAGAGAGAGTACTGTAGCTAATAAAAGAAGATGAGGAAGAAAATATTGTGGTCACAGAATAGTGATGGCTGGTCCTTAGAACTGACTCAGTGAAGAGACAGTTAAATGGCTGAATAAGGAAGATGTTGGGGAGAAATTTGCTGGAAATGGAATCGGTACAGATCCCTTGTAAAAGATAAATTACTGCAAGACACAATGAAAGGAGAAATTTGATGATAAACTAAAGATCTATTAAGATAAGTTACCTGTTTCTGCAAAAACACAGATTGCCTCCGGGAAGACTGAGGCTCTATCATAGAACCTCATCAAATCAGAGTGCAGAGACAAGCAGTTACCAGTTCTTTGATTGTGTACTGCTTTTCTTTACAATCCATTTATCAGTTTTAGTGCACACTGCTGCCATGCTTACCTTTTCAACTGCTACCACAGTCATAAAGCAGTTGGTGCACAATACATTTCCACTGTCTGTCATATCCGCCAAGTGTACACTGGCAAATTAAATAGAAAAGGTTTAATTTTTTAAAACACAGCTAGAGTAATACCCTTATTATAAACAACACCAACATATTCTTGCTGACAGTAGCAGAAACAAAAGCACGAGGATACAATAATAAAAATAGTTGTGCAATTGGGGGTGCAGAATGGGAGTTTGGAACAAAAGATCAAGACAAAGCCGAGTTATGTCAATCCAGGAGTTATAAGCTTCAACCCAGAGCCACAGCAACAGTGATAAGATTTGCTTGATACAATGAAAAGGACATGGACACACCAAATTACTTATAGTTGTTATCTCTGGAAAGTGGATAGAGGATGACAAAGACAAAGAGACTTTCATTTTTAACATTTTATACTTTTGTAATGTTTAGGTTCTCAATGCCAATTATGTGTAACTTCTGAGAATTTTCTAAAACTTGCAAAAGGTAAAAAAAAAAGGAAGGGAAGGAGACAAGGAGACAGAGACGAAGAAGTTTATCACCTCCATAACTTTGGGCAACATATTTAACCCATCTGAGCATCTATTTCTTCAATTATAAAATGGGAATATGTATGAAGAACTACTTTGCATGTTTGTTCAATCAGTCAAAAATTGTGTATAGAATTTACTGTCTTAAGTGCTGTGTGTTGGCAGTAATCAGGGCTGTTGTGAGGAATCAAATGAAACGATTTGGATGATGTGGCTGACACAGAGAAAGTACTTAACAGACGTCATTATTTTCCTTCTATCGCTCTTGTATAAAAGCAGAATTGGTCTCAGAATTTGAGGCAAGGCAAAGCAGTCTCAGCTATGGGAGCTGGTGAATGCAGAAGCAGAATATTGGGCAGATTCTAACTATATGAAATCAGTTTAACCTCATGTTGCCTAGGGGAGAGGATTTCTGTAAGGCCTGAGAAAGCCCCAGAGTTCTCACATTTGTTCTGAGTCGATTCTTGCATCAATAAAATTGGACTGCAAGTCTGAAGTCTCTTTCCATCCCTGAGAACTTGCCTTTTGGGGTAATCTTCATTTCATTCCATCAAAAGCTGCACTGTACAGTTAAATTTATAGTGTCTTGAAGTACCTCACTTACTTGTCCAATAAAGGCTCTCCAGATCTTAGCTGTGCATGCCTAATGTTAAAGTTTAAATGGTAGTAAAAGCTAAAGTGTAATATTAAAGCATACAACTGTCTCTAAATATTGAATACTTTTGATGAAAAAAAAGATTTTTTTTGTTCAAGGTTGATCTCCTATGGAATGTCCTCAGGGAGGGAGTGGGTGATAGTGCTGAAGGGAGTCAGCTCAGGAGCTATCAATCATCTCATGAAATAGAGTTGCTGTTATGAATCAAATGAAATGATTTGGGTAATGTGTCTGGGACAGAGTAATTGTGTCTGGCACACTGATTATTGTTAAGCTGCCAGATTCAGTCTGCTAAATCCAGTCTCCTCATCAGTTACCTTATGATTCTGTAATAAAAGACCATTAAAATAAGTTTTTTTGCAATCTGGTAGAAGCATCTACTCATCACTATTTTTTTGAAAAAATATCAGCTATATCACATTACAGTGTGACCACATTATGCTGTTTCTCAGGGCATCAGAGGAGACAAAACTCTGAGCTAGAAAGCTTTAGGTGTAGGAACAACGTAATATGAGGATTAGATTTGAGCTGTAGATAAATATGATTGAAAGGAAAATCTTAAATTAATATGCTTTAAGAGAATCAAAGTCTTTGAGAGAAATTAAGTTTTCTTACTTGTGAAAGAGTCCATATTTTGTTAATGCTCTCCTGGAATCAGAATACTTTGATTTCTGATTCTTGAATTCTGGCTCTTCCATAGATTATAGTAACTAGTAATGTAATCTTGAATAACTCACAGACACATATTTCCCATTTGTAAAATGAGTGTAGTGCTAGCTGACTTGCCTAACTCTTGGCGATATAATAAACCTTAAGTGGGATAACATATGCAAATGCACTTGGAAGCATGTAAAGTACTATATAAATATAAAAGAGCATTATCTAATTTCCTTCTACATATTTAATGAAAGGCTTCCTCTACAATTCTAGCACATACTCTTTGGCCCTTCTTTCAACATTTAAAACGGTACTTTTCAAATAATTATGTTTATTTTAATCAATAGCATTCTTTATTCAAGTGAAATAATGGGAAGATCAAGGAAACCCATAATCTAATATAGGTAAGGGAAGAGCTGCTCCATTGGAGTTGGAGTATGGGCCAAAAAGCCTTCCTGTCTAAGCTCAATATCTCCTATCTTTCCTTTCTCACTCATAGCCTGGGAACTCCTGAGCCAGGCCCATCAAAGGCAACCAGAAAACTACTAATCTGATACTTTTGTGAAATGATTGCTACCTGATTTAGCCCAAAATTAAAAAGATTTATGCAATTCTGACTTATCACTTTGTTAGCTTTTCAAAGGCAAGCACCAGGTCCTCTACTTATTCTGGACCTAAAATGGTACACAGGCCAGGTGTAGTGACTCATGCCTGTAATCCCAGCCCTTTGGGAGGCTAAGGTAGGCGAATCACCTGAGGTCAGGAGTTCGAAACCAGCCTGGCCAACATGGTGAAACCCTGTCTCTACTAAAAATACAAAAATTAGCCAGTCGTGGTGGCGGGCACCTGTAATCCCAGCTACTCAGGGGGCAGGCAGGAGAATAGCTTGAACCCAGGAGGCAGAGGTTGCAGCAAGCCCAGATCACACCACTGCACTCCAGCCTAGGCTATAGGGCGAGACTCAATCTCAGAAAATATAAATAAAATAAAATAAAATAAAATAAAATGGTAGACAAATGACAAGCAGCTCAAGTAGCATGATTCATCAAATCTTTGATGCCATCAATTGTAGGATGCACATTATTTTATGTACCATTAAGAAATAAAAAAACTCCACAGTGATCATCTTTTTTTTTTTTTTTTTTTTTTTTTTTGAGACAGGGTCTCACTCTGTCACCCAGGCCGGAGTGCAGTGGTGTGATTATGGTGATTATGGCTCACTGCAGCCTTGACTTCCCTAGCTCGAGCAATCCTCCCACCTAAGCCTCCTAAGTAGCTGGAACTACAGCCATGTGCCACCATGCCCAGCTACTTTCTATTTTTTATAGAGATGAGGTCATACTGTGTTACCCAGGCTGGTCTTAAACTCCTGGGCTCAAGTGAACCTCCCTCTCTGGTCACCCAAAGTGCTGAGATTACAGGCATGAGCCACCATACCTGGCCACTGGGTAATTTATTAACAATAGAAATTTATTTCTTACAGTTCTGGGGGCCGGGAAGTCTGAGGTCAAGGCAGCACCAGGTTGGTGTCTGGTGAGGACTTGTGCCTCATAGATGGTAACTCCTCACTCCATCCTCACATGGTAGAAGAGGTAAACAAGCTCCCTGAAGTCTCTTTTATAAGGACACTAATATAAGTCTCAACCTTCATGACCTAATCACCTCCTAAAAGTTCCACCTGTTAATATCACCACATTAGGGATAAGGTCTCAACATATAAATTTGGTTAAGGGGACACCAACATTCAGATCATAGCAATCAGCCTCATTAATTTATTTATTTATTCATTGAGGGCCTGTTATATATAATAATGAAGAAAATAGAAAAACAGCCTTGCCACCTGTAGAGCTTACATTCTTAGGAGACAGAAATAAATTAACAAATGAATATATATTGTATTTGTTACTGATAAAGGCTATGACAAACAGATTAAGCAGGATAAGGAGGCAAAGAGTGGCAGAAGGTGCTGTCTTATATAGAATGGTCTAAGAGGTCCTGAGGAGGTAATAGTTGAGCAGAAAATGTAATGAAATAAAACAACAAAGGCAACTGCAAGAGAAAAGTTCCTTGGGGGCAATCAAGAAATAGCAAGGAGTGCTTCTGTAAGCAACTGGAGAAAAAACAAACAAACAAACAAAATGGCAAGGAGGCCAGTGTGTACAGAACAGAGAACTATGGATTTCATAAGTGTACTGGGAAGCCACTGAAGGACTTTTTTCATTTGTTTGTTTTTGAAATGAGGTCTTGCTATGTTGTCCGAGCTGGTTTCAAACCCCTGGGCTCAAGCAGTCCTCCAGCCTTGGCCTCCCAAAGTGTTGGGATTATAGGTGTGAGCCACCATGCCTGGCCAACTGGAAGACTTTGACTAGGTCATTGGCATAGTCCTATTTGCATTTTCAAAGGATTGTTCATCCTATGGTATGTACAATAGACTTTAGAGGGGCGAGAGTGAGGGCACTTAGGAGTCAGCTGCAGTAGTTCAGTTGAGATACGATGGTGTCTTGGGCTGGAGTGGTTGAAGCAGAGATGGTGAGAGGTTTTCAGATTTGGGTTATATTTTGAATGTAGACCAGAATGGATTTGTTGATGGATTCAAAGTGGATTGTGGAAGAGAGAGAAAATCAAGGATATTTCTGTGTTTGGCTTAAGCGACTGAATAATAATAAGGGAAGAGCTGATTGAGGAGGGGGTAGGAATAAAAATATTGGTTTCAGACATGTTAAGTTTAAAATGCCCTTTAGATACCCAGGTGGATAGCCTGGGATTCAGGGAAAGACCTGGGCTAGCGATATAAATTTGGCAGTCATGGTACCAGCTGAGATTATATAGAAACCCATTACAGATAAAGCAGAGCTCCAAGGACTGAGCTATGGGACTTTCCAACATTTGGAGGTTGGGATGAGGAATAGAACCTAGAAAAGGAAATGGGATAGTCAATGATGTAAAAGGAAAACCAAAAGAATAATAGTACCAAAGAGCCAAGGAAACAAAATGTTTGCAAGAGGAATTTACCAAATTGCCAATTATATATCCAAAGTTTCAAAATGCTTTTACTCATTGACCCTCCTCTAGCAATTTATCCTACAGAAATATTCACATATGTGTACAAGGATGTAGCTACAAGAATATTAATTAGATTGATGTTTATAGTAGTGCAGTCGTAAACTATCAAAATGTTAATATGGAATTATTTCAAAAATAAACTCAGCAGCAAAAAAGCCCTAGAAGTCCCATTAAAAATGGTCTAAAGACTTGAATAGGTATTTCTCCAAAGAAGATTACAAATGGCTAACAAGTATATGAAAAGATGTTCAACATCATCCGGGAAATGCAAATCAAAACCACAATGAGCTCACACCTGTTAGAAGAGCTACTATCAAAACAAAAGACAACAAATGTTGGTGAGAATGTGAAGTAATTGGAACCTTTGTACTCTGTTGGTGGAAATGCAGAATGCTGCACCTGCCATAGAAAACAGTATACAGTATCATCAAAAAATTAAAAATAGAACTAATGCATGATCCAGCAATCCCACTTCTAGGTATTCATCCCAGATAACTGATATCAGGATCTTTAAGAGATATTAGCAATCTTTTTATTGCAGCACTACTCATGATAGCCAAGTTGTGGAAACAACTTAAATGTCATCAGTAAATCAATGAATAAAGAATATGTGATATAGGCCGGGCGCGGTGGCTCACACCTGTAATCCCAGCACTTTGGGAGGCCAAGGCAGGTGGATCACCTGAGGTCAGGAGTTCAAGACCAGCCTAGCCAACATGGTGAAACCCCATCTCTACTAAAAACACAAAAAAATTAGCCAGGCATGGTGGCACGCACCTGTAGTCCCAGCTACTCGGGAGGCTGAGACAGAAGAATCACTTGAACCCGGAAGGAGGAGGTTGCAGTGAGCCAAGATTGCGCCACTGCACTCCAGCTTGGGCAACAGAGTGAGACTTCGTCTAAAAAAAAAAAAAAAAAAAAAAGAATACATGGTATATACATACAATGGGATATTATCCAGCCTTTAAAAAAAGGAAAAAACTGCAACATGCAACAACATGAATGAACCTTGAGGACATTATTTTAAGTGAAATAAGCCAGTCACAGAAGGACAAATATTTAAAGATGCTTAGACCATTATTTTGAGAACTTTTTCTTTTTTAATACATGCATTTAGTGTTATACATTTCCCTTGGAGAGTTGCTTTAGCTGCATGTCACAAATGTTTTAATTTAATCCAAATATTTTCTAATTTCCCTTGGGTCTCCCTTTTTTATTCATAGGTTACTTAGTAGTGTCTTTCAAATATTTGAGGGTTTTCCAGATATCCTTCTGTTATTGATTTCTACTTTAATTTCATTATGATTGGCAAACATACTTTGTATGATTTCAATCCTTTTACATTTTAAAAGTTTGTTTTATAGCTCAGAATAGTCTATCTTAGGGCATATTCCATGTACACTTGGTAAGAAGGTGAATTCAAGTTGGTGATAGTCTTCTATATCCACATTCAGCTCCTAATTTTTCTGTCAACTATTGATATATGTATGTTAAAGTTACCATGTACAATTGCAGATGTGTCCATTTCCCCTTTCAGTTCTTTTACTTTTTATCAGGTGTATTTGGAAGATCTTTTGTTAGCTGCATATACATATATGATTGTTATGTCTTCTTTGTGTACTGATTCTTTTATAATCATGGATTCCTTCTTTATCCCTGGAAATATTCCTTGCTTTTAAATTTACTTTATCTGATATTAATATAGCCACTATGGCATTTTTTAAATTAGTGTTGGCATAGTGTATCTTTTCCCATCATTTAATTTTTGACATATGTATGTCTTTATATTTAAAGTGCATTTCTTGTAGACAGCATATAATTGGCTCTTATTTTTATTATCCAATTTTCATTCTGTCTTTGAATTAGTGTGTTGAGATTATTTGTATTCAATGTAATTTTTAGCATTTAGGCCTGACATTTGATTAGGCCTGATATTTCCTGCTTTCTCTTGGATTAAATACATTTTACTATTCTATTTCAACTTACATATTGGCCTTTTTGCAATTTCTTTTTGAATTATATTTTTAATCATTTTTCTAGGATTTCTGCATGTGTGTGTATGTGCATATACATGTATAAAGTTGGTGCAAAAGTAATTGTGGTTTTTGCCATTAAAAGTAATGGGAAAAAATGCAACTACTTTTGCACCAACCCTGTGTATGGCTACAATCTATTTAAGAGCTAGCCATTCTTAAGTAGAATTTTGCCACTTCAAGTAAAACATAGAAGCCATACAACCATATAGGTTTTTTTTCCCATTTATTTTCTATTTTTCGTAAGTTTAACATCTACCTACATTGAAAACTCCACCAAATCTTATACCTTTGATTTCAATATTAATATATATTTTAAAGAATTTCAGAGAAAAACAGGCTTTTATACTTAATCGTATAATGTTGCTCTTTCTTCAAACTTAAGGATTTCAGTTTCCCTTTGGTATAATTTTCCTTCATCCTGATGAACTTCCTTTAGCATTTCTTGTAAAACACATCTGTGAGTAACAGATTCTCTCATTTTCCCTTTTTCTGAGAATGTCTTTATTTCACCTTCAATTACAAAATATATTTTCAGCAGATATAAAACTCTGGGTTGACAGTTATTTGCTTTCAGCACTTTAAAGATGTTGTCCCATCGTCCTCCAGCCTTCATGATTTCTGATGGGAAATCCATAGGTGTTCAAATCATTGTTCCACATATACCATATGATGTTTTTCTTGACTGCTTTTAAGACTTTTACATTTATCTTGGTTTTCAGTAGTCTGGGCATGGTATTTTCTGAGTTATTTTGTTTTGGGTTCACCAAGTTTCTTGAATATGTTAATTTATGTTTTACTATATGTGAAAAGTTTTCTGAGATTATTCCTTAAAATATTTTTGCACTTTTCTCTCCTTTTGGAACTCTAATGACCTGAATGCTATACTTCTTTATAATGCGTCAGAAGTTCCTGAAGTGTGTTCATTTTGTTCAACCTCTTAATCTTCATTGTCTTAGTGTTCCTCAGATTGGACACTATTTACTGACCTATTTTTTAGGTCACTGGCTCTTTCCTCTGTCATCTCTAGTCTATTATTGAACCCAACTGGTAAAATTTTTTATTTCAAATGTTGTGTTTTCCAGTTCTAAATTTTCCATTTTGTTCAATGTTATAGTTTCTATTTTTCTGCTGAGAACACATTCATCTACCCACTCATTTTGAATGCATTTTCTTTTGGTGTTTCTAATAATTCCAACATCTGCATTTTTTCAAGGTTCACATCTGCTGAATGTATTCTCACTTGAGAATTGGTCACTTTTTTTCTGGCTTTTAGTATGTCCAGTTTAGAGCATTTCTTGGACATTTTGATTATTATGTTGTTTAGAAAATTATCCTATTGTACTTCTCTGAAGAATGTTTACGTTTTGTTTTATCAGGTAATCAACCCGTTAGATTCAGCTCATAAATTCTGTCTTGCCTTCTATAAGTGGCAGTTCAAATCTTCTATGGGTGGAATAGCCATATAATGGAATACTTTTCAGCCATTAAAAATAACAAAATACTGATATATGCTACAATATGGATGAACCTAAAAAACATTATGCTAAGTGAAAGAAGCTAGATGTAAAATACTATGTTTTGTATGATTCCATTCATATGAAATGTCCAGAAAAGGCAAATCTATAGAGACAAAAAGTAGATTAGTAGTTTTCTGGGAGTAGAGATAAGAATAGAGATTAACTGTAGTCAGGAAATGGGATCTTATTGGGGTGAAGGAAATGTTCAAAACTAAACTGTAGTGATGGTTGCACAGCTCAGTAAATTTCTCAAAAATCATTTAGTTCTAAATTTTAAACAGGTGAATTTTATAGTATGTAAATCATACCTCATTAAGTTTCTGAAATATTGGATTTTATGTTATTCCTCTAAGAATTAGCTCTTTTTATTTTTATCTGTCCATCGAAGGCATTATTCAAGGTTAACCCAAGACTTGTATGGGTGGTTATGATCTCACTTTAGTTCTCAAAGCCTTTACTTTGCTCATTATGGTCTATCCCAAGCATGAATAGCTCAGGGATTCAGCTGTGATTTTTGCAGAATTAGGGGACCCCCTTCAGTTTTCTTCCATTTGTAATTCCTCTCACACTCTCCAGCCTTGTGGGGCTCATTTCCCTTATTTCTTTGACCAGAAAGTTGATGAGATTTCTATCCGAGTTTTAACCTTCGACATCACCACAGCATTATGTGACTGGGACCCAACCTTGGCACAAAAGAACACAAGAAAAAAAAAAAAAGTAAAACTAACCACCATGCACGTTATTTCTTCCAATTTTGACTTTCTTTTATTATCTTCCTGTTTTATTAACTTTCTTGGAGCCCTCAAGTAGATGGTTTTTTTTGTGTGTGTTTTTCCATAGTTTTCAGTTACAGTCTACTGGAAAAATAGGCTGTAGTTACCTTACATCACCATAGCAGGACTGCAACTATGACAGATCCAGTTTTGAATCCTAGCTCTGCCACTCACTAGCTATATGACAGAGTAAATCACCTAACTTCTCTGAGTCTATTTTATTTTCATCTAGGAACTGGGATTTATAACTATAGCTTCCTGAAAATGATTTTTGACTTGAAAAATGATAGAAAAATGATGAGCAAAGACAAGCCTCCTAGAGATAATCCCATTATTATTTGCTACCAGAGAGGAAATATGTACTTTGCCTAAATGTATTTCTTTGTTTTCTGAGAAGTAACATTGGTTATATTGTGATGAAATTAGTTGTCTCCTCCGCTAGAATGGAAGTTCTATGAAGTCAGGAACTGTATTTTCCTCATTTATGGTTATATCTTCTACAATACTTTCCACACAATTGGCCCTCACTATTTGTTCAATCAATAAAGATCCCTATGAATTGTCAGTCCACTCAGCACCCTGTGTTTACAATATCTTAAGCCTCTAACTCCTGTGACATTTACCTCCATCACACTCCACCTACTCACTACCATAGTGGAACTGTATTTCTTGCCATTCCCCAAAACTACTCTATATCAGAAATCCTTGACTCCAATATCCCACTCTCTGACCTCAACCTTATTCTTCTGGCTTTACTTTCACTACATGTTCTCTTGACCTATAGAAACTCTTGTTCTTTTTCTCTCAGTCTTTTGGTAAGAGGCTTGTCGTTCCCTTGAGGCCGTAAACCATCCTAGAGAAATTTCTCAGGTTCCTTCTCTCTATTTCTTTTGAGCTCCACTCATTGGCCCATGGGGATACAACAGCATGTTTCTATAGTTATTTTATGTCAGGGATAGCTAAATGGTAAGAATTTTAGATAATCTTTTGATTGCAGACATATGTTCAGTGTGCTACATAAGGTGCCAAGCTCTAAAACTCCATTTTGGTTTATTATTACATGGCAAACTACATATTTTCAAAAACTGGTTCTCGTTATGGAAGATCTCTTATACCACACATATTCTCCATATTTTCATTTATACATTTAAATGATTTCCATTTTTATGAAAAGCATAATCTAGTCATGATAGAGACCTTTTGCTTTTTTTTAAAAAAAAAAGGCACGGCAGAGAGATGTTTTTGAATAAGTAATTTTCACTCGATCATTAGGAACAAATGTTTTTATGAATCAATACAGTCTGTTTTTTTTTTATTCTGGGCTGGTGTTTGGAGAATAAATCCCTCATTAGTCTCTTATGATTCTTTAATCTCACTAACCTAGGGCACTGGCAGATTTGCAAGTGATTTGTATTACTTGGTATAAATGTACATTTCTTTCTACTTTCATGTGTTAATAAAATTTTTACATGCCTTTTTAAAGAAATAGCCAAGTCTCTATGCTTAAGCGTAATAATTTTTAAATGATAACTTCGAGTCATGAATTGTAGTTAATGATAACTTTCATTTTTGGTGGCAGGGGGTTGGGGGGAGGATCCCTGGGGTGTAGAGAGGTAAATGAAGGGGAGAGAGGGAGTGAGGAAAGATGCCTACCTCTTGGTAAAGCAAATGCTGGCCTTGTTTTACCTGTTTCATTCTACTCCTGAACTAAAAATTATTTCTTCAGTTTCTCTTTCTTTCATCATCCTTAGCCTCCTAGAAAGTGCTGAATCTTGTTTATCCTAGCCCTAGAATCTTTTGGTCTCTCTGGGAACAGATCATAACATCATGTACTCGAGACACGAGCCACATATGTTTAATACATACTGGGAGCCCCCGCAAAAGGCACCAGTTGGTGACTACTAAGACATCACATCCTCAGAATTCACATCATACACACACTGCCACACTGCCAATTTAAGCTGAAGTATGTAATCTGAAAACTATAAAATGGCAGAATTGAGAGCAGACAGGCAATATAATCCAACTCCTCAATTATATTACACATGGAAAAACTGAACACTTGAGAGGTTAATTAACGTGTCCAAGGTTACATAGCTGTATCATAGTTTTGACACTCATTCTGTGACAAAAGAACATTTTGTAATGTGATATATTTGTTATGCTAACATTGCTATTGCAGTCACACAATGATGCATTTTCCTCTTTCATTCTCATTTCATAAAATATAAAAATAATCACAAATATTTGTTCATTGTCAGAACACCCACTCTCCTGTTTTATTGTATTTATTATTTATTTATTTATTATTAATTTTTTTTTTGAGATGGAATCTTGCTCTGTCACCCAGGCTGGAGTGCAGTGGATGATCTTGGTTCACTGCAACCTCCACCTCCCTGGTTCAAGTGATTCTCCCACCTCAGCCTCCCAAGTAGCTGGGATTACAGGCACATGCTACCACACCCAGCTAATTTTTGTATTTTTAGTAGAGATGGGGTTTCTCCATGTTGGTCAGGCTGGTCTCGAACTCCTGACCTCAAGTGATCCACCTGCCTCGGCCTCCCAAAGTGCTGGGATTACAGGTGTGAGCCACCGTGCCCGGCCCTGCTGTTTTAGGCCATAGGCATAAAATTGCATCTATTTGATATTTTTCTTCTCATAGCCGCAAAATGTAATTTCATTACATATCATTGATTCATTTATTCATCAAGATTTGAAACTATGTTCTCAAGGCTTGGGCCAAGGATGATATAGGAAGGGTGTTACAAAGTAGGAGATGAATTCCTCACTGCCCCTGAAGAGCTTTGAAACTAGTTAGTGTAGGGGGCAAAACATGCAGAAAACGACTCAAGAACAATTACAAAGCTATATATCTGCAGATGCAGAGGATTGTGCAAAGTGATAATGTGAATGCTGAAAAGAGGCTCCAGAATAATGGGGGGTCCTAAATTAAATGGGGTAAATGAGGCAATTTCATGGAATAGGCGAGTTTTGAGCAAGATTATGATGAATTGAAAGGTTGTGGCATTAAAGAGTGAAGAGCCATTTCTGTGGGGGTAGTAAATGTATGGCACTGAGATGCTAAGTAGTGTATGGGGCAGAAAGGAAATTAGTTTTGGCTATAACGTCATGTCAGGCACTAGGCTAAGAGCTTTAAAAATTGTCTCATTTGGCCGGGCGCAGTGGCTCATGCCTGTAATCCCAGCATTTTGGGAGGCCGAGGCAGGCGGATCACTTGAGGTCAGGAGATCGAGACCATCCTGGCTAACACGGTGAAACCCCGTCTCCACTAAAAATACAAAAAAATTAGCCGGGCGTGGTGGCGGGCGCCTGTATTCCCAGCTACTCGGGAGGCTGAGGCAGGAGAATGGCATGAACCCGGGAGGTGGAGCTTGCAGTGAGCAGAGATTGCGCCACTGCACTCCAGCCTGGGCGACAGGGCAAGACTCTGTCTCAAAAAAAAAAAAGAAAAAAAAGTGTCTCATTTATCCCTCACAACCGTACTATCAGTGAAGTTGTAATATATTCCCCCACTTTGTTTATAAGGAAACTGAGCCACTGATGAAATAAATAACATTACAGAAGTCTCACAGCCGGCAAAAGGTAGAGACTCAGACACGTACCTTCTATCTCTCTAGAGCTTCCTGTTATAACCACTAAAGCTATAAGCATTCTCTATAGGCTTTTTTTTTTTTTTTAGATGGAGTCTCGCTCTGTCGCCCAGGCTGGAGTGCAGTGGTGCAATCTCGGCTCACTGCAACCTCCACCTCCCTGGTTCAAGTGATTCTCCTGCCTCAGCCTCCCAAGTAGCTGGGATTACAGGCATGCACCAAGCCCAGCTATTTTTTGTATTTTTAGTAGAGACAGAGTTTCACCATGTTAGCCAGGCTGGTCTTGAATGCCTGGCCTCAAGTGATCCGACCGCCTTGGCCTCCCAAAGTGCTAGGATTACAGGTGTGAGCACCTGCACCCGGCCTCTCTATGGGCTTTTAAACAAGAGAAGAACATAATAAAAATAGTGTTGGTAAGAGATTGTTGCAATAGGTATGTAAAGGAAAAGCATAAAAGCAAAGTCATAATTATTAAATAGTTCACATGAAATAGTCACCATTAATTCTGTCACAATTAATAGTAAAGTGCATACCATTCCCCCACTGAATTTTTTTAAAAAACCATACGTATGAATATTCTGATGTGAAAGGAGAAAGATTAAAACTTAATACCACCTGTTTCCTATTCCCAGCTGTGCTGAACAATGGGAACAATACATACAAGTTCATTCTCTTCCCTGACATTCATCATTACCCTTTAAACAGATGAAGGAAGTCTGGAGCTTGATGAACTTTTACATATGTATTTGTTTTGTGTATTTGTCTAATTTTGGTAGGTCATAAAATCCCAGGGAAAAATTAATTTTTCTTTTTATAGATCTAGCAAAAATTATATCTAAGTCAAATATAACCTTTTGTAGCAGTTTTGTGATGAAAAATCAAAATAATTGTTCAATTAGTTTCTGTCTCAAAAAGAATTACAAGCTTGAGTCAAAGAACACTTATTCTCTTTTTCTTTGAGATGAAGTTTTGCTCTTGTTGCTCAGGCTGGAGTGCAGTGGCATGATCTCGGCTCACTGCAACCTCCACTTCCCAGGGTTCAAGTGATTCTCCTGCCTCAGCCTCCCAAGTAGCTGCGATTACAGGTGCCCGCCACCACACCCAGCTAATTTTTTGTATTTTTAGTAGAGACGGCGTTTCACTATGTTGGCCAGGGTGGTCTTGAACTCCTCGCCTCAGGCAATCCACTCCCCTCAGCCTCCCAAAGTGCTGGGATTACAGGCGTGAGCCACCGCACCCGGCTGAACACTTACTCTTAATATCACAAAGTTTCTTCCACTGCCAGTAGTTAGACACCTAGACTAAAAACATGAAAAATAAAATCTACAGTGACCATCACTGCCCAGGGCCACCAAACACATGTATGTTGAGTACCAGCAATGAGCCAGGCACTGAGCTAGGGGTATTTGGTTTTATTGGTTTGATTCTTTCCACATAGATAGCCAAGATATGTTAGAATGAGTTTAAGAATAAAGAAATATATATGTCCGAAAACTTATCTCTAGGATCTCAAGCACTAGGTGAATTCTGCTCATTTATTTGAAGTGACATGTAAACTGCCACCGATTTTAAGTTATCCAAATTCATTTATGTATTTTAATCATCAGCTCCGTTTCCCTTTCCCCTGAGAGAGATCCACAGTAAACATAAACTTCGACCTGGGCCCCAGCTGCCCCATTTGTCAAGTAAGCTATGAAGGGTCTTGGAGATAAGTAGTCTAACTCCTTTAGAGGGTTAGAATAATTACCAAGAAACTGCAGAAGTCCCTTCCAGTTCCAACATTGTCTAATCTGTGGAATGTCATGGAGATTGTATTAATTCTCTCCCTCTGGTCATTCTTCTGGCTAATTTATAACCATCTCTGTTTACTTTTTACTAAAAATGCAACCTGCAACCTAGAAGAAACTCCAAAAGAAAGAAATTTGAAGTTATTTTCTTTTAAGACAATACTCTTATTACTCTTACCCCCAAATAACTTGTAACACAGAGCATCAACAAAGTTAGAAAGAAAATAAGCATGCCATTTAATCAAATTAATGTCTAGCCTATTCTTAAAGCCAATCCAGGGAGGAAATTCCTATATTCTCCTGGGTAATCTTGAGAAGCTGGTGAAATAGTGTCAAATACATTCATTCTTACTTGAAATTGACTAAACTATGGCTCCTTGAAAATGTTACCTGTCTTTATATCCCCACAATACATCATGCTGTGCCATGTCCATAGTGAGTTCTTTATATCAAATTTTAGATGTTTATCAATAGTGATATTCAGCATAAAGCTCTAGTGACCTGAGAAACTCAGAGCTCTTGCAATAAAACTTGAAAAACGTTTCTATTGTTTTGCATGTACTGGAAGGGGCTGATCTAGTTCATTTTTATTCTTGTCAACATGTAGCTTCTCAAAAGTATTCTTAGCATATAGGATATGACCAAAACAGATTAAATAGTCATTTCAAATTCTAGCAAAGGCAGAAAACAATGTTAAGCCATTTATTTTCCAAGGTTTGCCTAGTTTAGGGAATTGGAGTATCAAAGCAATGAGATAATTGTCCAGTTTTCCACCTCTTTCAACTGAAATTGAATCTGAGACTTTAGAATTTTTTTAAATCTATGACATAAATTTACATATTCTATAAATGCAAAAGTAGATTCATATAAATTTAAAATGTAATATAAATTTGTAAATTCTGTATAAAAGTACATGTGTACCTATTCAGTAATACATATCTAAATTACATATACTTAAATTACACATGCTTATAAATATACATACAGATAATTAGAGAATAAGGCTTTTAGACTAGGTTTCGTTTATTTTGGGTTATTTTGGTTTGTTTGTTTTGAGGAGTCTCACTCTGTCACCCAGACTGTAGTGCAGTGGCGCGGTCTTGGCTCACTGCAACCTCTACCTCCTGGGTTCAAGTGATTCTCTTGCCTCAGCCTCCTGAGTAGCTGAGATTACAGGCATGTGCCACCACGCCCGGCTAATTTTTGTATTTTTAGTAGAGACAGAGTTTCACCATGTTGGCCAGGCTGCTCTTGAACTTCTGACCTCAGGTGATCTGCCCACCTTGGCCTCCCAAAGTGCTAGGATTACAAGAGTGAGCCGCCGCACTCAGCCTAGACTAGTTTTTAAATATATGTCTGTTGCTCCAAAATGTTAGTAAAACCTTAGTGGTTTGATATTTCTTCTCCTTTTTTTTAACCTTTAAATATTATAGGAAATTGTACCTATAATAGCGTTGATTTCTAGAAAATAGTCGATAAGTATTAGAATATCCATTTACATAGAATTCTCATTCTACATAACAAATATCTACCAGTCATTGACTCAGATCCAGCCCATATAAAACTAGTCTGTATTTTAATTGACCTAACATTTAAAAATCAAGAGATATCACTTTTTTAAAATCCAGTTTTCTGATTTCTCTTGGAAAATCAAAAGATCTGGCAACACCAGCCCAACATTCCAGCGTGGCCACAGTCAGTCAGTAGGAACTGTGTAGCTGCCACTCCCTTGAAACAGAGCTGTGCTCTTCAGGATGTCTCAGCCAAATAGGCCATCTCAATTATTTGTTGCATGTTTGATCCCTATACTCATTTGAGTTAGCAACCACTGATTGGGCCAACCTTTTCACACTATAAAGGTGGACTAACTCAGAAGTTAAGTGACTTTCCTAAAGTCATTTAAGGGGAGAACAAGATGGGTAGATACAGTCCTTGCCCTCAAAGAGTTCATAGTCTGCGTCAGAGAAATACACATATTCATAACAAAGTACAGAATATGATAACAGAACCATATAAAGAATGCACAGGAAGTTGCAAGAAGGGATCACATCTTGGTGGGAACATCAAAAAT
This sequence comes from Homo sapiens, assembly GCF_000001405.40. Taxonomy (NCBI): domain Eukaryota; kingdom Metazoa; phylum Chordata; class Mammalia; order Primates; family Hominidae; genus Homo; species Homo sapiens. The sequence goes on along the minus strand of NC_000023.11, from coordinate 112,968,594 downwards.
GACTTCATGAAGGAAGTATCATTTCACAAAGCAGGACATATCAGAAACCAGTTTGTCAGGTTTCTCAGCAAAACTCTAGCCCTGATACTTGCCAGCTTTCTTACTGAGGCTAAGTTACTTAAAGACTCAGAGCCTCAGCTTTCTCATACATAAAATGGAGATAATTTAGAATCACTGAATAAAATGTTCATGAGGATTAGATGAGAAAATAGAGGTAATAGACCTTGTACATAGTAAGCAACTAGCAAAATATTCTTATTACTTTTAAATGGAGAAAACAGAGTATTTATAGAGGGAAAAGGAAGAGGAGATTCTACTCAGCAGAATGAGCATCTAGTTGGGAAAGTACAGGGCACAGTCAGAGAACAGCAAGTACAAAACAGAGGTGAATTATAAATAAAAATGGCAGCCATGTAAGTGGCACACTCTTCAGGTCCTTCTAGCACACAGCAGCTTGAATCACTCCCCACTGACACATTAACCGGGAATAAGCACCCTGAAGACAACAGAATCACACGATTCCATGCAAGCCCTGACCTGCCTCCTGCCTCTTCCCGCTCTTCATCCAGCTCCTTCCTAAAGCTACCTAGGCCACTGGGGCTCTGCAGAAAAGGGGACATAGTATACACGCAGGACAGAGGCCACTGACTAAAATCAGGGTCCTCCCCAAAACTGGGGAAATGGGGTAGGCTGAGGGGTGGTGTATCGTCTCCCAGGGATAGCCTTTGCGGACAAAAAGGGAAAGTAAAAGCCACGCCACCCAACTGACACACCACCTTCTACCCTGACACCTGGATGACTGGGGCCCCCACCCTCCCCAGCCGCACTTGTGTAGACACACTTGCACACTCCTGGCCCACAAGTGTGCAAGCTCCCATACACACATTCTCACCAAAACAGGTGCCTGCCAATAACTGAAAACCTAATTTATTCCCACCACAGAAACGCCTTCCTGGATTCTTCAATGGTGAATTTGTGATTCCTGGAGTGAAGTGCAAATTCTTGATGGTTTCTCTTGCACAACCAGCTCTTCTCTAAACAACAGAGTTAGGTAACCCTTACATTCCACTGTTGGGATTCAGAAAACAATACCCTAAAGTGAAGGCCTCAGAAGCAGCCTCAGAAGTGAAGTTCCTCTTTGACTTTCTGCCCTCTTGTCTCCTGCCCCTCATTCTTCCCTAAGGCAAGCCATAGAAATGAAAATTCCTCTTTCCCAAGACTGATCATAGAAACCAGAACCTGTTTCCCCTCTAGACTAGCCACAGAAACTAGAATCCCTCCTCCTCAAGGCACACGGTAGAAATCAGTACCCTTTTTCTCCAAAGCCAATCATAAACCCTAAAAATGTTACTCTAATTTTCCCCCATTTTTCTGTGTAAGAAAGAACTGGACATAAGGAAATTAAGACCCTCATTCCACAAAGGTCCTATCTCATACACAGGAAGAAAAAATGCTAGAACAGAGAGGCCAAGAAGAATCTGAACAGACAGGCCTTGCTAGGTTTCTCCCACTCAGTCTGTTTCTATTAGTTCATACCCTTTTTATCTAATCACAGTTTTATATGGCTGCCCTTGCTTCATTGAACCTAAGCATAGAAATAGACAGTTTTCTCTGCATCTTTGGGTCTTTATTCTGAAGGTGTCTGTGTCATGTAAAAGTATGACCAAATAAATTTGCTGGGCTTTTCCCTGGTTAAACTGTCTTTTGTTATGGAGGTGGTAGTCATGACCTTTATGGTGGGGAGGAAAGGAATCACCCCCTTCTTAGCCCCTGGACCACTAAACAAGGATTTCAAGAACACACACACACCCACACACACACACACACACACACATTCATTTCTGATAAACACACTAATAGATCCAACCAACACAAATGGATGCAAACATGGCACCTCACCCAACACAGACAAAATCTGTAAACGGAGAACCAAAAGTAATCTCACCATAGAACAATTTAATTTTTTTCTCAAGTTTTACAACAGTGAATACCATAAAAGACTACATTATGATTGTACATACTGCAAAACAAATTTTATTTTGAATAATATATTTCCTAAGTGTTAGACTTAAGACTTCACAATATTTGTTTGATATGACCATACACCCTTTTACCTTAGTTGATTCACCTTTTTTTCACATGCACCTTGCCATCCATTTTGTTTCACTACTGTTACTAAGCAGAAATTACTTCAAAAACTCAAATTGGTTGTTCATTTCAGTCAAAAGTCTACTATTTGTATGTCTATTCCATTTTCTTCAAGCAATTATAAACCACTTTTAATGTGTAGATATAAAAATAATATCACTTTATAACAAATATTTATTGAAAGACTACTTTATTTTCTATTTCACTGAACAATAGCTCATGAGTATCTACCATGTGCAAAGCACTGTGGTGACACTAGAGATACAGTGGTGAAGAAGACAAACATCATCCCTGAAATAGTTGGGGTAGGGAAACTGCTGTAGGAAACAAATGTAAGTTGTGCATTTCTTCATGTAACAGTACCAGTGGGTCAATAGGTTGGCATGTCAGTAGTCCTTCATATTATAGTCAATCAGGGACATAAGCTGACAGAGGCTCAGTCTCTTTTAACATATGGTTTCCAAAGTCACTCTCAGGCTTATCTCCATTCTAGCTGGCAAGAAGAGGAAAAGATAATGGAAGAGGTCACTTCCACATGAAGGGACATTGTGGAAGACTAAGCAGCTGAGATCTGAGGTGGCACACATCACTTCCAATCATATTCATTTGGCTAGAAATTCAATTCATTTGTCTAAGAAATTTAATTCTTCTTAGTGTTAAACTGCAGTGGTCCAAGAAATTTAATTCCTGACTGGACAGCCACTCTAAACTGTGGAAACTGGGCAGCTAGCTACCTCTACCCACAATCCTTGTCCTCATGTAGCTTAGACTCTAGTGAAGGAGGCAGGTAATAACACAGGTATATTAAAGATGTATTGTTAAAAATTGTGAGAAACATAAGAAAGAGTAACACAATGGAATACAAGCATATAAGATAGGAGGAGCCGACCAAGTCAAGGAAGTCATAAATGCCTTTCTTAAGAAAAATAAGCTAAGATTTGAATGATGTGTGTGAGTTAACTAGGGAAAATGAGATAAGTACTTTCCAAGCCAAGAAGAAAGCATGGTCAAAGGCCCTGTGGCAGGAAGATGCTTAGAGAGAACAGGGATTAAAGGAAAGCTAGTGTACCTGGAGTACAAGATGCTGAGGCAAGCTCAAAGTGAGATGAAACTGGAGGGTGTGGGTAAAGGTAGATAATTCAATGCCTTGTTAAGACTTTGAACTTCCCCCAAGATTGGTGGCAAGGAGCATTATATGTTCATGTCTGTATTTTGAAATGATTGCACTGTGGAAAATGGACTGAAATGGGGCAAAAGCAGGTGCAGGAAGATGACTTATTGGGTTTTGAAGTTGTCTAGGTAAGAGATAGTAGATTGTACTAGACTAATGGTGGAATAGCCAGAGAGAAACAAAAGTGAGAGATTTTTAGGAGAAATTGAGAGAGTTACTGATGAATTGAATATGGTAAGGAAAAGAGAGGAAAGAAGTATCAGAGATGATTTAGGCTTGCCTGCCAGAATAGATAGTGGTGCTATGGGTACAGACCATCGTTTGGAGAGGTAAATTATGATTTTACTTCTGAATATAATGAGTTTGAGGTACCTTCAGGACAAGAAGATATATCACACGGCAGTTCACTCTAAAAGCCTGGAGCTAGAGGAACAACTTGTCCTAGAGATAAAATTTTGAAAGTTATCTGAGTAAGGTGGTATTTCAAGTGTTAGACATGGAGAAGATCTCCTAAGGAAAGAGCACAGATTGAGAAGCAATACCCTAAAACTGGCTAGGATGAGATTAACCTGTAAACAAGAGAGAGAGAAAGAAGGAAGCCAAAGACATAAGTGGAAAACTACATGAGAATTCTATCCAGAAAATTAAGACAATAGAGCATTTCAAGGAGTCAGTGGCCTAAACTACAGATTGCTGGCAATCAGGGTAAAAAAAAAGCCGGCATAGTTGTGTTTTTTTGCTGTTAGTCATACAATCTCATTTCTAAATGTTACGTTAAATTCCCTTTTGCATCTTGTTGGCTTTATAACAGTAAACGTTTTAGTAGGGAAATTCCTTCATTCATCCTTCAACTTATTTAAAGAACATAATTCAATTTATTTAAAGTACAGGAAAAGAAGGTGGCGGCCAAGAGATAATAAAAAAGTACTGCAAGTTCCTCCATGTACACTTGAACATTGGTTCCTATATCCAAATTTGCTATAGGAACAAAAAAACTTAAGAAATTTTATTCTTAATGCAGTTCTTTGGGAGCATTTTCTCTTTCCCTATTCTGTAGTTGTGATTGCCTCTTCTTAAAATCACATGGTTGCACGTTAGAAAAAGTAAAAACTGCTGTGCACATTATAATAATCCCCAATTAATGCTAACACAAGTTTTGTGACTGGATAGTGTTCTCCCTTCTCTTCTCTTTACACAGAATGAGATAACGACATCAGTTTAAAAATAGTATCTATGCCGGGAGTGGTGGCTCACGCCCGTAATCCCAGCACTTTGGGAGGCTGAGGTGGGCGGATCACGAGATCAGGAGATTGAGATCATCTTGGCTAACACGGTGAAACCCCTTCTCTACTAAAAACACAAAAGAATTAGGCAGGCGTGGTGGCAGGCGCCTGTAGTCCCAGCTACTCCTGAGGCTGAGGCAGGAGAATGGCCTAAACCCAGGAGGCGGAGCTTGCAGTGAGCCGAGATTGTGCCACTGCACTCCAGCCTGAGTGACAGAGCAAGACTCCGTCTCAAAAAAAAAAAAAAAATCAGTATCTATTTGCAGAGTCAGTCTGATTTCCAGTTATGGCATTGCATTCCAAAAGAAAAAAAGAACAAAGAAACAACTGCTATCAAATGGCTCCAGGTTTTGCTTTTGTTGTTAAGAAGATTTAAAGTAACAATAATCATCATAATTAAAAATTCAGGTTCTGTCAACAACCCACACTTCACTCCTCTTGCTATGGAGGCTGTCAGTTTTGGCAAATGTAACCCTCGGTCCCCAGACCATACCAATCATAGAAAGTAATTAAGGGCCAAGATCACATTTCAAGCAGTATTGGGCTCAAATTTTCCATTTGATTTTCATTTTAATTTCAAATATTATTTATTGAGCATCTATTATGTGCCAGGCACTCTTCTACGTGGTGACAGTACAGCAATGAAAAAAACAGACATAAGTCCTGGTTTTGATGAAGCTTATATTTTGCTTTATTTTGATTTTGTGAGGCTAACTTTACCAATACCACTTTCTGACTTTGCTCATACGAGATCTGGATAATTGGGACGAAAAAATAATCTTCAAGGATATTTCCCTTTCCTTTTTCTTTTATTGCTCCTGCTGCTAGGAAATATATTTGAAGTCCCTTAGAAATCAAGGAAGAAAATTATTTGTGTGGCCTGGCTCTCTCCATCACTTTTATCCTTCCTCTATATTTTAAATCAGTAGCCTTATCTTTTAATTTCCCACCATGACAAGGTGAATTTCTCTACCTCCCAAAGGGTTTTATTTTGTTTTTTGTTTTCAGTGGGAGAAAAAAAGCAGGCTTCATCTCCCCTTCTGTATTTGAAGGTTCTTCAGCCTATTAGTCTCCAAATTTTCTTCAGTTTTTTCTAAGCCTGTGGTAGCATGTCCTCCAGCAGATGGGACTTCTGTCAACCTGGCTTGACATCCCAGCACTCCCAAAGAAAACCATTTGCTCCACTGTTTAAAATAAAATAACAGACAGGGTGGCGAGCAACCAAGTCTGAGGACTCTGCCCCAGGATCGCGAGCTGTCCTATCCCCTACTCTTCCACTTCTCGTTGTAACCAATAAAGGGCATTCCTGCCATAATAAATAAATAAATAAATAACAACAACAATTCAAAATAAGAAAAATCCCCTCCTACCTTTGGAAGTCTTCATGGTGTTCTCACCTCCAAATAGTTACTATGGGGTGATAAGAGAGAACACAAAAACAAAAAGAAATAGGGGGGAATGTATTTTCCTCTCTGCCAAGAAAACAACACAATTGTGATATTAAAGGGCATAAATATTTTAACAACTTTTTTTATTAATGTCAAATTTCTTTCCAAAGTTGTATCAAATGATACTTCCACTAACAATGTGTGGATGACAATATATTAATTGTCTGTATTTGCCAACTTGACTGGTTAAAAAAAATAGCTATCTCATTCTATTTTTTCATATATATTATTTTTCTCACCCTTTGTATTTTTTGTTTTGTGAATTGTGAGTGTATGTCCTCTGGTCTGATTTCTGTTATCACTTCACTTCTCACCCACTGGCAGACACCCAAGGTGCCTCCCCCAACATTCCACTCAAACTGCTCTCCACAACCTCCTTGTTACTAAATCCAATGGACATTCTTCAGTGCTATCTTACTCAACCTCTCAGCAACTTTGATACAGTTAAACACTTCCTCCTCCTTGAACACTATCTACATATAGCTTCCATGGCACACTGCCCCTCTGGCTTTTCTCTTACCTACCTCTTTGACCATTCCTTCACATCTTTAAGGACTTTTCTTTCTCTGTACATTCCTTAAAAGGCAGAGTTCTATCTCAGGGTTCTGTCCTAAGCATTCTCTCTTTTCTTACAGTACTTACTGTCTCTGGATACCCTCATGTCATAGACTACTATTTATTTATATAGTGTTTATTTTATTTATTTACTCTTTATTTATGTGCTATTCACTATTACTATTCCTTTCTCCTGAGTTCCCGGCCAATATAACCAAATGCCTTCTGTAAATTTCCATTTTCAGTCTTTTAGGCACCCATAAGTCAACATTTCCAGAACATGATTCATCATCTTACTTTCCAAAGCTATTCCTACTTCTTTTTGCCACCACCCCAGCTACATCCTATCAATCACGAAGTTCTGCTAATTCTTGCTTCTAAATGTATTTCAAATGCATCCTCTGTTCTCCATTCCCACTGACGTCCCCCTTTTGCAAGCCACTATTATCTTTATCTTTTTTTTCTGGGTCATGGAAAAATCTTAAATGGTCTGCTGGCCTCAGATTGGGCCCACTCCAATCATTCTCATAGCAGTCTATCATATTGGCTAAGGCCCAAATCTAATCATGATAGTCCCTGCTTAGAGCATTTCAATGGCTTCCTTAAGAAAATCCAAAATTCTCAACATAGTTTGCAATGCTTACATGATCTGACTCCTCCCTTTGCACCCTACGCTTTAGTTACACTGAAATGTCTTAATTTCCCCCAAATATACGATGCTGTATCTCAATTCTAGGCCTTCATGTGCATTGTTCACTATGAGGACTACTACTCATCTGCCTTTTCATCCTCCAATTCCCTTCTATCTGTGTCTGGCTACCATCTACCTATTTTTTACCTTTAAAATTTAGAGGCTACTTCCTTCAGGAAGCCTTTCCTGGCTTCCCAAGTATGGAGTAGGTGCTTCTCCTATGTGTTCTGATGGTAGCTGCATCGCACACACACACACAAAAATGGGAATTACTCTATTTACTTATCTGCATCTCCCACTAGACTGCAAGCTCCACAAAGGCAGGAAATATGTTATTGTTGCTTTCATTGTTACTATAGTGTAAACCTAGCAGGTGTCTAATAAATATTTTATAATAATATTTGTCAATTTTTCAATTGAGGTTTTCATCTTTTCTCATTGAATTACAAAAGCTCTTTATAGTTTTTAAATATTTCCTACCAAAAAAACTATGTTTCTCATGTTTCCCAACAAAGTATGCTTTTTACTAACTCCTTTGCTCTATGTGTGTTGTTCTCTCTGTTCGTAATGTACTCACTCTCTGTGCATGTTTTCCTACCCATTCAAATGGCATTTTTCTCCATGAGGCTTAGTTAACTTCTTAGGAAATAATTATTCACTCTTGCCTATATACTCCCATAGCACCTTGTACATCTGTCAACTTCAAGACCCAGTGTTTTTATTTCCAGAGCAATTATCTTTTTTTTATTTTGAGACAGGGTCTCACTCTGTAGCCCAGGCTGGGGTGCAGTGGTGCAATCTCGGCTCAACAGCAACCTCCTGCTGCTGGGCTCAAGTGATCCTCTCAACTCAGCCTCCCGAGTAGCTGGGACTACTGGCATGCACCACCAAGCCCGGCTAATTTTCTGTGTTTTTGGTAGAGATGGGGTTTCACCATGTTGCCCAGGCTGGTCTCAAACTCCTGGGCTCAAGTGATCTGTCTGTCTCAGGCTTCCCAAAGTGCTGGGATTACAGGTGTGAGCCACCACTCCCAGTTACAATTATAATTTGTTTTCTTTTGCATGACTTTCTCCTCCATTAGACTATAAGCTCCTTTAAAGCCAAGAATTTTCTTATTTTTATTCTGCACTTGCTATGTCTATCACTATGCCTGGAACATAGTAGTACATTTAGAATATTTTATTAAGTGTGTTAGTTTGGGGCCACAACCGTACAATGTTTAATGGTAAAAATAAAAGAGCAAAATATTTTCTGTGAATAATCATAAATTCAGAACTTCAGGAAGGTCCTGCTTGAATATTTACTCCATGAAAATAGTAAACTGGAAAGTCATAGTTGGCAACTAGAGAGAAGTTAAAGAAAGATCTAAGTATGCATACTCTGTAATTGTGTGTTAAGTATTCAGATAAAAGAAAAAAGTGTCACATATTAATGAAAGACTATAGTGAATTGGTAATAAGTCATGTACATTAACTGTAAACTCATGTTGCATTTTAAGAAAACAGAACGTTAGCTGTAGCTCTCTAGTAACTTCTACTGCTTACTGCTTTTAACCTCTGCAGTTTTGACCAAAGGAGGAAACTAATTGACAAATATTTATCCTTAGTTAGTAAATTTTCCATAGGCAAATACTTGAGATTTAAATTAAAATTGACAAATATTTATCCTTAGTTAGTAAATTGTCCATAGGCAAATACTTGAGATTTAAATTATTCTGCTAATTACTTTTAAAAGCTCTAATTGTCCTTGTTTAAGATTGTTTTTGTATTTATTTTGGGTTCTTTTTAGAATCACCTCTAGCTTCTTACATTTCTAATTAGACTTTGCTTTTCAAAACCTGCCACTTCTAATGGACTTTAGAAAGCTTTCTCTCATGTAATTCTTAAGGAAAAGATTCTACTTTCCTGCACTAGGGTTTTTTTTGTTGTGTTTTGTTTTGTTTTTCTGCTTAGTTAAAGCCTAAGAGCATTGGAACCTCACATTTTAGGATCAGACTAGAGAGCTAGACAGAACCAGTTACGATCAAGCTTATTCCACTGGCTTATATTTCATATGAAAAAACCAAGGCCCAGGGATGCCGAGTGTCTTCATCAAGGTCAAACATCAAGTAGCACAAGCAGGGTTAGAGCCAAATTTCCTGCCTCACATTTTCTGTTAAATAACAGCGTCTTTTCAAAAGTTTGATGGGCCATTTAGCCATGATTCAGTAATTCCAGTAAAAACTGATTCATGATTCAAAAAATATATATTAAGGCCAGGCGCAGTGGCTCATGCCTGTAATACCAACATTTTGGGAGGCCAAGGCGGGAGGATCACTTGAGGTCAGGAGTTCGAGACCAGCCTGTGCAACATGGGGAACTCTCGTCTCTACAAAAATACCAAAAAAAATCAACCAGGTGTGGTGGCATATGCCCGTAGTCCTAGCTACTTGGGAGGCTGAGGCACAAGAATCACTTGAACCCAGTAGCCAGAGGTTGCAGTGAGCCAAGATCGCATCACTGCACTCCAGCCTGGGCGACATGGCGAAAGTCTGTCAAACACACACACACACACACACACACACACACACACACACACACACACACAAATATATATTGAATGTTTACAATTTGCCAGGTACTGTGCTAGGCAAGGGTATTAATTCTTTTAAACTTTGCAACTGCTCTTTGATGTATGCACAGATGATGCATTGGGTAAATAAGACAGAGAAAGTCCCTGGCCTAATAGTCTGATGGAGTTTCAGAGCTATTTCTTCCCTCCCTCATCTTATCTCTATCTCCCACTTTTACTACCCTCTCTCTTTACTAGCACACTCTGTTCTCTCTACAGAAGGAGGAATGGCTAATCTCATTGGTCAAATTCAACCATTCACTGAGCCATGTTATTCTAGCAGCTGAGATCCCCTTTCCCTCCAAAAGCAGGAAAGAGCCTCTGTTTTGTCTCTTCCACTGTCTGCCTTACCCATGAGTAAGAAAGGCAGTACCATCTCCATTTTTGTACACCACTGTGTCAGCAGACTGTATTCTCTCTTTTCCTGCTCCTCACCCAGGTTGCTAAATTGGCCAGATCAGCATCAAGGTCTAGCTATCTTGAATCTAGACAATGAAAGAGTACAAAGGCCTATTTTGGCCTCAGACCTAATCTGTGTCCTCAAACCATTTTCCCTGTACTTTGGGATTATTGGCCACTGCTCTTTATTCTTTGTGTGCATATTTTATTGTTTAGAACCCATTAGGAGAGTAAGTGAATGATAAGCATCCCTCCAAGCCAGCCTAACAAAAAACACAGACATCAAACTAATAACTTGAAAATATTCAATTAAGCTTATATACCAAGTATATAGAAGACAAGTTCAGAATGATACAAGAGCATATATATATGAGAGAAGACTTCCCTGAGGTAGTGTCATTTAAGCTAAGACCTAAAAGATAATTAGGAGCTTAGGTAAGCAAAGGAAAGGTGTGTGGGTGGTGGACAGAGCAGTCCAAGCAGAAGGACCACCATGTGTGAAAGATCTGAGGCATAGACTAGCATGATACAGACCAGGAACTGAAAAGAGACCAAAGGGCCTGGATCAGAGAGTGGAGAAAGGTGCTTTATCATCCACTATAAAAATACAACACTTAGACCGCATGCAGTGACTCACCCCTGTAATCCCAACACTTTGTGAAGTAAGGCAGGAGGATTGCTTGAGCCCAGGAGTTTGAGACCAGACAGGGCAACACAGGGACATGCTGTCTCTAAAAAAAAAAAAAAAAAAAAAAAAAAAAAAAAAAAAAAAAGTGGAAAATAATAGCAGGCATGGTGGTGCAGCCCTATAATACCAGCTACTCAGGAGTTTGAGGATGGAAGGTCACTTGAACCTAGGAGATCGAGGCTGCAGTGAGTCTTCATTGCATTACTGCACTACAGCCTGGATGACTATATTAGTCCATTTTCACACTGCTATAAAGAAATGTCTGACACTGGGTAACTTCTAAAGGAAAGAGGTTTAATTGACTCACAGTTCCACGTGGCTGGGAAGGCCTCAGGAAACTCAAATCATGGCAGAAGGTAAAGGGGAAGCAAGGACCTCCTTCACATGACGGCAGGAGAGAGAAGTGAGAACACAGGAAAAACTGCTATTTATAAAACCATCAGATCGCGTGAGAATTCACTCATTATAGGGAGAGCAGCATGGGAAACTGCCCCCATAATCCAATCACTTCCTTCTCTTGACACATGGGGATTACAGGTCCCTCCCTTGACACATTGGGATTACAACTGGAGATAAGATTTGGATGGGGACATGGAGTCAAACCATACCAATGACAGAGCAAGAATCTGTCTCTGTCTATATATATAAACAAACATTCATATATGTGTATGTTTGTGTACAGTGTCTGTAAAATACCCATACAGGACATATTGATTTCCTGATCACAAAGCTAGAATTAATAAAAGCTCTTTCATAGCTCCCTGTTTATCTAGCCTCTTCTTCAAACATGAGAATCAATGTCTAATTCATTTATGTCTCAAGATTTGTTTCTGCCAGCCACTAGTTTTCTTTTTTTAATTTTAGTTTGGTTTGTTTATTTGTTTGTTTGTTTTTTCTTCAGCAAGGCAAATAGAAATACCAAAAATAATATACCCTCTTTCTCACTTATGAACCCTTGGACACAATATCAATGTGCAATTTTTTTTTTTTTTTTGAGGCGGAGTTTCACTCTTGTTGCCTAGGCTGGAGTGCAATGGCGTGATTTGGGCTCGCTGCAACCTCCGCTTCCCTGGTTTAAGTGATTCTCTTGCCTCAGCCTCCCAAGTAACTGGGATTACAGGCATGTGCCACCACACCTGGCTAATTTTGTATTTTTAGTAGAGATGGGGTTTCACCACGTTGGTCAGGGTGATTTTCAACTCCTGACATCAGGTGATCCACCCACCTTAGCCTCCCAAAGTGCTAGGATTACAGGCTTGAGCCACCGCGCCCAGCCCAGTGCACAATTCTTTTACCTAACAATATGCTCTTCTTAGAGGCCCCGTAACAGCCCACCAGTCTGACTGCACTGCCAACTCTTTATCCTTAAAGTGCTTCCTGAATTTCAGTTTTTATCAGTAGCTTCTGTTTCTTCAGGAGCCCCATTATCAGTCAGCTTCTGTTTATCTGAAACAACCTGCTTCATTTTTTTTTCTAATTGCTGCAGCAAAAAAAAAAAAAACAAAAAACAAAAAACATTATGGTAGTATTTTAAATTAAGTCACAGCTCAGGCATCCACTTGTTTATCTGCACTGTTGGCCCCACACACCATTTCCTTTCTTTTAGAAGTTCAAATTTTCACTTAAGACTCTTTTAATTCATCTTTAGTGTTCTAGATGGTTGAAAATGCTGGGAAAAGGGAAAATGGGCTTTGTTTCATTCCCCACAGCAACAAAGCGCAGATTCATAGAATTTATTGCTGAATGGGACCTTGGTGATCAGACCTCCTCTCATCCAAACCCCAATTCCCCCTGCTACCCCTCCATTCTTGCTCTCAGAAAATGATCTATTTTCTTCAAGTGCAATCCCCCTAAAATGTTCTCCCTGATCTACTCTTAACATACCATTTTTATTTCTACAGTTATTCTTTCTCCCGTCCTATAAATCTCAAAGGAATAGGCACCACTTCACTTTTTCTGCTGCTAAAACATCTCTGATTCTAAATTTTATTTATTTGTCTTCCATTAGTTGTTGATAGTAACGATGATCGTGATGAGGAAGGTTATAGCTAATACTTATTAAGCATTTTCTATGTGCTCAGCACCACCTATTTCATTCCCACAGTAACAATATGATGTAAATGTTATTATTATCCCCATTTTACAAAGGCAGAGACTGTGATCTTCTTAAATATCTGCATTTTAGGCGATTTACACTTTCTTCTTCGTATTGTCTGTACTGTTTGGATTGTTTACAATGAACTATATACAACTTTTAAAATGAAACACAATAGATACCATAGAGCTTTTCTCATGGGAGGGGTGTGGGACCATCAGGGTAGTTTATATCCAATCTCTGATTTTTTCTCCACTGCAACAACATAATGGTCCATTCCATCCATTAAAAAAATATTTGAAGCTGGGCGCAGTGGCTCACGCCTGTAATCCCAGCACTTCGGGAGGCCAAGGCGGGTGGATCATTTGAGGTTAGGAGTTCAAAACCAGCCTGGCCTACATGGCGAAACTCTGTCTCTACTAAAAACACAAGCAATTAACCAGGCATCGTGGCAGGCGCCTATAGTCCCAGCTACTTGGGAGGCTGAGGCAGGAGAATCACTTGAACCCGGGAGGCAGAGGTTACAGTGAGCCGAGATCACACCACTGCACTCTAGCTTTGGCGAAAGAGTGAGACTCTGTGTCAAAAATAACAATAATAATAAAATAAAAAAAAGTAGTTTTAAAAAAATTTGAGTGCCTACCATGTGCAAAGCACTATGAAGGAAACAAAGCAACATAAGCAGGAGTTGGAGATGGTTAACTGTTTTAAAAATGAATGGTATCTATGCCATCAAGAGTTTAGAAGAACAGGAGTTCACGGTGACAAGAATGCACTAGGACTATAGCTCGGCCTTAAATGTGAGAGTCTCTCAGATACATAGGAAAAAACAACAGCTGAAAGAAGGAAGGAAGAAAGGAAAAAGGGAAGAAAGGAAGGAAGGAGTGAGGGAGGGCAGGAGGGAAAGAAGGAAGGAAGGAAGGGAGGGAAAAGAGAGAGAGAAGAAAGAAGAAAGAAAGAAAGAGAGAGAGAGAAAGAAAGAGAGAGAAAGAAAGAAAGAGAAAGAAAGAAAGAAAGAAAGAAAAGAAAGAAAGAAAGAAAGAAAGAAAGAAAGAAAGAAAGAAAGGCAGGCAGGAAGGAAGGAAGGAAGGAAAGAAAGGAAAAGAAAAGACAAAGCAAGGCATGTCTCTATTCTGATTCCCATAATCGTTTCTAATCCCTTTCCTCTCTTGACTGAGACAACGATAGCAAAAACTAATACTGGAGTATAGGTGTAAATAGGAGGATGTTTGATCCCTGCCTTGATTATTTTTTCCATCCTTGGCTTTCCTGACTATTTCTAAGTCATGAAAGTAAACCTTATGTTATTTCAAATTAACCAAATTCCTATCTTACTTTCAAACTTGCTTTTATTCACTTGCTTTAGGTTCAACTTCAAGCAGAAACTCTGAAAACATATATAGAAGAATATGTAATAGGAGATGTAAAATGGCATCTATCTCAATCTTTCCCTAAATAAACTGCAAATTTTACTTAGCATGACTGCAAGCACAGTGCTGGGCACATTAAAGACACATAATCACTTGTAAAATGACTGATCACTAACCTCTAGACCTTTAATCACCTTAGTTCCAACAGTTTACAATAAATTACCAACTCCCACAAGAGTAGGGTTTCACAAAACTAAAGCAATTCATCTCCGTTAAGATTTTGAGATTAAAAAAAAAAAGTTCTTTGAATTTAACCTCTTTTCAGTACCAAAATAAACTTCAAACTATACATAAAACCTATCAAGAAGCTGTGAACCTCACTATCTTGATTCTTTGATATATATCTTGACAAAATCTAGATCAATTTAATAGATCAGAACATAAAAGTTTATTCTCTTCTTTCATCAACTATATAAATTCTATGGTGTTAGTTGCCATGGCAAAAACTGTCTCAGAAATCCTTAAAGTTAGAAGTTATTTCAATTCCATCATATGCAAAGGTGGAAAGGTGGCTTCACTCTTTCTTCGGTGTTGATCTTCCCTCTCAGTTTTCTCCTCAAAACTGGGATTCCCTTCAGTTTTGGAACTCTCAATACGTAAAGCGAGATTTCCTAGAATGTCAACATCTGACAGTATTTTTCACATTAGGCAAGCTTGTTTTCATCACAAAGACCACAATTACAGAAAAGATTGGTAAAATCTATTTTTTATAAGAAGATGCTTATAAGAATAAGAAGGCATACAATTGATCATTACAATAGCTGTAAGCTTTGGTTTCATTTTTAAGTCCCTACTCTAAATAGGTGCAAGTCTATAAAGGAAGGTGGCTATAGATTTAACATATTCATTTCTTTTTTTCCTAAAATCTGTACTGAAGTGATCATATTAATTTCTTTATTGAAGAATTTTGAAGAAAAAAATTGCATCACAAAATTATAACTAATTTGGGCAAAAGCATTATTCCACTTTGGCAAATAATTTAAAAAGCTCTGTATAATGCTTTTCTAGGTTGCATAATTGAGTTAATAAGTAGAGAAATGTAAAGTGAAATTTAAAAGCCTCAAGGAAGGGCCTTATCCAAAGAAAGTTCATCTACACAGTCTGAAGTTATCCTTTTCTCATTCCCTGTGAGTTTAGGTATAAGTTCCGATGGGATTGTAGCAGTGTGGGCCCGAGGGGAGGATGAGGAATAAACACCAAGGCAGGCTGTGGGTACCTCATACTTGGCTCCAATTGGCCTCATTAGCTCCATTAGCTCACAGAGTAAATCTTCCCTGTGGCACATAGCAACAGGAAGTCCCAAGCAGGCAACACCTGAAGCCAGAAAGGGAGAAACATCATAGTTTAAAGTAAGTGATTCATTCAGAGACCTCTTGAGCCAACAAATGTTGGGTCCAAGGAATAAAATATGTTGCTTTGTGGGAAGAGACTGACAGGGACTAACTGTAGCCATGCAGAGTTGTCAAAGACTCAGGTTAATATAGTTTGGGTGGGAAGCAGAGACCCAAGATTAGTAAGATATTGGTGTGCCTTGAGACAGAGGCTCAGTTTGATGACCAGGGGAGATTGTAATTCAAACAGTATACCAGATGATGTTAGAGATGCCTCTCAGAGCTTCACTTTTCCTCATGTGTAAAAAGATAATAATAAATGTTCCTGTTTCATAGGGATTGGTGAGGGGACTTACCCATCAAAAGGCAGAGAGAGACAAATAGCTATTTCTCTATTTTAATATGTGTGGTTATAAAAACAGTTATATAAGTGGGAAACAAGGATTTGAATGGAAAGAATATAAGAGCAATAAATTTTCAATGGCAATAAGAAGAGATGGGAATCACTGGTAACTAATAAGCAGAAGCAATGGGAATTGAACTCAGGATCCTATTCACAGGATTCAGAAGTCCATTATTATGCATTCCTATTTATGTGTGTCCATGTATCTACCATTTTATTTACTGAGTGCTTACTATGTGTCAGGCACTGTGCTAAGCACTTTACATGAAATATCTCATTTAATCCCACCAGTACCCTGTGAGTAAGGTACTATAGTCATCCCCATTTTACCAATGAGATAACTAAGGCTAATTTAGGACAAACTAAAGTAAGGGAAGGAAACAGATCAAACTAACAGACTTAGATTCACTAATATTGAATGATATAGGTAGAAATAGTTTGCATGGAATATCTATTAGTTCCCTGAAAACCAAATAGATCGTGACATCAATTATGATTTGAATCTAGCTCAAGATGGCATCACAATGGGAACATGCCAAGTATCATGGAATTCGGTGTAAACAGTGGCTGTTCAAAGGCAGCAAAGTGCCAAGAACTGCCAAAGAATGGACATTAGGCTACTGACTTGAGAGGGGCAGCCTAGCTATCCAGAAGACCAGACTAGGAGAGAGGTCCTGTTCTGAGTATTATGCTCCAGGAAGAGTTCTTGTTTTTCCTACAGATAACACAAGGTTAGGGCAGCATAAAAACATTGGAAAAAGAAGCCGATTTAAATGTATTGAGCCTTTATGACACACCAAGCTCTTTACTAGCTTTGCATATATTATCCCAGGCACTAGATAATGTAATGTGCACACACTCGCAGGTGTTTTACCAGGTTTTCTATGACAGCCATTCATTCAAGATGGAGAGACATTGACTGGAAACTATTTAAATAGATTTTTTAAGTGAATAAATGACCATAGCCAGAGTGTTTTGATGTCCTGTTACAGTAGGAGTCTCTATATTATTTAGCTCATGCATACCTTTAAGAATATGATGAAAGCTATGGAGCTTTCTTCCAGAAAAAAAATATGTACATATTTTGCAGAAAATTCATCAAGCTTCTATAGAATCTGAGATTATACTCATGGATCCCAGTTAAGATCTAATGCGCTAAAATATTTCCAATGGGAAATTTTATGGTTCTTTTATGTTCAATAATTTTACCAATTCTCTAGATAAAGAAAGAGAAGACTGACTTGTCATGTTTGGACATGGCAGAAGATGAGAGAGCTATAAGATATATTAGAAATCATAACTAAAGTTTTCAAAAGAGCATGAGGAGCTGTTTGTAATGAATAGTATCTAATAGAAGATTTAAATTAGGGTTTCAGTCAATAGTAAGCTTGACTTAAGATAACATTGTGACCATGTCACCAAAAGCAGCTAATTTGATGTTAGGCTGCAAGCATAGAACAAAGCACATGATAGTACTTTGCAGTGACTGCAGCCTACTGTGAGTATATACAGTATTGTAGGTGCTACCCTTTCAGAAGTGTACGGGTAAATATATTCATAAGCACTTCACAGGGATAGTAGAGAAACATGAAATCAAGTCTTGCAGTAACCATTGGTTGAAATGGAAATATTGAGCTGAGAGTAAAGACGATTCACGTGGAGAAGAAACCTTGTCAAATGTTAAGTGGAAAAAAAAGATTTATTCTACATGGTTATAAGTCATAAATCTAGGATCAAATGTTATAAAAACACATTTTACTTCAATGTCAAGAAACACCTTCTAAATAATAAAAGCAGCCCAAAGATACAATGGCCTG
This sequence comes from Homo sapiens, assembly GCF_000001405.40. Classification (NCBI taxonomy): domain Eukaryota; kingdom Metazoa; phylum Chordata; class Mammalia; order Primates; family Hominidae; genus Homo; species Homo sapiens. The sequence continues at coordinate 112,950,525 of NC_000023.11, read as the reverse complement.
CCTTAAGCACTAGAGTGTCCATCTTCTCACTAACTCTGGTAAAGCTGAGGCTCCATAATCAATTGGCAGTGATGCTTTAGAGGAGGCACAAGCATCAGACAGGAGGCCGGAAACTAGATAACGGTGAAAGTTCCTTCCTACACCAAAACCAAGAGTCTCTGAGTCTAGGAACCAAACAAATTAGGTAATTGTAAAGAAAAGTGCTCCAAAGTCATCTATGTGAACTCCATACTCAACCTATTTAGAAGCCACTGAGAATCTTTTAGTCACTCAAGTTTAGTATATTATGGAAACTAATTAACCTTAAACCTATTCATTATTTTAGCTTCTTAAAATTTTTTATCCATACACAGTATATTGGAAATGACCTTTACATTTAATCATAAAAATATTCAGATATCTTCATATCACAAACAAAAGAATTGCATATGGTAACATTGGAAACAAAATTAAGCAAAAAATATCTAGTTTTTTTTTCCAAAAGGCATGGCTGCTGATAATTTGATAGGTTTGGAGACAGGGAGAGTACTAAGATGAATTCAATCCTACCACAGCTGCAACAATTTTTGGCAGGTAAAGTTCTGATTTTAAATTGTAAAAATGCCTCATTTCCATGACAAGATCATTGAAATATGTCATCCAGCAACAGCAAGCAGATTCACTCAGTTGTGGACATTGCAGTGGTCTGGTACATTTACTATTACGAGGATAGAAATCGCACAAAATTGCTTTCTAAATGTCATCCATTTAATAAACAAGAATGTCAAGACATGCAGAACACTCACCATTTCTGTAAACAGAGTGAATCTTGAGAGGGAGAGAAGGAAGAAAGAAAAGACTAGAAAGGATGCAAATAGAAGAAAGTAAGGAAGAAGAGGAAGGAGAGTGTAAGATGAATATGCATTGATTATCTATTAGTTCTATGCTTGGTGATTTCACATATATTATTAACTCTTCCCCACAAGTGAAGCAGAAATAATTGTCCTCATTTTTAGAGACAAAGTAGCATGAATAAAGTAGTGAAGTAACTTGGCCAAGGCCCACAGTTAAATAACGGTTAAACATGGATCATCTCTCTGACTCCAAAGGCCATAATCTTTCCACTAACAGAATACTGCCCCTACAATAAGTGTGGAGTTTAGGAATGTTTAGAAGGCCTAATATTTAGTAATCTTCACTGACTTTCAAACATCTTCAGCATACAAAGCCCTTGCCCCTCCTTACTTCTCCAGATTCGCCTTTCATTACCCCACCCATCAAACTCTACTGGCCAGCCACACTGAATACCTTGTAGATTCCCAAAATGCTCCAGGGTGTCAGCCTCTTTGCTTTGTGAATTCTTCTCTTTGATTTCTTTCTTCACCTGCTGCCCAGCTCCTATTTTTTTTCAAGATTAAGTCAAGCCCAACTAACCTCTCCAGAAAGTCTTTCTTGTCCACCTCAGATAGGTAGCTGCCTTGCCTCTGCTATTCCTTACTACCTTGAGTATATCTTGATCACATCCTCAATCAGGCTGTATTGTTTGCTCATCTCTCTCTCACCTACTTGACAACAACCTCTCCAAAATAAGAACTGGGACTCATTTTCACATTGCATCTCTAACATCTAGAATAGTTGTTAGACTGTAGCAAGCACTTATAAATGCTGAAACAATAAATGAATGAACAAACAGCAAAAACAATGACAACGAAATGAAAAAATGAGGTCAGTAGGTCCAATGTAGTAATAGGTAGACAGACTGCATGTGATCCTAAGTAAAGCTCCGAGATAAACAGTTTCACAATAAATCAGGGAAAGCTCTGGTCAACCAGGACACCACATTTTCCCTTTGTTAAAAGAAGAACCACATTTTCCAACTAGATTTGGACCTCTTCCAAGTTGTCCTTCTCCCTCACTACCAAAGTTGGTGCACTAAATAAGAAGTGATCCACTCCCTTAAATATCAGCACCCACATCTAGGTTCTAAGCAATTTAGAAGCAGAGATCCTGGCAGCTGCAGCCTTGGTCCATCTCTCCACTGAGAGAGACAGATGCAACTTTTTGTTTACAGTCCAGAAGTGAGCAGATGTTTGCTTGCTTTCCCTGATGTATATGCCCTCTGCTCTATGGCAGCCGTCCGATTGCCTTGTCTTGCTTCCAACTGTTTTGCTAGCTTCCTTTCCTTCTTGATCCAGAGACAAAAACAGAAAGAAACAAAGAAATAAGCCACATATATCATTTTTCAATTTTCTTGTGTGAAACCCTGTGACTGCTTCATTTCAATGAGAAGGAAATTAGTTCTTTGCCCTTTGAAGTGAGCTGAATCACTCATAATTTGAAAACAATGCAACTGTGGAGAGACAGAGTAGTGCCTACAAAGGAATGCATGTAAGATGACCTGGGTTCTTTCTAGTCCTAGCTGTACCACCAGCCAACTATGTGACCTTGGACAAGCCACTTAACCTCCCCAGGCTTTGGTTTCTTCATCTGTAAAATTAGGAGATTTGGCTATATGATCCTTAAAGTCTCTTTCACTCTTAAATTATGTTTTGGACACACAAGCATAGAAATAAAGTGGTTTCACCATAGTACAGAACCCCACATTTTAAAGAATTACTGACTCACTCTAGGTCCAAATCTATAAGCCTATTCTCACTCTTCCATCCTTCTGTCTTTCTGGTTGAATGCATGTTTCTCTTCAACATGTGATTCGAATTCAAATATAATATTCTCAGTGTGCTAAAAGGGCATTGCTGGAGCTTGTAGCCTTGGTACTCTGGTTTAAATGCCCCGGACTGGAATCTGAAGACCCTCATTTCCTCTGTACATGCCACTGTGCTGATCATATGGCACAGTCCACATTCAACATTCACCTGATCCCATGCTAACTTTCTAATTCACCTGACTGGGTTTTTGTTGTCAACATTAGGAGACTGTGCATTATGGCAAGAGAGTAGGGAATTGGAACTAAGGGTATTCGTAAGATGTGAAATTCACAGTCTAAAAGAACTGATAAATTAAAGATTACAGGAGGCAATGAGTTACAAGTGAAAGATTCATAGTTACCAGGGATATCATGGAAAACTGTGGGCCAGAAACTAGGCAGGCATGGAAATTAAAACCTGGAATATATATATACCAATGGTTAAGGAAAGAAAATAGATAGTCAAAGTCTGAGCAAGCAGAAAAGAACCTGAAGTGGTCATATTCCAAATAACAGATGGCTGGTAAAGCCCTTGGCTAGTGGTTAGGGCCCAAGAGATCCCCTAGAATCAAAAGCAGAGGACAACGTGGACAGGAGAATGGATGTGAGTTTTTGGCTATCAAATAAATCTTGATTCTGATCCACGCAAACACTTGCTGCTAGGAAAATAATCATTGAAGAGCACATGTGGCAAAGTAGAGGAGTGAAGCCATCTGACTAATCTGGGGAGTTAAAAGTTACTGTCAGTTTGGTCAAGCACGGTGGCTCATTCCTGTAATCCTAGCAGTTTGGGAGGCCGAGGCGGGGGAAACACTTGAGGCCAGGAGCTTGATACCAGCTTGGCCAACATGGTGAAACCCCGTCTCTACAAAAAATACAAAAATTAGCCAATTGTGGTGGCCTCGTGCCTGTAATCCCTTGGGAGGCTGAAGCACAAGAATTGCTTGAGCCCGGGTGGCAGAGGTTGCAGTGAGCCGAGATCACATCACTGCCCTCCAGCCCAGGCAACAGAATGAGACTCTGTCCCCCCGCAAAAATAGAAGTTAGAGGCAGTTAAAGGCAGAAACCAGCTATCCACCTGGTTCATTAAAGGGTATGGCACCATGGTGTCAGAAGCCAGTCTCACAATACATGGATCATCTTTTTTTTTTTTTAAAGGATAATATGACCACCCTTCCTGTCTAACCTTCAAAGAGTGAGCCCATCAACAAACAGAAAAGTACGTGCATGGGTCTCTAAAGCCCTATGGTGGTCAGATTCCCTTCAGAGCCTCCTTATTTTTCATGGAGAAAAATCAGCCTGTTCACAGCTTAGTGAAGATAAGTGAACCTGACTGGACATCAGTGAAGAGCTGGCCAGGCAACACAGCACTGAGCCTAAGAGACAGCAGCAACTCCCAGTTCAGGAATGATGGCCACTTGGCAAATTTGCACTGGCTTCCTACTTTTAGGTTTGTGTCATGCATTGTTACCTAATCTCAACTCTCTTTCCCAATAAGCCTGGAAATCCTTCTCATCACAAAGCTCTGGACATCCACTACTAATTAGTAGATGAAGACTAGCAAAAGAGATTTAAGTATATTTTCCATCTAGGTTGCAACTAGTTGTTAGAGCAACTGCAGCCCCAGACATCTCAAGGCCTCAGTGAACTTTTTCTGTGTTGATTTTACGACCTCAATCCTCGATGCCTCTCTATAGTCCAAAAATACCACCTGGAGCCCTAGGATTAAGAACAAAATCATTTTACTCCTGTAAGCCTGCTACACAGATTCACAGTGATTGACACAGCCTACCCAACCATGCTTCTGCCTTGCATTTTGTTGTTAACCCCTCATGACCCGTAACGATGACCTCAAGGTAATGTAACACTCAGCCAGCACCACTGCCCCGCTGACCCAGCCACAGTAGATATAATCTTAGGTTTTAATTCTGCAGGACCATTCCACACACCATTTATAATATTTTTCATTTTTCGAAAGTGATCCAATTTCCTGGAAAAATCATTCTTGAAAAAGTTATTATCTTCTTGGTAATTCTTCAGGTAAAATAGTTCCAGAGGCTAGTCGCAAGGGCACCTTTCCAATTGAATGTATAAATCAAAAGGTTTGCTTTACTTAAAAAGATTTCCTCCTATCAAAGAGAACTCTTCCTTTGAAGGTGAAGATTCGCTTCTGGTCTTCTGGCCTGATTTACAACCAATGTAAACAGAATGGAATATACTCCCTTTCTCATTTGAGGATTCTAGTACAAATAAAAACAGCTTGTTAAATAAAGCAGTGATAGGGCCATTTTGCATGGTTGTGCTGAAGAAATCCATTAGTGATAAAATAGCTTTATGTTTTCGAACAAGTTTAAGGCACAGAAAGTCTCCATTTTTCCTACCTTTAATTTAGATGAAGCTTGATAATACTTGTCAGTTTAAAACTAAACATCATATATGATGCCTTTCTGAAGACCTATTTTTGGTTTAGTTTTAAACTGACAAGTATGATCAAGCTTGTTTTATATATATAGAAGAACAAAGATGAGGAATTGTAATATTTGAAAGCCAGTTTTAAAGGGAAGTTATTTTATTAAGAAGTATTTGTATCTATAAATGTATGCAGTTTTGATTTATGGGAAAAAGTCTTTTGTTTCAAAGAATCAGAATTAGTTTCATTTTGTTGCTTTGCTTTTAAACTAAACCTTACTACTTCACAAATAGATCTGAGTGCTACAAAACTCCCTTTAAAAGTTAATGGTCCTTAAAAATTTAATGCAGTAATATGCTAAGTATGATTCAGATATTTTCTTTTTTTTTTTTTTTTTTGTTTTTGAGACGGAGTCTCGCTTTGTTGCCCAGGCTGGAGTGCAGTGGTGCCATCTCGGCTCACTGCAAGCTCCACCTCCCGGGTTCACGCCATTCTCCTGCCTCAGCCTCCGGAGTAGCTGGGACTACAGGCACCCGCCACCACGCCCAGCTAATTTTTTGTATTTTTTAGTAGAGACGGGGTTTCACCGTGTTAGCCAGGATGGTCTCGATCTCCTGACCTCGTGATCCACCCGCCTTGGCCTCCCAAAGTGCTGGGATTACAGGCGTGAGTCACCGCGCCAGGCTGATTCAGATATTTTCTAAGCAATTTTAGCAAACATTAATTGAGCCCATACAATTATATTAGAACCACTGGGAGCTTTGAGTGCTTTTTAAAAATTTCTGGAGTGACTAACAAAAAATAATGTCATCTTATAATCAGGAACTGATATATTTTAAAAATGGAAAATATTTAAAAGACTAATAATTATTTCACATACAAATATTTGGAATACATCAGCTACATTGCTATTATACTAATACTGAAATAATTAAACCTAAAGGTAACACAGCTTAGAGTCTTCAAAGTTAAATGCCAGAATTCAACTTTATATTTCAGAAATAAAATAGAGTGGTCGGGCGCGGTGGCTCACGCCTGTAATCCCAGCACTTTGGGAGGCCAAGGTGGGCGGATCACGAGGTCAGGAGATCGAGACCATCCTGGCTAACACGGTGAAACCCCGTCTCTACTAAAAATGCAAAAAATAAGCCGGGCGTGGTGGCAGGCGCCTGTAGTCCCAGCTACTCGGGAGGCTGAGGCAGGAGAATGGCGTGAACCCGCGAGGCGGAGCTTGCAGTGAGCGGAGATCGCGCCACTGCACTCCAGCCTGGGCGACAGAGCGAGACTCCATATCAAAAAAAAAAGGAAAGAAAGAAAGAAAGAAAGAAAGAAAGAAAAGAAAGAAGGAAGGAAGGAAGGAAGGAAGGAAGGAAGGAAGGAAGGAAGGAAGGAAGGAAGGAAGGAAGGAAAGAAAGAAAGAAAGAAAGAAAGAAAGAAAGAAAGAAAGAAAGAAAGAAATAACATAGAGCTATGATTTTTCAGATTCAGATGTCTAGTAACCTCAGCTATTCAAAGCAACCTAGAACCCGCCAAATAAGGGAAATCATGAAAATAGCCAAGAGTTAATTAAAGGTGCATAGTTTATAGGTCTTGTGTTTATGGTATTTCACTGGCCAGAGGTAATGAGCCAAATTTCACACAAACCACCTCACCCCTCTTTTTCCTAGAAAGAGGGAATATCCGATGGATTAGCCTGGATAGCCAAATCCAGACCCATTAGCAACAAAACTGAGAAGAATAGGAAGAAAAGGAGAGAGATCAGAGAAAGAGAATGAAAGAGAGAGAAGCAGAGGGAAAGGGAATCATTGTTATAAAATACAAGAAGGATAGCAAGCAGCAGATGCCCTGACGTCAGTGATCAGAGACAGCAGAGCACAAGGAAGGAAACAAGAAGCATCTATTAGTTACCGGTCTGAGGGCTTATAGCCAAAGAAGAAACTAAATCCTCCCTAACAATGGAGAGAATCACTGAGTTAGAGAGTCAGAAATTAAAAAAAAAAAGAAAAGAAAAGAAGAAAGAAGCAATTAATCTGAAGTTAGTCACTTTAGGTTCATACAATATTCCAAACCCTAATAGTTTCCAAAGGTTTGCCATAACAGTAAAAGAATTTATAAAAACCTTGAATCAATCATATTCAAGAAAACCCTTTACAAAGGCAGTGAAGCTTAAAGTATATTTTAATATAATTTTCACCATAAACAATCTTTTTTTATGCTTGAGGGATAAAGCTTCCGTTCTCTGAAAAAAAAAAATCACAAATTCAAGACACATAATACCCACATCATGTAAGACTACTTAAAAAAATCATTCTACATAGAAAATTCCAAAATCATTAAATACTCTTTGAAGTAATGCTAATGAGTGAATACGGATGGCACTTTGGGGAAATATTGACTGATGCATTAGAGACAGTACATCACAGTAGTTAAGCCAGACAGCCTATGGCCAAATTCTAGTTCTACCACTTACTGATCTCGTCTTTGGTGACCTCATACTAAGTAACAGCTTGGGTACATTTCTTCATTGTTCTGTAGCTCAGTTTCCTCATCTGTAAAATGTAGATAACAAATGTTGCCTATCTCATAGGGTGGCTGAAGGAATAAAATGAGATAAGGCAGATAAAAGATTAGCAAAATGCCCGGGATATGGTAAACACTCCATAAATGTTAGCAATTATTATCATTACACATTACTTAGACATGTCAAATAACCTGCCCACCTTTAGTCTCTCCTGATCCTAATCCCTGCCACACACTGCCATGATATAAATTTTCTAAAAATTAACCTGCTAAAAATAAAGTTTGATGATTTCCTGTTGTGTAACAGCCAAGTCCACATTTCTTGTCTTGTAATTTAAGATAGTTAAAGCCCTGTGACAATCTGGTTCCTTTCTCCCATAATTACTATTAATTATGTGTTAGTATCTTCAACCCCATTTTACAGACAAAGAAACTGAGGCCCATTCTGTTAAGAAAAATATTGCATGTGGGACATTTCTACAGATTTACTTTTGGCTCAGCAACTTGTAATAAACCTTGAAGTTAAAGGTTGACAGTAATTATTTTGGTCCCCAGAATAATACCCCTTCCTCTCAGTTCACCATAACTTCAGGCCATGGAGATGAATCTGAAAAAAAAGGCCTAAAGAGTCCAATGATTCTATGTTTTCCAATACCTCTGTATTCTCAGTGGGAGATGGGGAAGAATTTTCAAATCCTTCATGATCAACTTCATGTTTCTAAATACTTAATAACATAAAGAAGGGTGAGAATGATTCGAAGCAAAGAAAATGCATAAAGAGAGGAAATGGAAGGGGAGAACATATAAAAAACAAAAAGGAAAAGGAGGAAGGAGAAAGGGATGGACAAAGATGCTTCAGTCACTGTTTTGTTGTTGTTGTTGTTGTTGTTTTGAGACAGGCTCTGGCTCTGTCACCCAGGGTAGAGTGCAGTGGCATGATCTCAGCTCACTGCAGCCTCGAACTCCTGGGCTCAGTTGATCCTCCTACCTCAGCCTTCTGAGTAGTGGGGACTACAGGCATGTGCCCCCAATGCCAGGCTAGTTTTTCTATTTTTTTTTTTTTTTTTTTTAGAGACAGAGTTTCAGCATGTTGCCCAGGCTGATCTTGAACTCCTGAGCTCAAGTCAAGCGATCTGGCAGTCTTGGCCTCCCAAAGTACTAGGATTACAGGCGTGAGCCATGGCGCCCAGCCAATCACTGTTGGTATACATTAACTTTTGTTTTTTGAGAAGAAATAGGCAAAATGTCTACAAAATGTGCACCCATAACAACATCTTTCACAAGAGGGCACTAGTACATAGGATGATGATATGAATATGAATGAATGTACCTGAGGGCAACAAAAGGAAGGTAACCCTGTGTTTGGCACTTGCTATGGAGCCATTCTGTTTATGCATTTCACATCCTCTACACCCCAGAGTATGCTCTGGAGCACTTGGAGAGTAAAAAGCCTTGTCTGTCATTACATCAACATGAACACGAGGTCTTTTTAGCTCCAAATAGAAAATGAAACAAACAAACAAAACACACATAAATACTACAATGCCCAAGAGAGCCAGGCACTATAAACTATCATGTGAAATGGCTGATATTTTGGAAGTCTTACAAATTTCTTTCCTATGTTTCTATTTTTATATTAGGCAACAGTTTCACTGTCACCCAACGAAACCCACGAAAATTGTATTCATTGCTAGATCTATTTGAGGTCCTTTCTTAGCATTATAACACAACTCAATTCAATAGTCCTGTAAAAAAAAATAATAACTGTGGTTGTTTTCTTAACTGATTATTCCACAGACGGGAAGGCCACTTGGAGAGGTCATCAGTCAGGTTAGAATGAGATTCTAAGTTGGAACTCAACATTGATGAGAAAAAAAACACTGAACCTAAATTTGGAAACCCTCAAAAAGGCAATTCTGTCTGTGAAACTGCAAATGATCCTCATAGAAAGGAGGGAACGTGGTAGTGTTTAAATAAACCAGTGTCATCACACCAGTAGCTTTCTGACAAATTGTTTTAAAAGAATACTTTTTTAATGGAAAGAAAGGAGAGGCTACAATAGGACATTTATATAATTGAAGCATAATAACATTCTACAAAATTCTCCCTACATGCATATTGTCTGATTGCAGAATTCTAGTTAGCAAGCATCCATGAATTTACCAAGAAAAGCAAAGGGTGCCGTTTGTCTCATCTAGAATAAAATAATAAAGAACAGTGAATATAGCAATTAACTGTTTGCAGAGTGCTTTCTTGTGCACTATTTAATTTGATCTGCATGAGAACCCTTAAGAAAGAAATTATTAATTTCTCCATTTTATGGAAGAGAAAATGAGAGGTCACAGAAAATAATTGACCTGAGTCACACTACTAATAGGTGATGACCCAGGGACTGACTGGAAGCCAGGGCTTCTTGCTCTAAAAGTTCATGCTTGTTGCTCTTTGCTGCTTCTTGTCAAAATGAATACATTGCCATGAAGCTGAGAAAAGACATCGATTTTACTTATGTTTGTGTTTCACAGAAACTGACATATTTATATACAACTACATGAATATGTATTTATAAATAAATAGCTTTATTTATGAAATTTATAAATTATTTATAGAGTTACAAATAAATTAGAATCCTGTTCATTCTAAGACATACCAGGCTATGACAATACTTTAATTGTGTATTATTTCTACTTTGACAACAATTACAAGGGATTCTGTTTATTTTTCAACAATATGAAATTATTCAGAATCGGTTATTCAGAATCAATATCAGAAAGAATAACTGATTTATTAAAGGCTTTAATTACATAGAAGGCTACAGCTCTTTTAACGCAGGTTAGGTTTTTAACTTTAAATAGGTTTTTATTTGCAATTTATAGAAGTCATACATTGTTATTGTAGACAATTTGGAGTACACAGAAATTTAGTGCTTTTTAAATTTTTTTTCTTTTTTAATTTTTATGACTACATAGTAGGTATATATTCATGGGGTACATGAGATGTTTTGATACAGGCATGCAATATGAAATAATCACATCATGTAGAATCAGGTATCCTTCCCCTCAGGCACTTACCCTTTGAGTTACAAACAATCCAATTACACTCTTTATTTTAAAATGGACAATTAAGTCATTATTGACGATAGTCACCCTGATGTTCTGTCAAATAGTAGGTCTTATTCCTTCTTTCTATTTTTTGTACCCATTAACCATCCGCACATCACCCCCAGCCCCCTACTACCCTCCCCAACCTCTGACAACCATCCGTCTACTCTCTATGTCCGTGAGTTCAATTGTTTGATTTTTAGATCCCACAAATAAGTAAGAACATGCAGTTTCTTTTTCTGTGCAAGGCTTATTTCACTTAACATAATGATCTCCAGTTCTATCCATATTGTTGCAAATGAATGGATCTCATTTTTTTTATGGCTGAATAGCACTCCATTGTGTATATGCTCCACATTTTCTTTATCCATTCATCTGTTGATGGACATTAGTTTGATTCCAAATCTTAGCTATTATGAACAGTGCTGCAACAAACATAGGAGTGCAGGTATCTCTTTGATATACTTTCTTTTGGGTATATTCCCAGCAGTGGGATTGCTGGATCATATGGTAGTTCAACTTTTAGTTTTTTGAGGAACGTCCAAATCGTTCCCATAGTGGTTGTACTAATTTACATTCCCACCAACAGTATACAAGGGTTCCATTTTCACCACATCCTTGCCAGCATATAAGCCATTTTAACTGGGGTGAGATGATATCTCATTGTAGCTTTGATTTGCATTTCTGATGATCACTGATGTTGGGCATCTTTTCATATGCCTGTTTGCCATTTGTATGTCGTCTTCTCAGAAATCTCTATTCAAATCTTCTGCTCATTTTTTATTGGATTACTAGACTTTTTCCTATAGAGTTATTTGAGTTCCTTATATATTATGATTATTAATCCCTTGTCAGATGGGTAGTTTGCAAATATTATCTCCCATTCTGTGGGTTGTCTCTTCACTTTCTTCATTGTATCATTTGCTGTGCAGAAGTTTTTTAACTTCATGTGATCCCATTTGTCCATGTTTGCTTTGGTTGCTTGTGCTTGTGGGATATTGCTCAAAAAATCTTTGCCCAGACCAATGTCCTGGAGCTTTTCTCCAATGTTTTCTTGTAACAGTTTCATAGTTTGAGGTCTTAGATTTATGTCTTTAATCCATTTTGATTTGATATTTGTATCTGGCAAGAAATAGGGGTCTAGTTTCATTCTTCTGCATATGGATATCCAGTTTTCATAGCACCATTTATTGAAGAGACTTTCTTTTCCCTAGTTTATGTTCTTGGCACCTTTGTCAAAAATGAGTTCACTGAAGGTGTACGGATTTGTTCCTAGGTTGTCTATTTTGTTCCATTGGTCTAGGTGTCTCTTTTTATGCCAATACCATGCTGTCTTGGTTACTATACCTCTGTAGTACAATTGGAAGTCAGGTAATGTGATTCCTTTAGTTTAGTTTTTTTTTTGTTTTTTGTTTTTTGTTTTTTGTTTTGTGTGTGTGTGTGTGTGTGTGTGTGTTTGTGTGTGTGTGTGTTTTGCCTTAGGATAGCTTTGGCTATTCTGGGTCTTTCATACTTCCATATAAATTATAGGATTGTTTTTGTATTTCTGTGAAGAATGTAATTGGTATTTTGATAGTAATTGCATTGAATCTGTGGATTGCAATTAACAGTATGGACATTTTTAACAACATTGATTCTTCCAATCCATGAACATGGAATATTTTTGCATTTTTTGGTGTCCTCTTCCATTTATTTTACCCATGTTTTACAGTTTTCATTATAGAGATATTTCACTTCTTTGGTTAATTCCTAGGTATTTAATTTTATGTGTAGCTATTGTAAATGGGATTACTTTTTTTATTTTAAGTTCTGGGATACATGTGCAGAATGTGCAGGTTTGTTACATAGGTATACATGTGCCATGGTGGGTTGCTGCACCTATCAACCCATCGTCTAGGTTTTAGGCCCCGTATGCATTAGGTATTTGTCCTAATGCTCTCCCTCCCCTAGACCCCCACCCTTCGACAGGCCCCAGTGTGTGATGTTCCCCTTCCCTCATTGTAACTTTGAACTCCTGGGCTCAAGCAATCCTCCCACCTCCAATTCCCATGTAGCTGGGACTACATATGAACACCACCATGCCCGGCTAAATATATATATACATATATACATATATATATACACACACACACACACACACACACACATATATACACACACACATATATATATACACACACACATATATATATATATACACACACATATATATATATATTTTAGAGGTGGGGTTTCACCATGTTGCTCAGTCTGGTCTCAAATTCCTGGGCTCAAGTGACCCTCCTGCCTTGGCCTTTCAAAGTGCTGGAATTACAGGTATAAGCCACTGCAACCAACTGGGGCCACAATTTTTAATTGGTGGCATTTGGCTCCTGTAGAGACATTGTCTAAAAGTTTCCTGCCTTTCTAGGCTGCTCCTTTCTTCTTCCTTTGGTTAGAGAGAGTAGGCTTTTGTTGTGGCTTTTTTGTGTGTACTTCTTAGTATTTCCAGGTTGCAGTCTTCAGTTCTAAATCTAGGATGTGTGAGGCAAAAACAAAAACAAAAACAAAAACAAAAACAAATCTACCCAGGGAACTTGTCTTCATGTTCCCTGACATGTTATCATGTAATTACTTGGGTCTAGCTAGTCTTCTTTCTTTTATCTACCTCTCAGAGACTTCTTACTTTTGTTTTATATATGATTTGCAGAGCCTTTTGTTGTGCTCAGCAGAAAGAATAAGGAGAAGTACGTCTATTCTATTGTCCCTGTAACAGAATTCGCGGAACCAACTTTTAAAAAGAATAGGTTGAATTAACTTAAATTATAGGTTATGTACATAGAGAAAGAGAGAGAGAATCTCACTTTGTCACCCAGGCTGAAGTGCAGTGGCGCTATCTCAGCTCACTAGAACCTCCGCCTCCCAGGTTCAAGCTATACTCCCATCTCAGCCTCCTGAGTAGCTGGGATCACAGGTATGCACCACTATGCCCAGCTAATTTTTTTATTTTTAGTAGAAACGGGATTTTGCCATGCTGGCCAGGCTGGTCTTGAACTCCTGACCCCAAGTGATCTGCCCACCTCAACCTCCCAAAATGCTGGGATTACAGGCGTGAGCCACTGTTCCCAGCCTACAGGATATATATATATATATATATATATATATATATATATATTTGTAAATCAGAGCCAGACATAATGGCTGACTCCTATAATCCCAGCACTTTGGGAGGCTGAAGTGGGAGGATCACTGGAGGCCAGTTATTCAAGATCAGCCTGGGCAACATAATGAGGCCTCATCTCTACAACAATAATAATAATAATAATAAGTTAAAAAATTAGCCAGGCATGGTGGCATGCACTTATAGTCCTAGCTACTCAAGAGGCTGAAGTGGGAGGATTGCTTGAGCCCAGGAGTTCAAGGCTGCAATGAACTATGTTTGCATCACTGCACTCCAACCTGGGCAACAGAATAAAACCCTGTCTTTAAAAAAAAAAAAATCATTAGCTAATTGTTTTGTTTCCACTAGTTGCTTCCAAGGTAACCAGTGAAAGAAATGTACTACTAAGAAGCAATGCTACAGTAATATTCCCAAAGGTACAAAAAGAGATGTGTTTGAGATTGTCACACACACATTGTTGTAAACTTAAACAAAAGCTAGAAATAATATAAATGTCCATTAGTAAAGGATTGAATAAATGGATTCTGGCATATTCCTGATTGATATTTTGCAAGCATGCACAAATGCAGATAAAATAGTTGGTAAAATGCTGAAATAAGCTTAATAGTTTCTGTCTTGATTCCATACACTGAGTGCACCCCTCCAGCACTCTGGTCATCTTGGTTCTTTCCCCAGGATACCTTGAACCCCGACACAATCTAACAACTAAAGTCTTAACACTTGCACAGCAGGGGGCTTTAGGACCATATGTTACCACTATAACTGGTGCTCATTCTGATTGCTTGAGACCCAGGTCTTAATACATATCTAATATTTTATGTATCACTGCTTGGTCCACATAAACTATGGAATACCATACAGCTAGTAAAATGAATGAGGAGACCTCTAGGTAAGCATAGAAGATTGAACAAATATATGTATCTCCACTCACTCCTGAAACCTCACTAAAATGGCAGCAAATAAATTTATTTATTTATTTATTTTGAGACAGAGTCTCGCTCTGTTGCCCAGACTGGAGTACAATGGCACAATCTCGGTTCACTGCAATCTCCGCCTCCCAGGTTCAAGCGATTCTCCTGCCTCAGCCTCCCAAGTAGCTGAGATTACAGGCGTGCACCACCATGCCTGGCTAATTTTTGTATTTTTAGTATAGACAGGGTTTCACCATGTTGGCCAGGCTGGTCTTGAACTCCTGACCTCAGGTGATCCACCTGCCTCGGCCTCCCAAAGTGCTGAGATTAAAGGCATAACCCAGCAAGCCAGGCCAAGAATTTTAAAAAGTAATAAAAGATCCTAAAGTACAAAGAGAACATGAGAGGAGATGACAGTAGAAGAGAAATACCAACACACATTTTGTAAGCTAGAAAATAAATGGACAGGTGGTAAATGACTTAGCAGTGTAGATAGATAATACTGAAACTTAAGCCTGAAACTGGGTAGAAGCCAACAAAAGGCGAGGCAATTCATGCTGCAGAACCTCAGAAAGTCTTAGGATTTGCAGGCACCAAGAATCTCTAGGGGCAGGGGTGTGAGTGGGACTGAAAACAGAAGAGTAGATTATCAGTTGGTATAAGGAGTATATAGTCCTTCCTTCTAAGTTCACTCATGTACTCCATGGAGTAATTTCCCTTTGCCAATGCATGTAGAAGACAGGAGGGTTTTTTTCTTGCTGGAAAAAGTTTATATGAATAAGAAGTGGGGTGAGTTGCCACACCGAAAATGAGGATACAAAACATGCATATTTTTCTTTCCTTTTTTCTTTTTTCTCTTTCCAAGATATGTTCTCATCTGGAAAACCTGCATGTCAAGAGGTTCAATCTTCAGTCCCTACCTTATTCCTGTCATATATCCCAGAATACTTGCAGGCAGGTTTATAATTACCTATAGGAAATTGGACTATTTCTTTCTGTGGAAAATAATTGTCTAATAAAAAGGACTGAAATATACTGATATTGTTGAGAATCTCAGTGAAAAAGCTGAGTTGTAGCCTTCCCAACTTAAAGGACACTTCACCATATAACAGTGCCTACTCATGTACACAGAACTTCTAATCAGCTTCTTGGTGTCTTATTGTTATATATAAATGGGCCATCAAGAGTGATAAGACATCGAGGCTAGAGATAAAAACGACAGAACAAAGAAAGTGAATTTGACAGAAACAGAGACAATACAGGGAACAGAAGAAAACTTTAAGAACTAACTTTTAGAGAGATGAGAATATACAGCATTCATTAAAAATTGGCTTAAAAAAAGAACATACAGAGAATAAGATAAAACTTTTGGAAATTAAAAATAAGATAAAAATAGAAGTGTTGGAATATAAGTTGGAGGAGACCTCCTGAAAATCAAAATAAAAAGACAAAAAGATGGAAAATAAGCAGAAGAGATGACTTGGGGATCAATCTCGGATGTTCAACATCTGGCTGATAACATCTACAGAGAAAAAAAGAGAAATGAAAGAGTAAAAGGATATTATCCAAGTAATAATGCAAGAAGAATTTTCAGAGTTGAAGGACACAGGTTTCCTAACTGAAAGGGCCCACCAAGTGCCTAGTATAATGAATAAAAATAGATCACACAGCCGGGCGTGGTGGCTCATGCCTGTAATCCCAGCACTTTGAGAGGCCCAGGTGGGCAGATCACGAGGTCAGGAGATCGAGACCATCCTGGCTAACACGGTGAAACCCCATCTCTACTAAAAATACAAAAAAATTAGCCGGGCGTGGTGGCGGGCGCCTGTAGTCCCAGCTACTTCAGAGGCTGAGGCAGGAGAATGGCGTGAACCCGGGAGGCGGTGCTTGCAGTGAGCCGAGATCGCGCTCCTGCACTTCAGCCTGGGCGGCAGAGCGAGACTCCGTCTCAAAAAAAAAAAAAAAAAAAAAAAAAAAAAAAAGATCACACAAAGACATACCATAGTGAAGTTTCAAAATACCATGGAATCAAAGTAATAATATTGACTCAATGGCAACACTGGAAGCTCAAAAGCAAGGAGCCAACGTTTTCAAAAGTTTAAGGAAAAGCTATTTCTAACCTAGAAGTCCATAACCAGCCAAACTTAATAATGGTAGAATAAAGGGATTTTCACATATGAAAAATGTCAATTAACATTTTCTCTCTCAAGTAACCTTGCACAGAAAATCTTGGAGGTTGTGTTCAATCAAGATAAAGGAGTAGCAACAACAGCAAAAGAATATGTGGAAAATAGTATTGACAAGGGTTTTCAGGGCTTTCCCCAAGAAACAGTAGAGCCTGTATTAGGCTCCCTCCTATCTGTGGGTCAATCAAATAAAATCTGTTTTAAAGAGAAAATTTGGTGGTAAAGATTGTATAGTGTTGCCTTGATTAAAGCACCAAGAATATTAGGCAGCAAGAAATTTTTCAAGGAAAGCTTTTCCAAAAATGGCAAGAAGACAGCTAAGAAAGTAGAGAAAGAAGGAAGATGTTACAGAATTTTATTTTCACCACCCCCATAGAGAATCCCAGACCCTAAGATAGTCTTGAAAGTTACTTTGGTGGATGGTTGGCAGAGTGACAAGCAGGCAGTACAATGTTCCCTACAAGTCACAGACAAGGGCTGACTTCCAGAAAGATGGAGGTTAGGTAAAGTTGGTGTACCCATTCTGTTACTTCTCTTTCTCTGCCTGCACTCACATGCCGTATGCTAGCATGCTTCCCTTGCCTAGTCAAAACTAGGCTTACTAAGACTTTAAACAGACCTTTTCTTCATTTAAACCAATATCAAATCTTGTAAACTTGTCATCCACCTTAACCGATATCAAATCTTTGTCTTGCCAGTCTATTTCAGCCAATTTTCAGAGATCTGCTAAATAAATCCAGATTAAAATGATAATGACAGCAGGCTGATGGGCTGCCCATCTAGAGGTATTTACATTTCAACAGACTACCCATGAAGACCAAAGACTGTAGGGATCAACCTTCCAATTTCAAATGAGCTTGTGAGGTGAATACTTTTCAAATGTAGGGTCATCAGATCGCACAACATATGCAACCACCTACTTCGCTTCTGAGCAAAACTAGTTGGAAACTTATATCTGAAACCATGTCAATGTATTATCTGGGACCTAATTATTAACATAGTCGTGATGAGCCATAAATTGTCACCTGAAATCAATCCATCAATCAAAAAAGTAGAAACATTTTTCAAGGTTATCACATGGTTATTCTGGCGTGGGGTAGGGGATGTCTTAAAATAATTTTAAACATGATTCAAGACATGTTGCAGGTTAATGAATTTGGCACTAAAAGATGCCTCAAATATAAAATCTGGTAGGTAAGTTAAAGCACTGAGAGAAGATAAATTCCCCCTTAAAACTGCTTTATATAAGGATGTCATATTATAACCTGAGACAATGAAATGTCTAAAGGAAATATAATGTTATATAATAGAAAACACAAAGTAATCATATGCATTTATATCAGTAATCCGAATCACATTAAAACATGTGTACCAATGTAATTGGCAACAGAATCGTGCCCAGAATAACACTTGAGTCACATCAGGTCATTCTTAGCAAACATACTGGACAATCCCATAACTTTGAAATCTAAGGAAAGTGATAGGGGACTCAGGGATTTCAGTAAATGCAGCAAGTACATATCTCATGTTTAGAGCTATCAAATTCGCATTGTGAACTTTAGCACAAATCTCACTGCAACTCAGGGGAATGTTCTAATTCTGGTAATAGCTTTACTGAAGTATTCTGAGGACTTCAGCTAAATCATACTTAAGTCACAATGTAAAATCTAAGGTAGGGCATATGAAAGAACATGAAAATAAATACATGTGTATATATAAGATGAGGATATTATTTAAGTACTCTGTAATGTACAATGAGGCCAGGAGCTCGCTTTGGTATGCTGGATACAGTGGCAAGAGCCCAATACTCAATGCCACATTCTCTGAGGGGCAGGAGGCAACGATGCCATAACATTCCACAAATGTCCTTTCACACGGTAAAAATATTTCTGACAGTCACTCTGCCCAAACCTTCCTATTCATAACACTATCAGCTGGTGTGTCACTCACAGTGACAGGAAAGGAGAGAGGGAAAGATGATGGTAGTGAAGAAGATGGTAGGAGTTAAATCACTACATGGTGAACAAGAAAGAAGATGGTAGGAGTTAAATCACTGCAAGGTGAACAAGAAAGAAGCACCTGAACTGCCCATTGTCACATAGATTGCTGACATATTCCTGGCGTAAAGGGCTGAGAGGGAAAATATTCCACTGGCCTCAGGGAAAGGGGAAGCCACAATATTCAAATGATTGGAATTCAAAAATGATGGTATGAGATCAAGTTGAATTAGAATGTCAAAAAGTGATGGAGCCTGAAGGGATCTTGGCGGGAGGGGCACTTCATCTAGTGATTTAGTGGAAGGACCTGTCAGTCCATTCAGGCTGCTATAACAAAATACCATAGACTGTGAGGCTTACAAAGAATCGACATCTATTTCTCACAGTTCTGGAGCCTGGGAAGTCTAAGGTTGAAGTGACGTCAGATTCGATGTCTGGTGAGGACCCGTTTCCTCATTCATATATAACTCCTTCTCTGCTGTGTCCTCAAATGGCGGAAGTAGTGAGGGGTCTCTATGGGGTCTCTTTTATAAGGTCACTGATCTCATTCACGAGGGCTTTGCCCCCATGACCTAACCATCTCCCAAAGGTCCTACCTCTAAGTACCAGCATCTTGGGGGATATGATTTCAACATACAAATTTTTTAGGGGACATAAATATTCAGATAATCAGAGCAGGGCTCATGGAAGCCTAGCTTTAAATTAAATCTTACACAGAAGTTCAGTCTGTTAAACAAATCAAGAAGAACTATTTTGATTGAGAGGGCCATATAGGACTTCCCTCTCATTCCCTCTTAACTGTCTGTCATCTCTAAAATGCCTCCAAGGAATTCCAGAGATCTTCACCATGCCCTTGGAAAATAGCATATCTAAGCCCAAAATTACTCTGCTGAAGTTCGCACGTGGTGAATTAGTATCAATCCAGAAAATTTTCTCAAGTCTCCTGACTTCCAAGCCTGTGCACAATTCCAAGCAATACATTGTCATCCTATGTCAAGTGGCCCTCCTTACTTTCCTCACATGAGTCCATGATATTGTTATCACTGATGCACTGAGCAGATCCAGCAAGTCAAAAAAGGTTTTACT
Source organism: Homo sapiens (assembly GCF_000001405.40). NCBI lineage: Eukaryota > Metazoa > Chordata > Mammalia > Primates > Hominidae > Homo > Homo sapiens. The sequence goes on along the minus strand of NC_000023.11, from coordinate 112,930,474 downwards.
GAAAATATGATCTTTAGGAATAGAGATTATACACAAAAACAAAACCAACGATGGTCAGTCTTAGTGTAAGACATTTGCTACAGTATGTTCTTATATCCTGGCAAAATTAAGTATCTGACCCAATTCAAGCACTCGAAGAACAAAATATGTATGCACTTTTTTGATTAGCGTATAGGTTGGCATTCTGTGGCATTTTCAGAAAGGATGCATGATGTGCAAATTAAAATACTGCTTTTTAGATATGAGTAAAATAGATATTTGTTAGGAACTTGATTGTCCTTATAGAAAAACTATTACCAAGATATTTGCTGCATATTTGGGTATACCAAGCTGTGAATTATGTGGAAACATATGTGACTAGCTGTAAAGTTTATAGTCATTTTTTGCAGTTAGCCCCAGTCTTGCAAATATTTAAGTACCTTTGTTTCAAGAGGGGAAAAAGTTGAATAGGCTTTGCCTTGGGGCATCTTAACGGACGAAAACAATCTCATTGTTTCATTTCAGACTGTTCATATAAGGTAGCAATAGATCAAATCCATAGAGATCATATTTTTCCCTTGCCATGACCATGAAATAATGGTATCTTAAGACATAGAATCAATTTGACTGATTTTGCTTTTGCCTCTACTCTCATGTGTTCCTTCTGAATGACCTTGCTTGGCCTATGGTCAGGAGTTTCACAGTCACAGAAATTACTTTTCACTGGAAGCTGAAATTTCTTTGTTTGGGATTTGTTTTTAAGCAGGCTGAGAGAGGTTTGTGGCCCTTCCGCTCTGGGCTTTTTTTCTCTCATTTTGTAAGGCAGCTTTGATTTTCTGCTTTAGTTCTGCTTGGTTTTGAAGCAAGGTGAGAAAATGCCCAAGGAGGGAAGGCATGCATATCAACTGCTGTCTGAAGATCTCTATGAACTTCATCTACCCAGCTCCACTACCCTATTCGGAATGGCTTCTGCCACTTATACAGGCCATGTGGGGTACTAAGGTCTCTTCCCATCTATCCTGACTGATGTCTGGAAAGTCCTTTTTGCTGTGGATTCAGTCAAGAGAAGGTTGACACATTATAAACAGTCTTTTTTATAGAGCATAAGTGAAATTTATTTATTTATTTATTTTTATTTCCATAGGTTACTGGGGAACAGGTGGTGTTTGGTTACATGAGTAGGTTCTTTAGTGGTGATTTGTGAGATTTTGGTGCACCTATCACCCGAGCAGTATACACTGCACACTATTTGTAGTCTTTTATCCCTCACCCCCTTCCCACCCTTTCCACCTGAGTCCCCAAAGTCCATTGTGTCATTCTTTTTTTTTTTTTTTTGAGACGGAGCCTCACTCTGTCACCCAAGCTGGAGTGCAGTGGTGCAGTCTTGGCTCACTGCAACCTCTGCCTCCTGGGTTCAAGTGATTCTCCTGCCTCAGCCTCCCGAATAGCTGGGATTACAGGTGCATGCCACCATGTGCGGCTAATTTTTCTATTTTTAGTAGAGACAGGGTTTCACCATGTTGGTCAGGCTGGTCTCGAACTCCTGACCTCGTGATCCACCTGCCTCGGCCTCCCAAAGTGCTGGGATTACAGACGTGAGCCACCATGCCCTGCTTATTGTGTCATTCTTATGCCTTTGAATCCTTATAGCTTAGCTCCCACTTATCAGTCAGAACATATGATGTTTTGTTTTCTATTCCTGAGTTACTTCACTTAGAATAATAGTCTCCACGCTCATCCAGGTTGCTGTGAATATCATCAATTCATTCCTTTTTATGGCTGAGTAGTATTCCATTGTGTGTGTGTGTGTGTGTATATATATACATAATATATTACATATTATATATATTACATATTTTATACATATATATATATATATTTCACTCGTTGATTGATGGGCATTTGGGTTGGTTCCACATTGTTGCAATTGTGAATTGTGCTGCTATAAACATGCGTGTGCAAGTGTCTTTTTCGTATAATGACTCCTTTTCCTCTGGGTAGATATCCAACAGTGGGACTGCTGGATCAAATGTTAGTTCTACTTTTAGTTCATCAAGGAATCTCCACACTGTTTTCCATAGTGGCTGTACTAGTTTACATTCCCACCAGCAGTGTAGAAGTGTTCCCTGCTCACCACATCCCTGTCAACATCTATTATTTTTTAATTTTTTTATTATGGCCATTCTTGCTGGAGTGCAGTGGTATTGCATTGTGGTTTTGAGTTGCATTTCCCTGATCATTGGTGATGTTGAGCATTTTTTCACGTTTGTTGGCCACTGGTATATCTTCTTTTGAGAATTTTCTATTCATGTCCTTAGCCCACTTTTTGATGGGAATGTTTGTTTTTATCTTGCTAATTTGTTTGAGTTCATTGTAGATTCTGGATATTAGTCCTTTGTCAGATGTATAGGTTGTGAAGATTTTCTCCCAGTCTGTGGGTTGTCTGTTTATTCTGCTGACTGTTCCTTTTGCCGTGCCAAATCTCTCAAATTTAATTAAGTCCCAGCAATTTATCTTTGTTTTTATTGCATTTGCTTTTGGGTTCTTTGTCATGAAACCTTTGACTAAGCCAATGTCTAGAAGGGTTTTTCCAATGTTATCTTCCATAATTTCTATAGTTTCAGGTCTTAGATTTAAGTCCTTGATCCATCTTGAGTTGATTTTTGTATAAGGTGAAAGATGAGGATCCAGTTTCATTCTCTTACATGTGGCTTACCAATTATCCCAGCACCATTTGTTGAATAAGATGTCCTTTCCCCACTTTATGTTTTTGTTTCCTTTGTCAAAGATCAATTGGCTGAAAATATTTGGGTTTATTTCTGGGTTGTCTATTCTGTTCAATTGTCTATGTGCTTATTTGTATACCAGTACCATGCTGTTTTGGTGACCATGGCCTTATACTATATTTTGAAATCAGTTAATGTGATGCCTCCGGATTTGTTCTTTTTGCTTAGTCTTACTTTGGCTTTGCAGGCTCTTTTTTGGTTCCATATGAATTTTAGGATTGTTTTTTCTAGTTCTGTGAAGAATGATGGTGGTATTTTTTATGGGGATTGTGTTGAATTTGTAGATTGCTTTCGGCACTATGGTCATTTTCACAATATTGATTCCACTCATCCATAACCATGGGATGTGTTTCCATTTGTTTGCGTCATCTATGATTTCTTTCAGCAGTGTTTTGTAGATTTCCTTGTAAAGGTCTTTTGCCTCCTAGGTTAGGTATACTCCTAAGTATCTTATTTATTTATTTATTTATTTGTTTGTTTATTTACGGCTATTGTAAAAGGGGTTGAATTCTTGATCTGATTCTCAGCTTGGTCGCTGTTGGTGTATAGAAGAGCTACTGATTTTTGTATATTAATTTTGTATCCAGAAACTTTGCTGAATTATTTTATCAGTTCTAGGAGCTTTCTGGAGGAGTCTTTAGGGTTTTCTAAGTAAACAATCATATCATCAGCAAACAGCGACAGTATGACTTCCTCTTTACAATTTGGATGCCCTTTATTTCTTTCTCTTGACTGGTCGCTCTGGCTAGGACTTCCAGTACTATGTTGAAGAGGAATGGTGAGAGTTGGCATCCTTGTCTTGTTCAAGGTCTCAAAGAGAATGCTTTCAACTTTTCCCCATTCAGTATTACGTTGGCTGTGGGTTTGTCATAGATGGTTTTTATTACATTGAGATATGTCCCTTGTATGCCAATTTTGCTGAGAGTTTTAATCATAAAGGGATGCTAGTTTTATCAAATGCTTTTTCTGTATCTATTGAAATAATCATGTGACTTTTCTTTTTAATTCTGTTTATGTGTTGTATCACATTTATTGACTTGTGTATATTAAACCATCTTTGCATCCCTGGTATGAAACCCACTTCAATTTGAGATGACACCACTTTTGGATGACCAGGATCTCTGCTTTCTTTTAGAATTTACTCCCTGTTCCTTTTTGGACACAAGTCCTCCATCTCATCCTCTAACCCTTGGTTGTTCTAGACTTCCACTAGGCAGATGCTCTAACTCTTGAGTCCAACCTCACTCAAGCCTTATTCAGTTCTTGGCATCATTGAACCTTTGAAAAGAAGGTGATATGGTTTGGGTCTGTGTTCCCACCAAATCTCATGTTGAATTGTAGTTCCCAATGTTGTAGTTGGGGCCTGGTGAGAGGCGGCTGGATCATGGGGGTGGATTTTTCATGAATGGTTTGGCAGCACCATGTCCCTTGGTATTGTCCTGATGATAGTGAGTTCTCATGAGATCTGGTCCTTTTAACTAGAACTCAGGATTAAGAAACTCACTCAAAACCGCTCAACTACATGGAAACCGAACAACCTGCTCCTGAATGACTACTGGGTACATAACGAAATGAAGGCAGAAATAAAGATGTTCTTTGAAACCAACGAGAACAAAGACACAACATACCAGAATCTCTGGGACACGTTCAAAGCAGTGTGTCGAGGGAAATTTATAGCACTAAATGCCCACAAGAGAAAGCAGGAAAGATCTAAAATTGACACCCTAACATCACAATTAAAAGAACTAGGGAAGCAAGAGCAAACACTTTCAAAAGCTAGCAGAAGGCAAGAAATAATTAAGATCAGAGCAGAACTCAAGGAGATAGAAACAAAAAATCCCTTCAAAAAATCAATGAATCCAGGAGCTGGTTTTTTGAAAAGATCAACAAAATTGATAGACCACTAGCAAGACTAATAAAGGAGTAAAGAGAGAAGAATCAAATAGACGCAATAAAAAATGATAAAGGGGATATCACCACCGATCCCACGGAAATTCAAACTACCATCAGAGAATACTATAAACACCTCTACACAAATAAACTAGAAAATCTAGAAGAAATGGATAAATTCCTTGACACATACACCCTCCCAAGACTAAACCAGGAAGAAGTTGAATCTCTGAATAGACCAATAACAGGATCTGAAATTGAGGCAATAATTAATAGCTTACCAACCAAAAAAAGTCCAGGATCAGACAGATTCACAGCCGAATTCTACCAGAGGTACAAAGAGGAGCTGGTACCATTCCTTCTGAAACTATTTCAATCAACAGAAAAAGAGGGAATCCTCCCTAACTCATTTTACGAGGTCAGCATCATCCTGATACCAAAGCCTGGCAGAGACACAACAAAAAAAGAAAATTTTAGACCAATATCCCTGATGAACATCGATGCGAAAATCCTCAATAAAATACTAGCAAACTGAATCCAGCAGCACATCTAAAAGCTTATCCACCATGATCAAGTGGGCTTTATCCCTGGGATGCAAGGCTGGTTCAACATATGCAAATCAATAAACATAATCCAGCATATAAACAGAACCAACAACAGAAACCACATGATTATCTTAATAGATGCAGAAAAGGCCTTTGACAAAATTCAACAGCCCTTCATGCTAAAAACTCTCAACAAATTAGGTATTGATGGAACATATCTCAAAATAACAAGAGCTATTTATGACAAACCCACAGCCAATATCATACTGAATGGGCAAAAACTGGAAGCATTCCCTTTGAAAACTGGCACAAGACAGGGATGCCCTCTCTCACCACTCCTATTCAACATAGTGTTGGAAGTTCTGGCCCAGGCAATCAGGCAGGAGAAAGAAATAAAGGGTATTCAATTAGGAAAAGAGGAAGTCAAATTGTCCCTGTTTGCAGATGACATGATTTTGTATCTAGAAAACCCCATCGTCTCAGCCCAAAAACTCCTTAAGCTGATAAGCAACGTCAGCAAAGTCTCAGGGTACAAAATCAATGTACAAAAATCACAAGCATTCCTATACACCAATAACAGACAAACAGAGAGCCAAATCATGAGTGAATTCCCATTCACAATTGCTACAAAGAGAATAAAATACCTAGGAATCCAACTTACAAGGGACGTGAAGGACCTCTTCAAGAAGTACAAACCACTGCTCAACAAAATAAAAGAGGATACAAACAAATGGAAGAACATTGCATGCTCATGGATAGGAAGAATCAATATCATGAAAATGGCCTTCCCAAGGTAATTTATAGATTCAATGACATCCCCATCAAGCTACCAATGACTTTCTTCACAGAATTGGAAAAAACTACTTTAAAGTTTATATGGAAGCAGAAAAAAGCCCACATTGCCAAGTCAATCCTAAGCCAAAAGAACAAAGCTGGAGGCATCACACTACCTGACTTCAAACTATACTACAAGGCTACAGTAACCAAAACAGCATGGTACTGGTACCAAAACAGAGATATAGACCAATGGAACAGAACAGAGGCCTCAGAAATAATACCACACATCTACAACTATCTGATCTTTGACAAACCTGACAAAAACAAGAAATGGGGAAACGATTCCCTATTTAACAAATGGTGCTGGGAAAACTGGCTAGCCATATGTAGAAAGCTGAAACTGGATCCCTTCCTTACACCTTATACAAAAATTAATTCAAGATGGATTAAAGACTTAAATGTTAGACCTAAAACCATAAAAACCCTAGAAGAAAACCTAGGCAATACCATTCAGAACATAGGCATGGGCAAGGACTTCATGTCTAAAACACCAAAAGCAATGGCAACAAAAGCCAAAATTGACAAATAGGATCTAATTAAACTAAAGAGCTTCTGCACAGCAAAAGAAACTACCATCAGAGTGAACAGGCAACCTACACAATGGGAGAAAACTTTTGCAATCTACTCATCTGACAAAGGGCTAATATCCAGAATCTACAATGAACTGAAACAAATTTACAAGAAAAAAACAGACAACCCCATCAAAAAGTGGGTGAAGGATATGAACAGACACTTCTCAAAAGAAGACACTTATGCAGCCAACAGACACATGAAAAAATGCTCATCATCACTGGCCATCAGAGAAATGCAAATCAAAACCACAATGAGATACCATCTCACACCAGTTAGAATGGCAATCATTAAAAAGTCAGGAATCAACAGGTGCTGGAGAGGATGTGGAGAAATAGGAACACTTTTACACTGTTGGTGGGACTGTAAACTAGTTCAACCGTTGTGGAAGACAGTGTGGCTATTCCTCAGGGATCTAGAACTAGAAATACCATTTGACCCAGCCATCCCATCACTGGGTATATACCCAAAGGATTATAAATCCTGCTGCTATAAAGACACATGCACACGTATATTTATTGCAGCACTATTCACAATAGCAAAGACTTGGAACCAACCCAAATGTCCAACAACGATAGACTGGATTAAGAAAATGTGGCACATATACACCATGGAATACTATGCAGCCATAAAAAATGATGAGTTCATGTCCTTTGTAGGGACATGGATGAAGCTGGAAGCCATCATTCTGAGCAAACTATCGCAAGGACAAAAAACCAAACACCGCATGTTCTCACTCATAGGTGGGAACTGAACAATGAGAACACTTGGACACAGGAAGGGGAACATCACACACTGGGGCCTGTTGTGGGGTGGGGGAAGCGGGGAGGGATAGCATTAGTAGATATACCTAATGTAAATGACAAGTTAATGGGTGCAGCACACCAACATGGCACATGTATACATATGTAACACAGCTGCACGTTGTGCACATGTACCCTAGAACTTAAAGTATAATTTAAAAAAATATATATATATAAATAAGATAGATAGATTTCATTCATTGGAAAAATAAAAAATAAAAATAAAAAAGTGTGTAGCACCTCCCTCACCATCTTTCTTCCTCCTGCTCTGGCCCTGTAAAATGGGCAGGCTCCCCCTTTGCCTTCTGCCATGATTGGACGCTTCCTGAGGCCTCCCCAGAAGCAGAAGTCCCTATGCTTTCCTGGACACCCTGCAGAACCATAAGCCAATTAAACCTCTTTTCTTTAAAAATTATCCAGTCTCAGGTATTTCTTTATAGCAATGTGAGAACAGACTATTACAGAAGGTGAATTCATATCAGGTCTTAAATATTTCTTCAGTTGCGAGCTATCAATTATCAATCTTTCAGTTACCTCTCTTACAGATCTCAGAGATTTCTGTGACCATAGTCCTCTGACTCATTTCTCTTGCTCTTGTTCTGTTCATTTCAGACAGACTCATCGACCAATTTAATTTCTTCTGTTATTGTTCTAGTCATATTAGTTCCCTCAAATTATCAGAAACTGCTTGCCTCTTCTTTTGAACCAAAATATAAATAATATGCAAACTTGGCCTTCAAAATAGAAGCTAGATAGGTAACAAATGCAACTCTCATTAGAGTATTACATTTAACATATTTCATAAACAAAGATAAAGAAGCATGTTTCAACAGTTGTTTAGTTTGTGTAACACCATAAAAAATGTATGCATAATTTTTAAAAGAGAACTACTATGGGTGTAGTGTGAGTACAACAAACACTGTAGTTTGAGATCAGAAGTTTTTGCCTTTTAAGTATTCATTTGGTCATTTGGGCATGCCTCTTAGCAGCCAGAAATTATTACCCAAAATCTGATAATATCCATTCGTCTCTACCTCCATGCATTGTCTACTCTTAAGCCAAAATCAGAATTTTAAAAATGTAAATATGATCATATTACTCCTCTGCTGAAGACCCTTTAATGACTTTCCTTTGCAGTTTCAATAAAATATAAATTCTTTTTTTTTTTTTTTCTGAAGACAAGGTCTTGCTCTGTTGTCCAGGCTGAAGGGCAGTGGCTAGATCATAGCTCCCTGCAGCCTCAAACTCCTGTAAGCAATCCTTCCACCTCAGCCTCCTGAGTAGCTGGGACTGCAGGTGCACCCCACAGCATCCAACTAATTTAAAATGCAATTCTTTAACACAGGCATCAACATCCTGCATAATCTGATCCCTGCCTACCTTCACCACCTCGTCTCATGCTAGTGTCCAGCTATCTCTCCAGTCTTTAGCCACGCTGGCCTTTAGCTACTTGAGCATGTTTTACATCTTCATAAAAGGTGTTCTTTCCTTCTTGAACATTCTTCCACCCATCTTTTGCGTGGCTGGCTCCTTCTCATTCTTCAGATCTCAGCTTAAATATTGCTTCCCCAGAGAGGGCTTCTTATTCACCCAAGCTAAACAAGCAAATTAAAGTGTGTAACTCCAGTTGTTTTCTCTTTGTGTCCTCTGTTTCTTTCATAGAACTTATCGACATTTCTAATTATGTATCTATTTGGCCATTTAAGTGTCTAATGTCTGCCTCCCCACTAAACTAAAAGTTTCATGAGGACAGAGAGTACATTCATTTTATTATAACAATGTAATACCTAGTATAGAACCTAGCACATAGTAAACAATCAATAAATATTTCTCCATTAACTGAATGATGAATGATAAATGGGAAATTTGTTGCCAAAATAGTTTTATTTAAATAGGGAAAATAAAACAAAATTAGCCACCCTAAAGTAAGGATCTGCTTTCATTCATCATTATAAACTTGAGTGCAACTCTAGAATGTTTTTGAAAAAACAAATATAATTTTAGATGGCATCAGCACCAAATATTTCTTGGTATATTTGATTTCCAAAAAGAAATATAATTTAAAGCTTTTAAAAATGCTTTCGCTTCAATTTAGTACTTATTGGACGAGAATAATTGTTTTTATAGATGCTCAGATACAGATATAATTTCATATATTGTAACGCAATTTTTAAAAAGAAAGGCGCACACTTGGTACCATACACATTGTAGAATAATGCAAAGGACTTTACTATAGAATAAAGCAAATTCCTGCAATTGGAATCAATTTGTCTCCTTTGCTTTTAAAATGAAGCCTGCCAAAAGATGACTATGATGCTACATTAATAGATATGCTAATTGAGGTAACCACCTCAAGAAAATCGAATTTTTGAAATTACATTTTAAAAGGTTCCTTAGATCAGAGGGTAGGAATTGTAAAATACCTCTCTTTTAACCTGACACCTACAAAAGGAAAATCCAGAGGTAGTACTAACTTTCTACATATTTAGGGCCATCTGCCAAAATAAGCAATTCAACCCTTGTTGCATATACTTTTACTATAGAAGAAGAAAGAAGCATTAGAATAAATGATTGGTCCATGAAAACTATGCCATTAACTCTCCCTATGAGCTTCTGGACTGTCAAGGACTCTGACTTACTGGTAGTGTCCCCTTCAAAATAATCCAGGAGCCCAGAAGGAGCTGCCACGACACAAATCCTTTTATCATTGTGCTAACACGGGTCCAAAATGGCATATGCCTGAGCTCGTGGGGAAACACTAAGCTCCATTTCACTATTCTGAGGCTCTAGAATTTGTGACATTTATGTTTGTTTTTTAAAAATCCGGCCGGGCGCAGTGGCTCACGCCTGTAATCCCAGCACTTTGGGAGGCCGAGGCGGGTGGATCATGAGGTCAGGAGATCGAGACCACGGTGAAACCCCGTCTCCACTAAAAATACAAAAAATTAGCCGGGCGTGGTGGCGGGCGCCTGTAGTCCCAGCTACTCGGGAGGCTGAGGCAGGAGAATGACGTGAACCCGGGAGGCAGAGCTTGCAGTGAGCCGAGATCACGCCACTGCGCCCCAGCCTGGGGGACAGAGCGAGACTCTATACTCCCTCTCAAAAAAAAAAAAAAAAAAAAAAAAATGCATGTACCCGTACCATGCTGTTTTAATAACTGCAATTTTTGAACCAGGTTTTATCATTTGTTAAAGTCCTCCTCATTGGTCTTCTTTTTCAGAAAATATTTGCTATTCTTGGATATATATTCTTCAGGATGGAGTTTAAAATTACTTTACCAAGGTACAAGAATACTCTCTGGTACTTTTATTGTAAATTTTATTAAAACTATTTCAGAGGAATTAACAAGTTAAAAATGTTTGTCCTCTCATTCATGTTTCAGGAGGTTTTTTTGGTAAAGTTTCACCATTTTCTTCATACAGATCTTGCACATTTCTTGTTGAGGTTATTTCTAGGTATTTTCTACATTCTGGTGTTACAGCAAATAAGCTCTCCACTGTGTTTTCTAACTGGTTACTGAAATGTTTAGGACAACTAACAAACCTTTAAAATCTCATTCTAAATGGTTTTCATTTAGACTCCGTGGGTTAGAAAATCATTTCATTTGAAGATATTAATTGTGCCTCCTGATTTCTATTAGTGATGGCTCTTATTTCTGTTTCCTGCTTTATTGCACTGGCTAGGGAATTTTAAAAATTAAATTATAATGGTGATAGCAGATCTTCTTAGCTTGTTACTGATTTTAATGGGGTTACATCTATAGTGTCTTACCATTGCAAATGATGCTAGCTGATGGATTTCGGATAGACATTTTCTATCCCAACAAGGAAAAAAGAATATATGATATTCTTTATGAATTGACATATCATCCTTGCTCTTCCAATCTTCTCTATATTTTTCCAAATTTAACACACATGCTGCAGAAGAAAGGACTGCATTACTCTTTAAATAAAATTAACCTGTTGCCAGGTGCGGTGGCTCATGCCTGTAATCCCAACACTTTGGGAGGCCGAGGCGGGTGGATCATTTGAGGTCAGGAGTTCAAAACCAGCCTGGCCAACATGGTGAAATGCCGTCTCTACCAAAAATAATAATAATAATAATAAAAGCTGGGTGTAGTAGCCCGGGCCTGTAATCCCAGCTACTTGGGAGGCTGAGGTAGGAGAATCACTGAACCCAGGAGGCAGAGGTTGCAGTGAGCCGAGATCAGGCCACTGCACTCCAGCCTGGGAAACAGAGCAAGACTCCATCTAAAAATAATAGTAATAATAATAATAATAATAATAATAGCCTGTCATATTTAAATGTCTTTTAAAATATTTTGAGGGTAAAGGTCAAAACATGTTTTAAAAGCAGTTGGCATTAAAAGTAGGGCTCATAGAGGTCTGTAGCAGGTTGTACAATATTCAACCTAAAGCATTATGGTAATGAATCCTTTCTCTACGGATATAAGCTATTCATCTAGAAAAAGGGAAATCGATTGAGTAAGTTGGTAACTTTGTTTCCACACAGAGCTTTTCTCCGATTAGAGGCCAGGCATTTAGGAAGAAAATGTTTATTTTGGGAGACAACCCAAAAGCCTTTTTTGCTCTAAATATTAAAAGTAGGCAAAGAAATGCTATTGTCCTCCAAATCTAATTAGCAATAATAAAAAAGGGAGTTTTTCCCAGAAAGGGGAGAAGAGATAGTTAACGGCTTTTGACACCTGTAGGAAAGAGAGGGAGGGGGAGCTCAGGGATTTGACCATTAAGAATTGTTAGTTAATGTAGTAACTGAAGAAAACTGCCAGCCCTTGTCAAGATCCTGTGAAAATAGAGACCAGACATCTTTTCAATGCATGGAAGCAGTGTAGCTGAGAACAGTAAACGTTTTCTTACCCGAGGAAACACCAAGCTTTATTTAAGGTGATTAATAACAGGTGAGCTTGATGAAAAAGGAGGCCAACCTAAGTAGGTGGTAATATTTCTTTGTATTTTGTACATATTATATATCTAGGTAAATATCTACTTGATATAGTGAATGCTAAATGTTTACACAGGTTTTTTTTTTCCTCTAGTATACAAGGTCTTTATTCATTCTAATTTAAGATATAATTTCCATAACATATTTTGGTATTTGGAAGCATTATATTTCACACTCTATATATGAACTATTATTGCTTGTAAAATAAATAAGCATTTCTACATGTTTAAATCTAAAAGTTTAATAATCTATATTGACATTGCTTACACTATTCTACTACCTGAATTACCATGTGGATATTACTTTTTCAAAAAAATATGATCCATTAAAAATATTTTATAAGCGCCTATGCCCAGCCGCTGCACCGTCTGGGAAGTGTGGAGTACCTTGGCTGGGCCGCCATGCAACCCTCCAGGAGTGAAGTGGCAGCCTTGTGTGTGATCTTTTTGCCCTCCCCAAGTTTGCATTTTTAACAGTAAAGTTTACTTTTAAATTAAAAGATTTAAATTGGGGAAGATAAAACAATTTATAAATAATACATATTCCCTGTAAAAAGTTCAAAAACAGAAAAGTGCATAAATTGAAATTTGAAAGTAGCTACTACATCCAACCTCATTACTCCCACGTAGCCACTGTTAAGGATTTGCTGTATATTTCAGAGCAAACAAATTCAAAAGCTAGCAGAAGGCAAGAAATAACTAAGATCAGAGCAGAACTGAAGGAGATAGAGACACAAAAAAAACCTTCAAAAAATCAATGAATCCAGGAGCTGGTATTTTGAAAAGATCAACAAAATTGATAGACCGCTAGCAAGACTAATAAAGAAGAAAAGAGAGAAGAATCAAATAGACACAATAAAAAATGATAAAGGGGATATCACCACCGATCCCACAGAAATACAAACTACCATCAGAGAATACTATAAACACCTCTACACAAATAAACTAGAAAATCTAGAAGAAATGGATAAATTCCTTGACACATACACCCTCCCAAGACTAAACCAGGAAGAAGTTGAATCTCTGAATAGACCAATAACAGGCTCTGAAATTGAGGCAATAATTAATAACCTACAAACCAAAATAAGTCCAGGACCAGATGCATTCACAGCCAAATTCTACCAGAGGTACAAAGAGGAGCTGGTACCATTCCTTCTGAAACTATTCCAATCAACAGAAAAAGAGGGAATCCTCCCTAACTCATTTTGTGAAGCCAGCATCATGCTGATATCAAAGCCTGGCAGAGACACAACAAAAAAAGATAATTTCAGACCAATATTCCTGATGAACATCAATGCGAAAATCCTCAATAAAATACAGGAAAACCGAATCCAGCAGCACATCAGAAAGCTTATCCACCACGATCGAGTTGGCTTCATCCCTGGGATGGAAGGCTGGTTCAACATATGCAAATCAATAAATGTAATCCATCACATAAACACAACCAAAGACAAAAACCACATGATTATCTCAATAGATGCAGAAAAGGCCTTCAACAAAATTCAACAGCCCTTCATGCTAAAAACTCTCAATAACTAGAGATTGATGGAACATATCTCAAAATAATAAGAGCTATTTATGACAAACCCACAGCCAATATCATACTGAATGGGCAAAAACTGGAAGCATTCCCTTTGAAAACTGGCACAAGGCAGGGATGCCCTCTCTCACCACTCCCATTCAACATAGTGTTGGAAGTTCTGGCCAGAGCAATCAGGCAAAAGAAAGAAATAAAGGGCATTCAATTAGGAAAAGAGGAAGTCAAATTGTCCCTGTTTGCAGATGACATGATTGTGTATCTAGAAAACTCCATCGTCTCAGCCCAAAATCTTAAGCTGATAAGCAACTTCAGCAAAGTCTCAGGATACAAAATCAATGTGCAAAAATCACAAGCATTCCTATACACCAATAACAGACAAACAGAGAGCCAAATCATGAGTGAATTCCCATTCACAATTGCTACAAAGAGAATAAAATACCTAGGAATCCAACTTACAAGGGATGTGAAGGACCTCTTCAAGGAGAACTACAAACCACTGCTCAAGGAAATAAGAGAGGACACAAACAAATGGAAGAACATTCCATGCTCAAGGATAGGAAGAATCAATATCATGAAAATGGCCATACTGCCCAAGGTAATTTATAGATTCAATGACATCCCCATCAAGCTACCAATGACTTTCTTCACAGAATTGGAAAAAACTACTTTAAAGTTCATATGGAACCAAAAAAGAGCCTGCATTGCCAAAACAATCTTAAGCAAAAAGAACATAGCTGGAGGCATCACGCTACCTGACTTCAAACTATACTACAAGGCTACAGTAACCAAAACAGCATGGTACTGGTACCAAAACAGAGATATAGACCAATGGAACAGAACAGAGGCCTCAGAAGTAACATCACACATCTACAACCATCTGATCTTTTACAAACCTGACAAAAACAAGAAATGGGGAAACGATTCCCTATTTAATAAATGGTGCTGGGAAAACTGGCTAGCCATATGTAGAAAGCTGAAACTGGATCCCTTCCTTACACCTTATACAAAAATTCATTCAAGATGGATTAAAGACTTAAATGTTAGACCTAAAACCATAAAAACCCTAGAAGAAAACCTAGGCAATACCATTCAGGACATAGGCATGGGCAAGGACTTCATGACTAAAACACCAAAAGCAATGGCAACAAAAGCCAAAGTTGACAAATGGGATGTAATTAAATTAAAGAGCTTCTGCACAGCAAAAGAAACTACCATCAGAGTGAGCAGGCAACCTACAGAATGGGAGAAAATTTTTGCAATCTACCCATCTGACAAAGGGCTAATATCCAGAATCTACAAAGAACTTAAACAAATTTACAGGAAAAAAATCAAACAACCCCATCAAAAAGTGGGCAAAAAATATGAACAGACACTTTTCAAAAGAAGACATTTATGCAGCCAACAGACAAATGAAAAAATGCTCATCATCACTGGTCATCAGAGAAATGCAAATCAAAACCACAATGAGATACCATCTCACACCAGTTAGAATGGCGATCATTAAAAAGTCAGGAAACAACAGGTGCTGGAGAGGATGTGGAGAAATAGGAATGCTTCTACACTGTTGGTGGGAGTGTAAACTAGTTCAACCATTGTGGAAGACAGTGTGGCGATTCCTCAAAGATATAGAACTAGAAATACCATTTGACCCAGACATCCCATTACTGGATATATACCCAAAGGATTATAAATCATGCTACTATAAAGACACATGCACACGTATGTTTATTGTGGCACTATTCACAATAGCAAAGACTTGGAACCAACCCAAATGTCGATCAATGATAGACTGGATTAAGAAAATGTGGCATATATACACCATGGAATACTATGTAGCCATAAGAAAGGATGAGTTCATGTCCTTTGTAGCGATATGGGTGAAGCTGGAAACCATGATTCTGAGCAAACTATCGCAAGGACAGAAAACCAAACACCGCATGTTCTTACTCATAGGTGGGAATTGAACAATGAGAGCACCTGGACACAGAGTGGGGAACATCACACACTGGGGCCTGTCATGGGGTGGAGGAAGGGGGAGGGATAGCATTAGGAGAAATACCTAATGTAAATGACGAGTTAATGGGTGCAGCAAACCAACATGGCACATGTATACACCTGTAACAAACCTGCACATTGTGCACACGTACCCTACAACTTAAAATATAATAAAAAAAGAAAAAAGTATACCACATACAATTATGTACAGTACATAATACTGACAAAGATAATAAATGACTATACTTGAATGGTTAAAAAAATGATTTGCTATATATTTCTATGCATATGCAAACACACAAATACAAAGATTTGTTTGTTCTTTAAATGTGATTACATACACTATACAGATTTCTTACAACTTGCTTTTATTCACAATGTAATTGATATCTTTCCATATCTACACAGCAATTTTGGTAATAGTAATATTTTTGTAAAAAAAAAAAAAAGCAGAGGAATCTAACTTACTACTTTTTTTTTTTTCTGTTTTAAGTTGGCCCTGTCTGGATAAACTTCACAATTGTACCAAACCAGTAAACCTAATTTAACATCATCCACCTTGTGGCAGCTAATGGAATTATTGGCTAATGTCTTAAAGTAGTAATTCTCAAATTTTAGCATCTATCAAGGTTGTACCACATAATTGCCTTCCCACTCAGTCCTGCAGGGATGATTTATAGGTTTCTTATGAGCAAGGCTTTGAAACTGAGAGAATAGACTCTTTCTCTTCTGAAGACCACTCTATCTCCCAATTACCCACAATAAAATGCCTATTAGCAATTCACTAACACAACACAACACAGTTGTCCTCAGAAGTAAAACAGGGAGAAAACACACAGGCCCTTGTCCCCAGCATAGCTCAGACCAGTCATTCTCAAACTGTAGTACACACTAAAAATGACCAGGAGGCTTGTTAAAATACAGACCACTGGGTCCCACAACCAGAATTTCTGATTCTCAGGCTCCAGCCTGAGAATTTGCATTTCTAACAAGTTCCCAAGTGATGCAGCTCCACCTGCTCCCAGGACTACTCTTTGAGAATAACTGTCTCACAGAAAATAATCAACCTCTTCATCCACTTCCCAATGTGTCTGACTTAAGACAAACAAAAGTCACAGAACAGAATTCACCAAAAGTCAAAAAAGTAGGCCGAAACTAGAACTTGCATATAGAATGCTAGTTAATTGCTATCTGTCAAAACCAAACTGCAGTAAGAAATGTTGAAGCGCTTATCTCTATTTACTGGATTGAAAATATAACTTTTCTTTTCCCCCAGGTCTTCTTACTTTCAACTTAGCTAGGTCCCCCAATTAAGATGGAATACGTGGCCTCAGAGCATCATCACTTAAAAAATAAAAAAAGCTATTGTAATCCTAGAGTGAAAAATGAGACCCTAAGAATGGTTAATAGCATATTTCTGTTCAGTCTTCGTAGAAGCTCCTAGTAGAAATGGAGTCTTTCAAAGGAAGCCCTTCTTCATTCCCAATGCCAAACCAAGCTCTTTTCTACTCAAGTGATTCCTGTTGTCCAACATTCATCCGAAGAAGAATATTGAAGGGGTAGGGCTGGGCACAGTGGCTCACACCTGTAATCCCAGCACTTTGGGAGGCCAAGGTGGGTGGAACACCTGAGATCAGGAGTTTGAGACCAGCCTGGGCAGCATGGCGAAATCCTGTCTCTACTAAAAATATGAAAATTAGCCAGTATGGTGGCGTGCACCTGTGGTCCCAGCTACTCGGGAGGTTGAGGCACGAGAATCGCTTGAACTCAAGAGGCAGAGGTTGCAGTGAGCAGAGATGGTGCCCCTGCACCCCAGCCTGGCCAACAGAATGAGACTCTGTCTCAAAAATAAATAAATAAAAAAGAAAGAATAATGAAGGAGTAAAGAGTACTTGGCTCCAATCCCAACTTCACACTTCCTACCTGTGTCACCTGACCTCTGTACCTTCAGTTTTCTTACCAATAAAATGGGTATAATAATAACCCCTATTTGAAAGTTATACAGATTCAATAGTATAATACAATGCATGTAAATCACTTAGCACAGTATCTGGCATATAATAAATATTCAATAAATAGCTATTACTACTAAAACTGCTAATGCCTACTAAATAATTGGAATACAGAATTGGGTTTCTGGCTATATATCTATCTTTCTTTCAACACAAACATAACTAACAATGTACCTTTAAAATTTTTTTTAGGTTGAATATTACATGATCCAATTTACATATCATATGATCTGTGTGACTGCTATACAGAGAGTGAACCATGTGTACACAAAGATGAAAATGAGAACCTACACTGGAGACTATTACAATAATCAAGGGGAGAGATGATGGTGGCTTGGACTAAATGATTGCGATGAAGATAGGAATATGAGATTAATATGAGAGATTTTGGAGATAAAACCAAACAGATTTGGGGATAGATTAGATATCAGGAAAAAGGAAGAATTTAAGATGACTACTAGTTTCCTAGCATGGATAGCTAAGGGGATTGGTGATATGATTAACCAACATGAAAAAGAAGCAAAGATTATGGAGAGTAGGAATAGAAGCAAAATGTTGGGATTTGAAGACAGTATGCCATATTCTCAAGCCACCCTGCAGGTCACTGCCGAGTATGCCAAACTGTAAGTCCTAATCATCCTCTGACTGTGAGCCTTTTCTGCAGCTAGTCACATAAACAATGAAGTAGGTCAGGTATAACTACCATGCAACTACTGTGCAACTATTTTCTCCCTGGAGAATGCACTGGCTTGTTTACTGCTTGCTACAAAAGGTGCTGAGCCTTTAGTCCTGGATTCCTCAGGTTGCAGTGCAACTTACTCCATGTGGAGCTACCAACCAGGGCCATACGTCCATGTGGTACCATGGGGAACAAGCACTACCATGTGAATGCTCTTCCTGTTTACTGTAAGCTCAAACTATAACGTTCACATAGAATGCTCCTTAATCCGTTTACCGTGCTTTGAGTATTGTCTTGTTCTGATTCAGGGGTCAGAAAACTGTTCCTGCAGTGGGCCAGATAGTAAATATTTTAGGTTTTCTAAGCCAGCTGTAAGAATTACTCAATTATTGTCATTGTAGCATGAAAGCAGCCACAAACAATATGTAAACAAATGAGTGTGGATGTGTTACATTAACATTTTATTATGGACACTGAAAGTTGCCTATCATATAATCTTCATGTGTCATAAAACATTATCCTTCTTTTGACTTTTTTAAACATTAAAATATAAAAACATAGGCTGGGTGTGGTGGCTCACACCTGTAATCCTAGCACTTTGGGAGGCTGAGGCAGGTCGATTGCTTGAGCCCAGAAGTTCAAGACCAGCCTGGACAACATAGCAAGACCCAGTCTCTAAATGAAAAAAAAAAAATTAAAATTAACTATAAAAACAGTTCTTAACATACAAAGACAGTTGGTGGACTGGATTTTGCCAGCGGATGTAGTTTGCTAACCTCTTCTCTATAAAACTGATTCAAGTTGCCTACTTTTGACTCATATGGCACTGTGGCAAGACAAACTGCTTGCTTAGTAATCTCTTTTGGAGTTTTGTTATTCCTTCCTATTCTCTGTCAGATTGGGATTCTTTGCCAACAATGGGATACATTTTTAACATGCTTAATTTGAGGTACCCATAGGACTATAGACATAGAAATGGAGATAGGCATGCCCACCCTAAGGAAAGATATCAGAAATAAAGATATATTTGAAAGGCATTAGATTGTAGGTGATAATTAAGACAAAAAGGTTGGCTAAGTTTGCCCAAGGATAATATGAATAATGAGAAAAGGAGAGAACCAGGGATGTGAGATCCTGGGAAACTTGTACATTTAGAGTAGTGTTTCTGAACTTGGGGTGATCTTGCCTCCCTAGGGACATTTGGAAATGTTTGAAGACATTTTTGGCTATCACAACTGGAAGAGTGCTACTGGCATCTAGTGGGTAGAGGCTAGGAATGCTACTAAACATCAGACAATGCACAGTCTAGCCCCCCACAACAAAAAAAAATTTCCAGTTCAATATGCCAGTAGTGCAGAGGGTAAGAAACTGATTTAGAAGAAAGAGAAAAACAAAAAGAGAAATAAAATAAGACCCAAGGAACACACCCAGTGCCTAGACCTTGAGCTCTAATACCATTCCTAATAAAAGTACGCAGTAATTCTTAAAAGAAGTGGTTGCTTCTAGGGACTGGTGCAGAGAATGTACAAATGAACTTGGTGCATCATGTGGTGTCAGAAAGTAATTAAGTGCTAACACACACACACGTTGATGGAGTATGTCAAAGGGACAAGGAAGCCAACTGAAAGAGCTCCCAATGGCCAACTGGAACAACTTGAGCGACAAAACAAATACATTGCATTGGATGGTCATCCAAGAATTAAATAGACATCCATGAGTCTATACTGATATAAATGAATGATTGAATAAATAAATGAGGAAGAAGAACCAAATCTCCAGTGAAAAAGAATTGCAAATACTTTAGGTATTCCACCCAAAAGGAAAGGCAGAGCACAACTACTCACTCCTTATTTGTGATATGGGCTCTGCAGAGTAGCATCCTTCCAAAAGAACAGTATGGAAAGTGGGGGAAAAAACACTACTTTAACCAGGTGATCAAGGTCAACAATTGTGATAAATCAATTTGGTGTTAAGGACCCTTGATATAACTGAAAAGAATGACAATTTACCTCTGTGGTCTTCCTCCTCAAAACCCAGAACCCCAGTCTACTTAGGAAGAAAACATCAGACAAATATCAATAGAGGGACATTCTGCAAAATACCTGACCAGTACTTCTCAACACTTTCAAGGTCATCAAAAACAAGGAAAGTCTGAGAACCTGTCACAGCCAAGAAAAATCTAAGGATACATGACAGCCAATTGTAATATAGTATCCTAGATGGGTTCTGGAACAGGATAAAGACATTAGGTAAAAAACTAAGAAAATCTTAATAAAATATGGGCTTTAGTTTGTTATAATGGACCAATATGGTTTCATTAATTGTAACAAATGTACCATACTGTTGTAAGATCTTAATAATAGGGAAAACTGGATGTGGGGCATATAGGAACTCGTACTAAATTTACAATTTTTCTCTAAATCTAAAACTACTATAAAATAATAAAGAGTTTATTAAAGAATGGAAGGGCTAGGAATGGCCAGAGAGGTGGGATAATTGTAATAGCAATATGGAAAGCAAGGAAGAAGAGGATTTCAATGATCCGTGAACTATGGATTAAGGATAAACAAATAAAATAGGATTAAAAAGTATCTCATGGAGTTGGTGCTTGAAATTGTTTCCTGAATGACTGGTGTAGACTATTCTTTCAAGAAGTTTGGTTTTGAATAAAAAGAAAGATACAAGGTTCAGCTGGGCGCTGTGGCTCACACCTGTAAATCCCAGCACTCTGGGAGGCCGAGGCGGGTGGATCACCTGAGGTCAGGAGTTCGAGACCAACCTGGCAAACATGGTGAAACCCCATCTCTACTAAAAATACAAGCCGGGCATGGTGGCAGTCACCTGTAATCTGTAATCCCAGTTACTCAGGAGGCTGAGGCAGGAGAATCACTCAAACCTGGGAGGCGGAGGTTGCAGTGAGCCGAGATCACACCATTGCACTCCAGCTGGGCAACAAGAGTGAAACTCCGTCTCAAACAAAAACAAAAACAAGACACAAGGGTCATAACTGGAAGGTGAGATTGGTTGGAAAGGTAGATTTCCTCCTTTTTCAAGTCAGAGAAAAACTCTACTTATTTTCTCCCTCCATATCATTTATCTAGAGAAAACATCCTTCTCATCTCTATTTAGTTTCTACCATATCTTTGTCTTTTTGTTGGTTTTTTTGTTTGTTTGTTTGTTTTGTTTTGTTTGTATTCCATGAATCAGCAACTACTATATATATCCTTTAAGGCCCAACTCTGTCTCCATCTCTGTTAACTCTTCCTCAATTACTTCCATCCACACCAAGTTTTCCCTTCCCTAATTCCCACTACACTGTTTGTCATTATTACACAGTTGGTCCCTTACTATTCTCATGGGGATAACCACCTTGAAAATAAGGCCTCCAGCGCACACTTTTGCACCTCCTGCAGTTTCTATCACTAGACTCTACAGGTAACAGCTACCAGGTAAAGTCTATTTGGCTCGCTGGATGACTTCAAACATTCCAGCTAACTCTAGGAAGCTTGTGATGATCAGCTTCACTGGATTTGACTTCTGCTTCACCCCATTCAGTTTGTCTATGTGGTGCTTTCTAAAAATCTTCCTCTGTAACTCCTTACAGTGCCCAATAGAGAATAAATGTTTGTTGAGTGAATAAATGAGTTCGCATTCTGTCATCCTCTCTGGATAAAAATCTTCTTGAGGGAAAACTTAGTTTTTCCTGATATGTGTCTGTAGTACTCAGTACAGAGATCTGTACACAGTAGATTCAAAAACTCTAATTGACTGACCAATAGCTAAATTGCTAGTAGTAAACGTGATCCAAACTTTGTGTTTGTGCACTCAGATAGATGTTTCTTCAGTTAGCACCTAAAATGGATATTTTTAAGAAATGCTGTGAAAATTTTCAAACATTCATAGAACTAGAGAAAATAATATAAATCCTCATGTTCTCATAACTGGGCTTCAACAATTATAAATATTTTGCCAATCTTACTTCATATATTTTCTATCCTCAGTAACGGTTTTTTCTATTTTTTGAGGGGGCAGGACATCTTAAATAAAATTCCACATGTAATGTTACCTACCTTCCTTCCTCTCTCCCTCTCTCCCTCTCCTCTCTTTCTCTCTTTCTTTCTAGACAGTCTTGCTCTGTCACCCAGGCTGAGTGCAGTGGCATGATCTCGGCTCTCTGCAACGTCTGCCTCCCAGGTTCAAGCAATTCTCGTGCCTCAGCCTCCTGAGTAGCTGAGATTACAGGTGCACGCCACCATACCCAGCTAATTTTTGTATTTTTTAGTAGAGATAGGGTTTCGCCATTTTGGCCAAGCTGGTCTCAAACTCCTGGACTCAAGTGATTTGCCTGCCTCGGCCTCCCAAAGTGCTGGGATTACAGGTGTGAGCTACGGTGCCAGGCACATAACATTATTTCAACTGGAAATATTTCAGTAAATTTCTCTAATAGATAAGGACTTTTAAAACAAAGCATAATACTGTTACCATACCTAACAAAATAAAAATTACGTTATTAATATCATCTAATATGTATTCAAATTTCCCTATTGTCTCAATTTTTTTTTAAATTATTCTAGGTCTGGCCGGGCATGGTGGCACTTTTTATTTTACTTTTTAAAAAAGTTATTCTGAGCCTAAACAAGATCTGATTGGATAGTGTCGTCAGCTTAACAGCAAAAGTTTTAAAAATAATACTTATAGCTGTCATAGAAGAGGGAGCAGGAAGGTCTTGGCATCAACTGTCGCACCACACAACCTAACACTCGATAGTATGCTGTCTTACATTGTTCTCCAGCTATATTATGAGTCTTAGTTCCACAACTAGATTGGAAGCTCTCTGAGGACAAGAACCATGATTCCTACTTCTCTGGATTCCCCACTGTGCCTGTCATAAAGCTGAACAGACGGTTTTTGAGTTTATTAACCATATATTTATATCACAACACAATTTGGCTGATTAGATCAATTCAGATATTTTTTAAGTACAACCACAAAAATTAACAATAGCACTACTCTTTTTCCAAAGTTTCTATATTGAAACATACTATTAACTTCCACGATTATCTACATCTCAGGAATTCTTCTAAATACATACCAAGTGGAATCATAGCACTGTGATTCTCTGTGAATTCATAATGGCTCTCTTAGGGACCTATTTATTTAATCCATTCAGCGTCTAGGTCTGGTTCCTTCCAACTTTTGGCAATTCTGAATAAAGGCTCTACAAACATTCGTGTGCAAGCTTTTGTGTGGACATAAGTTTTCAGCTCCTTTAGGTAAACCCTAAGAAGCATAATTGCTGGATTATATGGTCAGAGGATGTCTTCCAAAAATGCTGCACCATTTTGCATTCCCACAGCAATGAATGAGAATTGCTGTTGCTTTATTATCCTCACCAGCATTTGCTGTTGTCAGTATTCTCGATTTTGGAATTCTAGTAGCTGTATAGTGATAGCTCATTATGGTTTTCATTTGTAATTCTCTAATGATATATGTCAGATTCTTATTTGCAATCTGTATATCTTTGGTAAGATGTCAGTTAAGGTCTTTGGCCAATTTTTTTTTTTTTTGAGACAGAGTCTTGCTCTGTCACCCATGCCGGAGTGCAGTGATGCAATCTCAGCTCACTGCAACCTCCACATCCCCAGGTTCAAGCGACTCTCCCACCTCAGACTCCCCAGTAGCTGGGATTACAGGGATATGCCAACACACCTGGCTAATTTTTGTATTTTTAGTAGAGACTGGGTTTTGCCATGTTGGCCAGGCTGGTCTTGAACTCATGGCCTTGAGTGATCTACCTGTCTCGGCCTCCCAAAGTGCTGGGATTACATGCGTGAGCCCCAGCACCCGGCCTTTGGCCAATTTTTAATCAGGTTTTTTTTTTTTTCCTTACTGTTCTAAGAGTTCTTTATATATTTTGAATAACAGTTCTTTTTTTTTTTTTTAGACAGAGTCTCACTCTGTCACCCAGGCTGGAGTGCAGTGGCACGATCTCAGCTCACTGCAACCTCCGCCTCCCGGGTTCAAGCGATTCTTCTGCCTCAGCCTCCTGAGTAGCTGAGATTACAAGCATGCGCCACCATACCCAGCTAATTTTTGTATTTTTAGTAGAGATGGGGTTTCACTATATTGGCCAGGCTGATCTCGAACTCATGGCCTCGAGTGATCTGCCTGCCTCAGCCTCCCAAAGTGCTGGGATTACAGGCGTGAGCCACCATGCCCCGCCGGATAACAGTTCTTTATGTGACATGTCTTTTACAAGTAATTTCTCCCACTCTGTGGCTTGTCTTATGATTATTGATATAGTTGGATTAATATCTACCACATTTGTTGCTGTTTTCTATTTGCTGTCTTTGTTCTTTTTTCCTATCTTTGTCTTCCACCTTTTTTCTGCCTTTTGTGGCTTTGAGCGTTTTAAAATGCCATTGTCTCTTTTCTTAGCATATCAGTTATCCTTCTATTAATACTTTTTTCTAATTTTTAGTGTGGTGTTTGTTTCTACTTTCCTGTGGTGTTTGTAATATAAATTTACCACTAATACAAGCCAGCTTTGAAATAATACTATATAGTTTCATGGGTAGTTTAAATACCTTATAATAACAAAATAATCCTAATTCCTGTCTCCTGTCCCTTGTCATTGCTGTCATTCATATCACTTATACATAGGCAAATACATACATAATTGAACATATTGTTGCTATTACTATTTTGAACAAACTATCATCTGGACCAGTTAGGAATAAGAAAAATACCTTATTTTACCTTCATTTATTCCTTCTCCAATACTCTTCCTTTCTTTATGTAGATCCAAGTGTCTGACCTATGTAATTTTTCTTTGCTCTAAATAATTTCTTTTAACATTTCTTACAAGGCAAATCTACTGGCACCAATCTCCCTCCATTTTTGTTTGTCTGACAAAGACTTTTTTCTCTCAATACTTTCAGTATTTAACTCTAATCTCTTCCTGCTTGCATGCAAGGTTTCTGAGAAGTCAGATATAATTCTTATCTTTGTTCCTCTATAGGTAAGGTATTTTTTCTACTCTAGCATCTTTTATAATTTTTTCTTTATCTTTAATTTTCTTCAATTAAAATATACTATACCTAAGTGTACTATTTTGAGAATTTATCCTGCTTGCTGTTGTCTGAGATTACTGGATTTGTGGTTAATCTGGAGATGTGCTCAGTCATTATTGATTCAAATATTTCCTCTATTCTTTTCTCTTTCTTCCCTTTCTGGTATTCTCATTATGTGTATGTTACACCTTTTGTAGTTTTTCCACAGTTCTAGAATATTCTATGCTTTTTTTTTTTTTTAGTCTTTTTAATCTGTGTTTTTCAGTTTGGAAGTTTCTTTTATAATATTCCTAAGCTTAGCAATTCTTTCCTCAGATGTGTTCATTCTACTAGTAAGCCCATCGAAGACAATTTCCATTTCTTTTTTTACAGTGTTGTTTTATTTCTAGCACTTTTTTTCTGTTCTTTCTTAGAATTTCCATCTCTCTGCTTACATTGCCTATCTGTTATTGCATGTTTTCCACTTTATCCATTAATATGGATATGTTTTAAATTCATGGTCTAAGAATTCCAAAATACTTGCCATATCTGAGTCTGATTCAGATGCTTGCTCTGTCTCTTCAAACTGTGTTTTTTGCCTTTACATGTGCCTTGTGATTTTTTGTTGAAGGGTAGATATGATGTACATGCTAAAAGGAACTTCTGTAATTAGGCCTTTAGTGATGTGGTGGTAAAGTGCAGCAGGAAAAGAGAAGAAACATTCTATGCTCCTATAATATGGTCTCAGGCATTTAATGAGCTTGTACCTCTGGACTGTGAACGTCAAAAATGCGTTTCAATTTTTTTCATGCCTTAGATGGGACACAATGGCTAGACTGGGCTGGAGTTGTGTATTTCTCTTCTTCTATGTGAAAGGCTAGACGGGGCAGGAATTGAGTACTTCCTTACCCCAGGTCAGTCAGGTTCTGAAAAAAACCCAATACTTTAGGGTCTGGTAAAATAATTTCTCTTGAAGACAGGCCTTGTTAACAAGAATAGAATGCTCTGGTGTTATCTCAAAATGATTACCTTTTTCCCTTTCCCTGTGGAAGCACAAAGGGATTTCTCTTTCATCTTCACTGTGAGAATGCAATTGTATTCCTGGAGGTAAAACTCACAAAGTGTAACCCTAACCCTAATCCCCCAACCTCATGACTGGTACTTCTGGTTATTTTATGGATTTCTGCTCTGGTAACTTGTGATTCTCTATATTCTCCCATCTGTCTCTACAATTTTGGAAGCAGCACTTTGCCTTGTGACCTCACTTCTCTGATAGATCTAAGAAGAGTTGCTGATTTTTCGGTTTGTTCACCTTTTACTTTTTGTTAGGATGAAGTGGAAGCGTGAAGCTCCTTACATGCTGGACTAGAAATCGGAAGTCCTGAATTTTTCATCACACTTATAAATAGACCTTAAGATAAATGATGTTCAAATCTATAGAGCACTGTTTTCTGTCTCTGTAACAAGAATACTACGGATTAAGTTATTCATAAAGAAGATACGTTTATTTAGTTCACAGTTATGGAGTCTGGAAGAGCATGGTGCTGGTATCTGATGAAAGCCTCTTTGCTGGGTTATACATGGCAGAGGGCAACATATGGCAAGAGGGTAAGAGCAAGAGAGCCAGAGAGAACGCACTTTTATAACAAAGCCACTCACAAAAGAACAATCCACTCCTGTGATGGCAACATTAATCCATTCATGAAGCAGAGACCTCATTAGTCCTCTCATGGGGGCAAAGGAATTAATTTTCCAACACATAAACTTTTTGGGGCCACATTCAAACCATATCAAATATACTACCATATTTTCACACTCTTCTTTCAGAGAGTGATGGTTTTGCAAAGGCTGTATCCACACATGATATCAACATTCACAAGCAAACAATGTCATCACTAATTTCAGCATTCAGAAGGACAAAATGAAACAGTATGTAAAACATTCTACAATTCCATGACAAATTCAGCAACCATTATGTATAGATTCCCCAATACATTTTCCCTATTGATACTTTTTTGAAGACAACATTGCTAAAGTTTTTCCATTGCTAAGCAAGTCATGTGTGAAACCTCCCAGACCTAGAGGCAGGGGGCCTAATCTCAGGGGCCTTTCCCCACTGTTGAACAGTTAGAGCTTCAGTTAGGCTTTGCTCTTGTTCAAATCTATCTCCCCTTTGCAAAATGAAAAATGCTATTTCTGAATGGACTCATTGGGACTGGTAGAAGACCCAATAGCTTCTTAGGTCTGAGTGCTTATAGTAACTGTTTTGCTTTCTATTGTTTTAGTTGCTTAGTTTCAATTAAACTTGCCACACCAGGCGAGATGATTGCTTTAGAGGCAGTCTCAGAAAATAGGTCACCCTCTTTGTCAAGCTATCTTCCCCTCCAGAACTGCTTCAGACCACTCCCACCAGACATGTTACATGTCTTTCTTTCAGCTAACTGATGGGAGCACTTCCTTCTGAGCCAGATGCTGTATTGTTAATTTGTTGGAAGATATACTATTATTAGCAAGACTGGCCTTACACAAAGATGGGGTAGGCAGCCTGTTAGTGTTATTTCAGTGACAATGGGAAGGCGCCCTTTGCCAAAAATATCGCTCCAGCCTGTTCTCTGAGGCTTAAAATCATTTAATGAGGACTTTGCATTCTCTTTCAGAATTAGAGATAAAGATGATAAATCAGATACTCTTGAGAGAGAGAATTGGACTCCCACAGCATTTGTCTCATATCTCAGTAATAGCACTTAACTATGTTGCTTTATAATTTATCTGTTTGCTTGTCTGTCTGCCCCCACAAGGCTGTGAATTCCTTGAGGGCAGTGACCATGCCACACTCAATTCTGACTCCTAAGACTTTTTACAAGTGCCTGGCAGAAAACAAATACTCAGTAAACAAAATGACAAAGGAACAAATTAGTGAATGAGAAAATTCATATCTACCATGAGATCTAAAGGACTGAGAAGAAACTTTTTCTTAGGAATAGGGAATAAAAGGGAAACAAAAGTGCTATCAGAGCCCCAGAAGAGGTATGAGAGAATAATGATAGTCCTAACTATAGAAAGCCCACTGTTAAAGAGATTGTCATCTATTCCTGATTCAGGGCTGCTTCATCTATTTACTTTGCAAGATACATCTGTCCTATTTTGTTTAAGAAAAAAGTAAAACCACTGTCAAAATGTTTCATTTCTAAAGAATCCAGAAAGAGCTAGCTCAGTTTGCCTCCACAGATTAGGCTTTTTTACCCCTTTAGGAAATTAGCCCTCACTGTAGGAAGTGATTTGTGAGCAGTCTCACAGAAGACACATTAAAGTCCAACATTTTATAAAATGAAAACTTGTCCAAAGTCCAGGTCTGTATTGGGGAAATTAAAAACCCAGCCTGGCTGATTCATTCTTATGTTCTGTCTTTAGAACAAGATGTGTGCTGTGCAAATGATCCAATTATAATAGGTGCATGATATTTTTACACAAACAACAACAAAAAAATCCAATCCATTAATTTTTCAGCTCTTAAGGCCAGGAGCTGTGGCTCGTGCCTGTAATCCCAGTACTTTGGGAGGCCGAGGCAGGCGGGTCACCTGAGGTCAGGAGTTCAAGACCAGCCTGGCCAACATGGTGAAAACCTGTCTCTGCTAAAAATAAAAAAATTAGCCTGTAATCCTAGCACTATTTGACCATTTCTTTTGATACCTGTACAATTCTCAGGCTCCAGCCTAAGAATTTGCATTTCTAACAAGTTCCCAAGTGATGCAGCTCCACCTACTCCCAGGACCACACTTTGAGAATAACTGTCTCAGGAAATAACTTCTTCATCCACTTCCCAATGTGTTTGACTTAAGACAAAAGTCACAGAACAGAATTCACCAAAAATCAAAAAGGTAAGGCAAAACTAGAACTTGCATATAGAATGCGCTTTAATTTCTATCTGTTAAAACCCAACTGCAGTAAGAAACGTTGTAGCACTTATCTCTATTTACTGGATTGAAAATACAACTTTTCTTTTCTTACTTTTGACTTAGCTAGGTCCCCCAATTAAGATGGAATAGGTGGCCTCAGAGAGTCATCACTTAAAAAAAAAAAAACAAAAAAAACTATTGTAGGCCGGGTGCAGTGGCTCACACCTATAATCTCAGCACTTTGGGAAGCCGAGGTGGGCGGATCACGAGGTCAGGAGTTCAAGACCAGCCTGGCCAACACGGTGAAACCTCATCTTTACTAAAGATACAACAAATTAGCTGGGCATGGTGGTGCACGTCTGTAATCCCAGCTACACGGGAGGCTGAGGCAGGAGAATTGCTTGAACCCGGGAGGCGGAGGTTGGAGTGAGCCAAGATGACACCACTGCACTCCAGCCTGGACGGCAGGGAGAGAATCTGTCAAAACAAACAAACAAACAAAAAAAAACTATTGTAATCCTATAGTGAAAATGAGACCCTAAGAATGGTTAATAGTATATTCTGTTCAGTCTTTGTAGAAGCTCCTAGTAGAAATGGTGTCTTTCAAAGGAAGCCCTTCTTCATTCCCAATGCCAAACCAAGCTCTTTTTCTACTCAAGTGATTCCTGTTGTCCAACATTCATCCGAAGAAGAATATTGAAGGGGTAGGGCTGGGCACAGTGGCTCATGCCTGTAATCCCAGCACTTTAGGAGGCTGAGGCTGGTGTATCACCTGAAGTCAGGAGTTCAAGACCAGCCTGGCCAACATAGTGAAACCCCATCTCTACTAAAAATACAAAAATTCGCCAGGCATGGTGGTGAACACCTGTAATCCCAGCTACTCAGGAGGCTGAGGCAGGAGAATCACTTGAACCTGGGAGGCAGAGGTTGTGGTGAACCGAGATCGTGCCATTGCACTCCAGCCTGGATGACAGAGCAAGACTCCATCTCAAAAAATAAAATAATAGCCGGGCATGGTGGCCAGTGCTTGTAATCCCAGCTTCTCGGGAGGCTGAAGCAGGAGAATCACTTGAACTCGGGAGGCAGAGGTTGCAGTGAGCCAAGATCGCACCACTGCACTTCAGCTTGGGCGACAGAGTGACACTCCATCTCAAAAAAAAAAAAAAAAAAAATGGCCGGGCATGGTGGCTCACGCCTGTAATCCCAGCACTTTGGGAGGCCGAGGCGGGCGGATCAAGAGGTCAGGAGATCGTGACCATCCTGGCTAACACGGTGAAACCCCGTCTCTACTAAAAATACAAAAAATTAGCCGGGCGCGGTGGCGGGCGCCTGTAGTCCCAGCTACTCAGGAGGCTGAGAATGGCGTGAACCCGGGAGGCGGAGCTTGCAGTGAGCCGAGATCGTGCCACTGCACTCCAGCCTGGGCAACACAGCAAGACTCCATCTCAAAAACAAACAAACAAACAAATAAAAAACTACCAAATAATGTATTCATTTTGCAAGTATCGATTAACTACCTACCATGTGATAGGCTCTGAGCTAAGTGCTGGGCATTTAATAGTGAAGACGACGAACAAGGTTGTGTCCCACCACAGACCATCTTGCCCCATCTATCATTTCCAATCCATGTGTAAACTTGATACTTGCTGAGCCTGGTTCAGAAGGATGAGAGGGAGGATGAAACAACTGCCAGGAACGTCTGTGGCATACATCATTTTTTAATAAAAGCCATGTTTTTCAACCCAGTTGTTTTATCAAAATAGATGCCACAAATTGGCTATGTCAGGAGGAATCAGCCTTGATCAGGGAGAGCATGGAGGTCCTTGAGAAACTCTTTACTCTAGGCAGAAGAACCTCCGGCTATGTGCTGGGGGTCTAGATTCTAGTCCAGGCTATAACTTCCTGTGAAATATAAAACAAATCAGTTAAACTCTACGTACCCATTTCTTTCTTTCTTCCTTCCTTCCTTTCTTCCTTCCTTCCTTCCTTTCCTTTCTTTCTTTCCTTTCTTTCCTTTCCTTTCTTTCTTCCTTCCTTCCTTCTTTTTTTTCTTTGACAGACTCTTGCTCTGTCCCCAGGCTGGAGTGCAATGGTGCAATCTCGGCTCGCTGCAACCTCTGCCTCCCAGGCTCAAGCAATTCTCCTGCCTCAGCCTCCTGAGTAGCTGGGATTACAGGCACGCACCACCGCTCCCAGCTAATTTTTTGTGTGTGTGTTTTTAGTAGAGACGGGGTTTCACCACGTTGCCCAGGCTGGTCTTGAACTCCTGACCTCAGGTGATCCACCTGCCTTGGCCTCTTGGCCTCCCAAAGTACTGGGATTACAGGCGTGAGCCACCACGCCTGGCCTATGTACCCATTTCTTGAAAGGCAACATGAGGATTATCTTCTCTGCTATTTCTATACCACAAGATGTTTTTTTTTTTTTTTTTTTTTTGAGACAGAGTCTCCCTCTGTTGCCCAGGCTGGAGTGCAGTGGTGCGATCTCGGCTCACTGCAACCTCTGCCTCCTGGGTTCACACCATTCTCCTGCCTCAGCCTCCCCAGTAGCTGGGACTACAGGCGCCCACCACCACGCCCAGCTAATTGTTTGCATTTTTTAGTAGAGACGGGGTTTCACCATGTTAGCCAGGATGGTCTCGATCTCCTGACCTCGTGATCCACCCACCTCAGCCTCCCAAAGTGCTGGGATTACAGGCGTGAGCCACCGCACTGGGCCACCACAAGATGATTTTGATAATAAGATGTAAACTAATAAATGACAATAATTATAGTGAACATTTGGACACACCATGTACTAGATGTGTGCTAAGCCCTTTCATAGACTCATTTAATGTTTTCAGCTGTATGAGATTATTGCTACTATTTTCTATTAGTTTACAGGTAGATAACCTAGTTCAGAGAGGATAGGTGACTAGCTCAAGATCACACATTTAAGTGGGGGATGAAATTCAAAATCAGATCTTTCTGATTTCAGAGCCCAACCAAGATGTGAAACTATATATATGGCTAGACTATTTAGCACATTATATTGGAGCTAGATATTAACATCTTAGTATGAACTGATAATTTGTTATATCCTGAGCCCTGAAACCTGATGGAAAAATGAGTTAATCATATTCTGCTTGGTATTCTAGACATATTCTCTCCTCCCTTAACCTACTCTAAGCTAACTATCATTGGAATATCTGATTATAAAATTAACACTAAGATATTACTGCCTGATAAACAGTTTACTATGTTTTCCTTCTTAGGGTCATTGAATTACAACAGGAGGCATGAACCATAGGAATTGTGAAGAAGGCATTTTTTAGACTTACCAGTCTCCTTTAACACTCCTTGTATTACATTCATAGGCAATCACTTACTCAGCCTATGCACAGAACCAACACTGAAAAAGCTTCACTGTAGCTATTTGTATAAGCTGGGACAAATACTACAGATCAAAATCTGGAAACATAGTTAGAAGTCTGTTATTCTAGAGCCATGCCTAGTGTGTTTATATAGGAAACATTTATTGAGCGTCTTCTATATCTGAGGCATTCTTACATGCAGCGTTTCCCTTAATGCTCACAGCCACACTGTGAGATAGGCATTATTTTTTATTATTATTATTTATTTTTGGGATGGAGTCTCGCTCTTTCACCCAGGCTGGAGTGCAGTGGCGCAATCTCTGCTCTCTGCAAGCTCCGCCTCCCGGGTTCATGCCATTCTCCTCCCTCATCCTCCCGAGTAGCTGGGACTACAGGCGCCCGCCACCACACCCGGCTAATTTTTTGTATTTTTAGTAGAGACGGGGTTTCACATGTTAGCCAGGATGGTCTCGATCTTCTGACCTCATGATCTGCCCGCCTCGGCCTCCCAAAGTGCTGGGATTACAGGCGTGAGCCACCGTGCCCAGCCGAGATAGGCATTATTATACCTAATTTTGTAGATGCATTAACTGAGAATTTGAAAGGTTAGATAATTTGTCCAAAGTAGCGTAGCTAATAAATATGCACATTAAATCATGAGTACTCTGGCATGTATGGTTGGCATCTGAGCCAAAAGTCATTTCTCACTCTTTCTTTCCTAACAGATCCCAATGTTATTCTAGCAGCAATCTGTTCAGGCCTAGAGGATGTATCATAAATCATTTAAGCCCGCAATGGCAATGCTGTACCCCTTTGACAGTGACTGAAAATCAGCTGGGGCATCTGAGAAAGGCATAGGAATAAAAGGCTCTTTTGGTGCCACTGATGCCCTCTTCGGTCCTGCTTTGGACACGGTAGTATGATGATGTGATATGTGGAGCTACAGCAGCCATTATCAAATCACGAGGAAAGACATCATGGGCTCACTGAAGAAGGGAGGGTGGAAGGCATCACAGCAACCTGCCTCCTTAAGGACATTGTTGAAACACCAGATCAACCCTGGGCCCTTCCTTCTTCATTGTTCTGTGATTCAGCTGCTGTTAGTTAGGTATTCTAATATTTGCAGTCAGAAGAATTTTTAAACAACTACAACAAAATAAAATATACCATATGAGTCAAATGAATGGTGTACAAATTAAGTGCTGCCTGAGAGCAAGAAGAGGTTCTCTTGGTTGAGTTTGTCAAAGAGAGGGACATAAAATAAGACTACTTGAAGCTGGGTCTTAAAGGATGATGGGCATTTCTAAATATAGAGATGAAGAGGAAGAGTATTTGAAGCCAGGGCCGTGTTTGTCATATTCACTGCTGTAATTCCAATTCTTAGCACAGTTGACAGCACATAGCTGCCACTCAATACATTTTTATGAAATGACTTAATAAATGAGCAAAAACACAGAGACAAAAAGGCATGGAACATCTTGGACAGATAAGCAACATGGAAAAGACTACATAGGATGGGGAGTGGTAGGAGCTAATGTTGGTCACAGGCAGAGGATGGAGGATTGAGCCTGTCCCTTGAGAAATTTGCATTTCATCTTAACCCTTGCTTACTTTCTCAACCCTACAATCATAATAAAATCAAACAGGGGATTTGGCATGGTGGCCTATAGTATTTCAAGTGTACACTCAGGTGACAAAATAAATTAAGAAAGCCATGGGTCAGAAGCATTGCTGGGTGGCCTTAGAAGCCCAAATATCACAGACAACATTAAACAAATAACTCAGCACTTGGAAAGTGACTAATTCTGCCTTTCAGCCCCAAACCCCCACCCTAATGACTTTTCCCAAAGACAAGAAATATGTCTGCCTTAAGAAAGGCTTTCTCTGTGTTAAGCGATTGCTTCTTTTCTGATAACAATTTCTTGGAAAATGAGCTCTCACACCTTAAAAGTGTTCTTTTACAGTTGCCATATTGAGTGCTCTGGTCTAAGAGACAGAATAACTTATCAGGAGCCATTACTTGCATAAAAATTAGAATTCGCATATCCAGGTCATTTTTTCCCCCAATGTAGTCAAGAAAGTTAATTTTTAAATATAAAATAACATATAGATATAAAAAAATAAACATCATCTGGAATGAGACTTATACGAACTCTGGAAAAGGAAAAGTTAGAATTAAATTGGAATGCCATGAGAGACATCTCAGCCTCAGCAAGTAAATTTGTGACTTGCCATTCTCTAATCCCAAACTCCACTCTCTACCCACACTGCCCTACTCTTTCCTTAGTAATTCTGGCTCAAGACAGAGTCTGAAACATGTCCACAATGAGATATCAATGTCTGATAATAATAACAGCTACCATTTCTTGACTGCTTTTCATATGCCAGGTATTATTCTGAGTGCTTTACTTACATTATCTTATTTAATACTCAAAAAGCCTATGAGATAGGTGTAATTATTATCTCCCATTATTACAGTTAAGGAAAGAAAGGCTGGGAGAGCAAAGCAACTTATCCAATATCATTCAGTAAGCGGCAGGGCTTACATATGAACCCAAGCATTCCATCTGGAGCTCCTCTTAGCTTACCCACTGTCCTGTGCTACCCCTTCATACATTTGTTTTGCTTTCTTTTAATGTCAGAGATAAAACCTTAGAATAAAGAAATGAAATCCTTTAGGTTGAATTTCAAGTATCAGATACGGGATATAATTGGCTTGGTATTCTAGCACCTTTCTGTCCAGACTGAGTGTGTATTAACTCAAAATCTCCAGACTGAGACCACCATTTCAGTTTTGGTTGAGTTATATTTTTCAAAAAGATCATTTGGCTCTTGAAATCAATCATGTTAATTTGATTGGTGTTGCTGTGATCCATCTTCTCCTATGACCTATTAAATGGTTTATGTGTTGACTGGGTATAAGTTCATGCTGATTTAACAAGAGAGTTTGCAGTCTTATGTTATTTTTATGCCATATTCTCATATTTTTATGTTTATATTCCTCTTGAGTTTCTTTTTCTAACTTGATTCCTTGAGTTTCTTTCCTAAAATTTGTTCTCACATGTAGACAATGTAACCCAGACAGAAATAGGTTTTTCTACACTGCCACTGTGCAAGGAATACTCTTTAGCTTGTCTGCCCACTCTGTGGACAAGAATTATTATTACAATTCTCAAAGGAGAACATCCAGTTTAAATACATCAGTAATAATGGAAAAGATTCTTAAATAAAGACCTACAGATTGAGAGTAATAATGTCAATATTATGGAATGAATTATGTGTGTAATTTCTTAAACAGTTAACTTTAACATGAATATATATACACCAATATACAAATAAGTTCAAGCATCATTAACAGGGATTTGGGTTTGACTTACTTCCCATCCCTTTGTGAAACCCTCAGCCATGAAACTCTTGTCCTGGTTCCACTCCAGGTTGTTTTTATCTTTATTATCCTGTTTTCATACATGATCTGTGCCCTCATTTCATTATATTAGGGCTAATATGCAAATTTCAAACAATTCTGAATCTATTTGTATGCAATTATTCAAAATTCCATCTTCTAAAGCAATGGCTCCCAAATTTGGCTGATCTTCAAATGTATTAAATCAGAAACTCTGCATAGCAAGGCCTGAGCTATGTTTTTTAAAGCAACCCAGGAGACTCAGCCAGGTTTGAGAACCACTGATCTAAGTACAGATTTTATCAAATATATTTCCATAGCTCTTGCTTTGTATTTACTACTACAATTATTACTATTATTATTTTTTGAGACAGAGTTTTGCTCTTGTTGCGCAGGTTGGAGTGCAGTGGCATGATCTCAGCTCACTGCAACCTCTGCTTCCCAGGTTCAAGCGATTATCTTGCCTCAGCCTCCTGAGTAGCTGGGATTACAGGCACTCACCACCACGCCCAGCTAATTTTTTTGTATTTTTAGTAGAGACGGGGTTTCACCATGTTGGCCAGGCTGGTCTCAAACTCCTGACCTCAGGTGATCTGCTGCCTCGGCCTCCCAAAGTACTGCAATTATTTTCATAAATGTTCAAAGAACTAAAAGTGGTGTGACTCTTCCAGCATGTGCTTTGTTTAATATGTGATCTCCAAAACTGAAGCTGCCTAGAAATACTTCCTCCTCTCTATGCTATAGTGGGAAGAACTCTGGGGACAGTATTTTCCAAACTGCAGTCCCCATAACACTGATATCCTCCATAATGTTAGTAAGAGTCCTTCATTAACAACTAAAAAAAAATGTTCTGTGGTCAAATGAGTTTGAGAAATGGTGGGCTAAAGAAAGGTGAACAAAATTCTTAATTGGAATGATTCTCAGTGCTAATATTATGCAAATATTCCGGATGAATGCCCCCCAAAAGATTCAAAGTACAGTGTTTCCTAAATAAACATTTTTATTCTGGTAAAAAAAAAAAAACATACAACATAAAATGTACCATATTAACTATTTTTAAGAGTAAAGTATATCAATGTTAACTATATGCACATTGTTGTTCAACGGAGCTCTAGAACCTGTTCATCTTCCATGACAGAAAATCTATACCCACTGAACAATTCCTTATTTCCCCCTCTCTATAGCCCCTGGCAACCATCATTCTACTTTCTGTTTCTAAGAATTTGACTACTTTAGATGCCTCATGTAGGTGGAATTATGCAGTATTTGTCTTTTTGTGACTGGATTATTTCACTTAATATAATGTCCTCAAGGTTTATCCATGTTGTGACATATGACCTGATTTTCTTCTTTTTTAAGACTGAATAATATTCCATTGTATGTATATACCACATTTCCTTTATCCATTCATCCATAGATGAACATTTATGTTTCTTCTACCTCTTGGCTATTGTGAATTATGCTGTAATGAACATGAGTGTGTTAAAATCTCTTTGAGATCCTGATTTCAATTCTTTTGGATATGTATCTAGAAGTGGGACTGCTGGTTCATGTGGTAATTATATTTTTAATTTTTTTTGCAGAAACTCCATACTGTTTCCCACAGGGGCTGAGCCATATAGATTCCTTTCCTAAATTAATTTTGAACATGGAAGCTTTTTCTCTTGGAACATGTATTAACATTTCATGGTAAACCAGAATATAGTTGAAGAAAGGATATAGTTTGGGAGACACTGTTACAGGGTGCCTTGGGATTTTGACAAGGAAAAGAATAACTTCTAGGCTGAGTGCTACCTCAAAACATATTCCCCTATCATGCTGGATATTTTCTATGTTTTGCTACTAGACATCCTGCCTTCAGGAAGCCCATAATCCTTTAGAGGACAGAACTTATTCACGTTTAACAATTAGAACAATAGAAATATTTACCCAAGGCTTAAATTTAAGAAATAAGTACATTTTTAATAATAAAATAATACAGAAAATGTTTGCATTTAGGACACTTTAGTAATACTGATCTCATTTAAAGGTTCTAGATTTGCTATGTCTTGTAGAAAACACAAGGACAGGCAGTCCTCATTATCCAAGTATCCACGATCCATGTCTGAGAAATTAAGATGATGTGAAGGGAAGCACAACTTATCAGAACACAAATTATTCACTAACGAACTGACCCCCTTTAAAATTAGCCTCTACTAAAGCACCTCTTCCTGTTTAATATGAGCCTATGTTGATCAGTCTCTGGATGATTTTCTGATACTGCCAGACAATACAATGCAAACAAATTGCAAATCTTGCAAAAACATTCAGTGATGCTGAAGAACTACTCCTATCACATGCAACACTGCAACAACTGATGATCTAGTACAGTAAGACCAGTTAACAAATGAAGAAAATAAAGTTAACAAGAATGATACCAGAAGATAAAATTAACAAGGAGTATACATCAAAAGAAAATGATTTGGATGTCAAAGGATTAAGAGAAGTCCTTGGGAAAATTATAATAAAGTCCTTGACTTTTTGAGCCTTTCAAACATCTTATTCTAAAAATAGTACAAAACTATAAATTTTGCCTGAGTTTGGGTACACTTTGGTGAAAATAAACTTTATTGTCATAATTTTTGTTTCCATTTTATGAAAATTGGAATACTATCAGGGTTTGACGTGTATAGACATCACCAGTGAAACAGAACACTCCTTTATTCTGCTTGGAAAATTAGCCAAATACATTGCATCTTCTCAGCTACTTTGGGAAAGAATGGTTGCACTTGGAGGCTTCCTTATTTACTTCAGTTAGCAAATATTCTAGACATTTGCAGGTGCCAAATATGTGTGCTCTAAATAAACAGGGCAGCATTCGATTTCATTTATCTTTCCTCCCAGATGCAGTACCTAGCATAGTGCTGAGCATTTAGTTGGTGCTCAAAGAATGATTAAATTTATTTGAACCTCCTCCATGAAGATTCACAATCAAGAAAGTTTATACACTTGGATATCTCAAGCATTAAAAATAAATTCCAGCTGGGCGTGGTGGCTCACGCCTGTAATGCCAGCACTTTGGGAGGCTGAGGCGGGTGGAACACCTGAGGTCAGGAGTTCAAGACCAGCCTGGTCAACATAATGAAACCCTGTCTCTACTCAAAATACAAAAATTAGCCGGGCATGGTGGCACATGCCTGTAGTCCCAGCTACTCGGGAGGCTGAGGCAGGAGAATCACTTGAACCTGGGAGGTGGAGGTTGCAGTGAGCCGAGATCGTGCCACTGCACTCCAGCCTGGGAGACAGAGTGAGACTCCATCTCAAAAAAAAAAAAAAAAAAAAAAAAAAGTTCCAAAGCAGTTACCACTGGGTGCCTGTTCAACAGAGAAAACAGAATTTGGTAGCTAGGCTCTTTCCTGAGATGAAGTCATTGTGAGGATTTTGTGGATGCTGCAACCTATAAGGACGAAATCAGTGATTTCTGAAGAACATGACAGTTTGGGTATATAGAATAAAATACCCTTTAGTTTCCTCAGATAGATTTGTCTGGGACAAAAACATCTAATCTCTTAATTAAGATTAACATCGTACAGATATGATCTCAGTTGGAAAGATCCTAAAATTTATAACTTCCTTTCTTTTTCAGTACAGTCAGGTCTTTACAAATTTATGGTATTTAGATGTACTATGATTAAAGTAAATTATTTAGTATCATTCCTAAAGTACAACAAATGTATTAATGTGTTTTTAAATGAAATATGTTTGAATTTATTTTATTATTCTTGGTGAAATATCTGAAAAGACTTTTCCATCAGCACATTTAGTACAGAGACCCATGATTACCATATTTGCTTAAAACTTTCCTCTTTGTGGAGGCATTTTACCCATTATGGAGGAAACTATTAAAGCAAAGTACTTTGGTAGCTGACTTCTGGGACCACTGCCACACCTAGAAGTCTAATTTCCTCCATGGATAAGCTTTTAAAGGAATGGTCAAGACAGCTAAAGAAGCCTAAACAATGATTAAGTTATCTTCATTTTGCATTAGTGGAGTTGTTTATTTCTTCTCTACTGCCCTAACCAAGCCTTCAGTGGGGTTACTGCCGGTATATGTGGTGTCTTCCCAGGAGGAAAATCAGACAAAGTAATTCATATACTTTCCTTCATCACTGGGGAAGAGAACTTATGGAAAAGGAAAATTTTCTGATAAGAGGAAATGATCAAAATTGCTCCTGCCTTCAATAAACAATTGATCACTCTTCATTAAAAAAAGTATGAAAACTTCACAGATGTTGATGTCTATGGAGAACATTCTATTAAAGATAGCAGTTCTCAAATGTTCTGTCTTCAAGAAAAAAAAATAAGGTTGCACCATCCTTATCTACTCCCATGTGTTTATGCATCCCCTCAACGCATCAATGTATCCACTCGTGCAGCCAGCATTATCTATTGAGCAGCTTACTATTTAGCTACCATTTTTAATTTGGATTTTGAGATGTTTTAAAGACAAATCAGTTTGCACCGTTTCCTAAAAACCCCGGTAAGTTCCTGTTGTTCTTCCTGCAGAGCGTGTGCCCAGCCGCTGTGGTCTAGGGTGAAGTGACACCTTAAACAGATGGCGGCTGGGCCAGCCAGCTCAGTGGACCGATGGGGGAAATTAGATCATACAGATTCTAAAACGTGGCTCACCAAAGCACAGTAGACCAAAAAAGAGAAAAAGAAAACTGAAAACTAAAAAATAATAATAATAATAAATGAAAATTAAAAAAATAATAAAGACAAATCAGTATCCAGAAAATTTTAGGTTTTCTAAGAGATTCAAAGCCCTTATGACAACCAGAAAGTTCTTAGAGATATTTCTTTCCCAGGAGTTTCCTAGTGCCTGATATTTTTGTTCATGTCTCGCTTAATCAGAAGGCATCCAAGTAAATGACACTTTAAAGGAAAAAATTAGACTCATATCTCTTTTTGGCTTTGCTGTAAAAATAAAATCCTAAGACAAATATGTGCTCAGTGTGCCACATGTTGAAGAAAAGGAACATTCATCAAGCTCATTTCCTGCAGAGCAAACCCTCCCACATCATTCAGTCCAGCCACAACATCTGGGTAATTGGCTGCAGCCTGGTGGGAGCCACCCTCCCAACACACACAAACAAGATTTCTGGATAATTCCTGATCATTAAGCATGCAAACCTCCTCAGTGCTCACCTTGAATATTTGTTCTCCTTTCTTTCTCATCTACTGTTCGTAGTTTCAGCTGCTCCCCAACTACCAAATAATTTTAGAACAATCCTCTTTGAAATAAATGCTCTTTAAGAAATGCACAAAAATCCAAAGGTGATAGGAAAATTTCTTTGCCTTGTGGTGATGCAGATGATATTCTCTCTCCTTCCTAGGCATTACTCTTAAGGGTTTAGTTAACTCGGTTCTTCTTGTCCAGCTCTTTGGAGCTCCAGAATTGCAAAAAAAAACACTCAAATACATCTTGTAATGATCTTGTACAAAGGAAAACCCAGTGCTTATCATTTTTAGATTGTCAAAACTATTAAGATGAGAGTTTTCCATCAGCCCAGAGTATTTATCTTTCCAGATTTAAGAGAATATTGAAGGTAGTTTCCAAATATTTTATAATTCTAGGACTAGATTTTGAATTCCTTTAGGTCATAGGCCTTATATAAACAGTACTTTACACAGGGTATGGGACATAGTAGGTTTGCAATAAAGATTTGTTGAACAAATGGAAGAATAGAAGACTGACCTTATGTTTGTATTAATAAAATGCTTTAGTATTCATCTGGCAGAAATGTTACATCTAGTGCTGAGATTCAGCTGATAATGCAGTTATAGCCTTACAAGTTTTAGGGCTTGCAAAGTCACCTTTGACTGTTGGTGCTGGTTGCACTCTGGTTGTTAAATATTTTGGAGATCTCTCTTAGCAACAGAATGCCATAGCACAGAGAATTATGTACTCCTTTAAACTTTAAACATGTGTTCATAGAGTGTTTAGGACCCAGACCCTTCCTTCTGAGTAACAGTGACTAGGTATATCTGAGTTTAGCAGTGGTCAAGGATAAAGCAGAGA
Organism: Homo sapiens; assembly: GCF_000001405.40. Classification (NCBI taxonomy): domain Eukaryota; kingdom Metazoa; phylum Chordata; class Mammalia; order Primates; family Hominidae; genus Homo; species Homo sapiens. The sequence goes on along the minus strand of NC_000023.11, from coordinate 112,888,113 downwards.
AGTGAAACATTCAGGGAAAAAAAGTGCAGGTGGGAGTGTCTGTATGACATTGTTGGATAATGCCTGGGTTTTAAAATGGATATTGGGGTATAGAGTTGTGGTTTTCCAGAGATGAAAATGTTAGGCACACAGGAAGTCAGAGTAAAATTGTTATTTAAAGGTCAAGAACAAGAGGCCTGGCACAGTGGCTCACACCTGTAATCTCAGAACTTTGGGAGACTGAGGCAGGTGGATCACCTGAGCTCAGGAGTTCGAGACAAGCCTGGGCAACGTGGCAAAACCCCCTCTCTATCAAAAATACAAAAACTAGCCAGGCGTGGTGAAATGCACCTGTAGTGCTAGCTACAGGAGGCTGGGGCAAGAGGATGGCTTCAGCCCAGGAGGCAGAGGTTGCAGTGAGCCAAGATCACACCACTACACTCCAGCCTGGGCAGCAGAGCGAGACTCTGTCACCACACACACACCTGCGTGGCAGAGAGAGACTCTGTCACACACACACACACACACACACACTCAGAGAGAGAGAGACAGAGAGAGGGAACAAGAGAGGTCAGAAGCATAGCCTAAACATAGCCTAAAACAGGATAGACTACTCTGAGGCCCACCCTGTTCCCGGCAGAAAGTTCAGACTTTGCTGACCCCCACCCCCAGCACCCACTCTTTGTTTGTTTTGTTTTGTTTTGTTTTTGTTTTGTTTTGAGATGGAGTCTATCTCTGTAGCCCAGGCTGGAGTCAGTGGCGCGATCTCTGCTCACTCCAACCTCTGCCTCCTGGGTTCAAGCAATTCTCCTGCCTCAGCCTCCTGAGTAGCTGGGATTACAGGCGCATGCCACCACGCCCGGCTAATTTTTGAATTTTTAGTAGAGACAGGATTTCACCACGTTGGCCAGGCTGGTCTCGAACTCCTGACCTCGTGATCCACCCGCCTCGGCCTCCCAAAGTGCTGGGATTACAGGTGTGAGCCATCGCACCAGGCCCCAGCACCCACTCTTAATCAACATAGGCCGGGTCAATCACTTGTTGCCCCATCAGCCTACTCCTCCACTTGGGCCTTAATAACATCTGAAATGTAGACTGCTGGCTTAATTAAAAGCTTCAGCTTGTGCCCTTCAGGGCCTACTGAATTTTACTCTACCAATAAGCAAGGCAATGTTTTGAATAATGTGGGGAGCAGGTGTGGGGAAGGCATTCTGCTGCTATGTTATTGTTGTTTCTTTGCATGCTCAATAAGGTCAAGTGTACCAAGAGATTCCATTTCACCTTGAAATTGATTTTTTTTTTAATGCTGGGCAGACTCATACAATGTTCCTGACCATTTACGGGTCCCAAATATATGCCACTTGAACATCTCTCACCTTATTAAGTTCACCTGAGATCAATATATTGGGTAAAATTGTCAAAAACTTAAAAAGCACATTTCTGCCTTGAGTTCAGAGATCTAAGTATCAAAATCCTAATCAACAGCTCTCTGCTTACAACTCCAAGTTGCACCATCAAGCTCAATATTGGTTGATGATTTCTTAGATAATATGCTGCAGAATCACCTTGTATATGGAGGGCACGATAAAGCTCTTGACTGGATTCTATTTTACATTTTTAGTGTCAAAAAAATGGTCCTAGATGTTAAAACAGAGAAAGGTCCTAGATGGTAAAACAGCATTGCTGAATGTCTTCTAAATCAAAAGAGCAGTTACCAATATTAATCCTGCCCAAAATATGACCAAATGAGTCAACAGAACACACGTGGCGCCTGGCCCCAAAATTCTACAGGTCACTTCAGACACACCAACCCCCATTCTGGCTTCGGAGGATATTAATGCTGTTTTTGCTGACTCAAGGTCATGGAGTGGTAATTCCTCTCAAAGAGGGGGTACCATTCTTAGAGAGTTTGCCATTCAAAGTTTATTCTTAAAATGTCAGAGCAGGATCACATAATCTCTCATTATCTTAGTTAAAGTAAGCATTTATGCTTCAAGAAAACAAAAGACAGAACTTGTAGCATAGTCGGAGAGTTAACAGCAGGTTAGCTCTGAACACTGCAATACTTGCAGCAGTAGGAAACAGTGTCCATGAGTGTAAGATGGCATGCCCCTAACTTAAGACATTTTCCACACATTTGTTTCCAAGGACCACTCTCCAAGCTTATTGACCCTCAGGAGTAAAATAACAGAGTTGAGGTGGCTGGAAAGCTTCCTTAGGTAGATGCAGCATGACTACTCCACAGAGATGTCTGCACTTGTAAAGGTAAGAGGTGGTACAGAAACCTCTTAGGAAGTGACTAGGAAAACATTTGTATCCTTAGAAGTACTGGTCATTTGCGGTGATAACAAATTTCCTAAAGTGTCCTTCAGAAAACAGAAAGTTACAGGAAATCCATACCATAGGCACCACTTACATATATTTACTTGTCAGCTACCTCCTCCAACAAAGTACTTGAGGTTATAAGCATGTATAAAAGAAGAAAAGATAAATAGTTTAAAGAACAAGGTAAGTGAAAAATAATAAAATCGGTGGAAGATTAGTGACTAGAAATGCATAGCTGTGATTGCATTAAGTTACTGAAAGTGGGCTTCTAATTTGATTTGAAGCTATCTACTGGCCAAAATGAAGAAGAAAACCTGATCAGTTATAAAATTTACTGAGGGCAGGAAATAATTATTGGAATACAGCCTTTGCACTTATGTGCCTGAAAGTTAAAGTTGTGTCTTTTTACATTAAGGCATAAAATGTGGCAGTATCTGAGCCTCAGGTACTTATACCCAAAAGGTCATAATAATAGTGTCCATTCTAAAAGCACTGAACAGAAAAGAAAAAGATCTTAAAAAGTAATTTCAAATTCAAAATAAGCTTGATCAGTTGATGAATGAATTCTTAAATCAAAACATTCTTGCATTCAAACCTGCAGTAGAAAAAAAAAAAAAGAAAAATCGGGCTGGGCACAGTGGCTCAGGCCTGTAATCCCAGCACTTTGGGAGGCCGAGGCGGGTGGATCACAAGGTCAGGGGTTCGAGACCAGCCTGGCCAACATGGTGAAACCCTGTCTCTACTAAAAGTACAAAAATTAGGCCAGGTGCAGTGGCTCACGCCTGTAATCCCAGCACTCTGGGAGGCCAAGGCAGGCGGATCACGAGGTCAGAAGATCGAGACCATCCTGGCTAACACAGTGAAACCCCATCTCTACTAAAAATTAAAAAAAAAAAAAAGCTGGGGGTGGTAGTGGGCTCCTGTAGTCCCAGCTACTCGGGAGGCTGAGGCAGGAGAATGGCGTGAACCTGGGAGGCAGAGCTTGCAGTGAGCCGAGATCACACCACTGCACTCCAGCCTGGGTGACAGAGGGAGACTCCATCTCAAAAAAAAAAAAAATACAAAAATTAGCCGGGCGTAGTGGCATGCACCTGTATTCCCAGCTACTTGGGAGGCTGAGGCAGGAGAATCACTTGAACCTAGGAGGCAGAGGTTGCGGTGAGCAGAGATCATGCCACTGCACTCCAGCCTGGGCAACAGAGCAAGACTCTGTCTCAAAAAAGAGAGAGAAAAAAATCAAAATATCTGCCTCACAAAAACAAGAAGCAAAAACCCTGAAACTCTCAGCAATTGAAATTCAGATTTTAGATCACATATTGAAGTTCTTAAAGAATATTTTTATTGCCCAAGAGCAGAATGCAAGGAGAAAAGTCACAAGAAACTGCAGGAAAAAATCAGCTTTTCTATAAATTGGCCAAGACAAAAGCTACAAGCTATCCCAGAACTGAAGAAAGCACCAAATATTAATTTTGATTCAGACCTAAAATGGCAGGACTCACAATAATTGCTCCACTGAAGCAACGGAAAGGGATCCTGTGGATGAAATCTAGGTGTTAAAGCCATTTAACTTCCTATTATACTTCCTGAGGAAACTTCAATGCCACAAAGAAAAAAAAAAGTAATATTTCTTAGGTGACTACTACAACTGCTGAAGTAGGATAACAGGGAAATTCTAAGCAACCTCTTCTAGCAGAAACATCCTCATGCTAGAGTACTTAGGATACTCCTCCAACGATGCACCACCCCACCTCCCCATGAACCTGGCCCCTGACAAATACACCCTTCCTGGTTACAAGATTATATTAGTCGGGTGGGATGAGTATATATGTTTTTAGGAGCCATTTATTTGTATGCTAGAAAAAAATGGAGATTCATGGTTGTGCAGTTCTTAGCTATAGTAGTGTTCTATTGCTGAAATCAGCTTAGCTTCTTCTTAGAAGAATCTCAAAACTCTAAGGAAACTTGGCCAAATCAAGCTGAAGCTTTTGGCTCAGATTCAGTCCAGTTATTCTCATGTAGATACATAATGAGTTCTTCTCTTCCAACGAAAAAAATAATGAGAAAAAAAAAACCCCACCAAAGACGAAAAAGCTAACAAACGTTAACTGTTTAACAAAGTCTGATTAAATTCAAAACCTGGAATCCGCAGGGCTACAAATGTGATACTGACATTTGCAAGGTGTGTGTCTATAAAACAGTAATTTAGGCATTTGAATTATAGTCATGAAAACACTAATTCATCTCTTTTCCTAGGTTTCAAATTCTATTGTCTTAGAGTTGAGAAAGTATAATGAAATAAAATTAACTACGCTCTTCCAAAATGACTACTGATAAGGAATATTCTTAGAACTCAACTTTTTACACTACTTTTTTTTTAAAAAAGTGCTGCTTGGTTCTTAAAAGACTTATCTACACTTCCTCCAGCTTTAAGTATTAATGACTTAAACTTATTAAAAGTTTACAAAATAGGCCAGGTGCAGTGGCTCACACCTGTAATCCCAGCTCTTTGGGAGGCAGAGGCTGTGGGTCACTTGAGGCCAGGAGTTTGAGACAAGCCTGGCCAACATGGTGAAACCCACTCTCTACTAAAAATACAAACATTAGCCGGGTGTGGTGGTGCATGCCTATAATCCCAGCTACTCCAGAGGCTAAAACACAAGAATCACTTGAACCCAGGAGGCGGAGGTTGCAGTGAGCTGAGATCGTGCCACTGCACACCAGCCTGGGTAACAGAATGAGACCCTGTCTCAAAAAAAAAAAAATGAAAAGAAAGGAAGGAAGGAAGGGAAAGAAAGAGAAAAAAAAGGAAAGGAAACAAAATATTCTTAAGAAATAACTTCAGAATGCAAGTAGCTTCAATTGGCCAACACCTCCTCCCCACAGATCAAAGAAAGAACATTCTGCAGCGTTGTTCCCAGTCGTTCCTGTTCAATTCCCCAGCCCCACCCACAGCAACACTCTCATCCTCTCCAGACACAGAAGAGACTTGGACCACCTGAAGTGTGCTGTCCCATGTCCTCTCCTTTCTATCTCCAAACATCACCTTAACCACACCCTCCTATCCTAAATCAGAATTTTTTTTTTAGGTTTTTTTTTTTTTTGTAACTTTTAAGTTCAGGAATACAAGTGCAGGTTTGTTACATTGGTAAACTTGTGTCATGGGGGTTTGTTGTACAGATTATTTCATCTCCCAGGTATTAAGCCTAGTACCCATTAGTTATTTTTCCTGATCCTCTCCCTCCTCCCACTGTCCACCCTCTGGTAGGCCCCAGTGTGTGTTGTTCCCCTCTATGTGTCCATGTATTCTCATTATTTAGCTCCCACTTACCATATCTCATCTCTACCAAAAAAAAAAAAAAATTACATTAGACAGGCTTGGCGGTGCATACCTGTAGTCCCAGGTACTCTGTAGGCCAAGGTGGGAGGATTGCTTGAGTCCAGGAGGTTGAGGCTGCAGTGAGCCAAGATTGCACCACTGCATTCCAGCCCGGGGAACAGACCAAGACTCTGTCTCAAAAAAATTTAAATTAAATTAAAAAGTGCCATCTTCTCCCTATCATTTGTGGATGTATTCTAGTTCTATTTTTCTGAACTCTCCTCTACTGGCTTTGCTAGCTTCTCCTTTGACTCTATAAATGTGGATTGTCTCTAAGGTTCAGGCCTGCTGTCCTTTTCTCTTTCTATAGTCTCTCCCAAGGTGCCCTCATTTATCTTTTAGCTTCAGCTTTCACCTCTGTACAGTTTTCTCCTCAATCTCTTTCTCTACAACTCAATTACTATCTTAAGAAATCACTCTAGGCCGGGCGCGGTGGCTCACCTATAATCCCAGCACTTTGGGAGGCCGAGGCAGGTGGATCACCTGAAGTCAGGAGTTCGAGACCAGCCTGGCCAACATGGTGAAACCCCGTCTCTACTAAAAATACAAAATTAGCCAGGCGTGGTGGTGCACGCCTGCAATCCCAGCTACTCAGGAGCCTGAGGCAGGAGAATCGCTTAAACCTGGGAGGCAGAGGTTGCAGTGAGTGGAGATCACGCCATTGCACTCCAGCCTGGGCAACAAGAGCAAAACTCAAGAAAGAAAAAGAAAGAAAGGAAGAAAGAAAAAGGAAGGAAGAAAGGAAGGAAGGAAGGAAGGAGAAAGAAAGAGAAAGGAAGGGAAGGAAGGGAAGGAAAGGAAGGAAGGGAAGGAAAGGAAGGAAGGGAAGGAAAGGAAGGAAAGGAAACCATTGTACATTTAAAACAAATTGCTGAAGAGCAACACAGAATGTTATATCTGCACATTAAACTCAATCTGCCAAAAACACACTCATCATCTTTCTTAGAAAATCAGCAGCTCTTTTTCCAGACTTCCATCTATCTGCTGATAAAAAAAAAATTTAAATAATAATAATGAAAAACACTTATTGGGCATTTTTTATGTGCCAAGCACTATGATAAAATGATTTACATTTAGGCCAGGCACGATGGCTCATGCCTGTAATCCCAGCACTTTGGGAGGCCGAGGCGGGCGGATCACCTGAGGTCGGGAGTTTGAGACCAGCCTGGCCAACATGGCGAAACCCCGTCTCTCCTAAAAATACAAAAATTAGCCGGGCGTGGTGGTGTGCACCTGTAGTCCCAGCTACCCAGGAGGCTGAGGCGGGAGAATCACTTGAACCCAGGAGGTGGAGGTTGCACTGGGCCAAGATCATCCCAATGAACTCCAGCCTGGGGGACAGAGCAAGACTCCATGTCAGAAAAAAAAATGTACATTTAATAACATATGTACCTCATAATAAATAACTGTACAGAATAGACACTATTATTATCATAATTTTACAGAGCAGGAAACTGAGACCTTAAAAACTAATTAACTTCCACAAAGTTAACAGCAAATAAGTGAGGAAGGCAAGCTTCAAACCCAGACACAGCAGGTTAAACTAAGGACCAGTAATCCAAGCAGCAGAAATTTGGATTTTTCAAATATTAATGCTTTGTAATGATTCATTTTCAAACCGTCTATTCTGTCAAATGTCAAGGACATTATATATATATATATAACCCAACAGCTAGGGTTATAAGAAGTTGACTGGAAGAAAGTTATGATACTCATTTTCTTTCTTTAATGGGTACCAGTGAGAAATCTAATCATCTCCTTTACTATACAAGATAATTACCTCTGAGTTCATCCATTCATTCGTTTAAGTAGCTCCTATGAGCCTAAATTTGAGGTCAATCTGCAATTTGCCATGAAAACACAGAGAAACTAACAATTGAGGGGGTGAGGGACTCTTTTATGAACACTCCGTGGGTGCTTTTGAATTTTCATGGCCAATAAATACTGTGGCATGATAATTCGGTGACTCTACTTGTACTCTTTGATCTTAAGGGCATTAAAGCCTCCCTTTTTATGTGAATACAAGTAGTGACATATGAGCCTAACAAGAAATGTGAAGACATTAGCCCTTTTCAAATGGGGAAAGAGAAGAAATACATTCATATTTATACAATCTGTGTATATCCCACACACATTATGTACCCACAAAATCCCCAAGGGAACGGATAAGGAAGAACAAACATATCTTGACTCAATTAAGGTGCACAATGACGATAATTCATATTTACATTGACACTCCAAACTTCAAAGGATGCTCACAAAGAGACATCATCTCATTTTACAGAAAATGCAGCACGAAGCTTGTCTTCAGCAAAATAATAAACTACACTAAGTCTATCATTTAGGCATCCATCCATCCAGGTCCCTTAAGTTGCACCCTCAGACATCACCCCCACATCCTTCTGCCATTTTCTTCTCATTCTACACATCCTCCGGATTTGCTTTTTCTGTCCCTCAGGCCAATTATCCAACACAAAAGAATAGGTCTTTAAGAGAAAACATGCTTCAATCATTCATTCACTGAACAAACATTTATCAAGTAACCACTACATGCCAGGCACTGTGCTTGGTGCTAGAAATACAAATGTTTGCAAAAACACATAGTGCAGTCTTTAATTGGGGCCTACTCCACCTCTATCTTAGTCAGCTTGGGCTGCTATAACGAAATATCATACACTGGGTAGCCTCAATAACGAACATTTAGTTCTCAGTTCTAGAGGTTGGAAGTCCAAGATTGGGGTGCCAGCATGCTAGGGTTCTAGTGAAAGCTCTCTTCCTGGCCATCTTTTTGCTGTATTCTCACAAGGTGAAGAGAGAGAGAGAGAGCAAGCAAGCATATTATAAGGGCACTAATCCCATCAGGAGGGCTTCACCCTCATGACCCTCACCTCCTAATACATCACAATGAGGATTAGGATTCCAACATGTGACTTTTAGGGAGACACATTCAGTCCATAACAGCCACCAACACAGAGCACTACAAATTGGTCAGGAGATAATTGTCTTGGCTCTGCTTTATTGGTTCTTACATTGGACTTGTCCTTCCAACTCTCGTTTTGTTTGCTCTTGCTCAGACTTGGAGATACATTTTCTTGAATTGGTTATCAGAGCTTGGTTCCTCAGCAATTCTACTTTTACACTACATCTAGTCTCTGGTATCCTGTATCCTGTCTATAATAGTCACAGAGTCTGCCCATTTGGCTTTGCTATTTCTACCTCAGCAATAAGAGCTCAACTGTCTGTAGCCCCATTATGAAAACTATGATAGGATCCCTGCCTCTTTTATTTGAATTCCTGCCCTTACATCTCTCATTTGTCCTATTATCCTCTATTCCATATTGATCTAATTCTCCCCTTCCATTCCTCTTGGTTTACTCTCTTTGTCCTCTAGCCAGCACCCTTTTAAAGCCCAGTGATCAACCCTGGTAATATCCCAAGTCACTCTATGATAAGACCAAAAAACCCACAATACATTTCTTATGCATATTTTCCAGACTTCCTGGATCCCAGGGCTGCCACAGCTTTCATGGAGTCCAGCCTGACCAACCAGAGAAACCTATATCAGTGAAGCCATCAGAGTCTCTCAAAGCTAACTGATCTTCTCCAGAATGTGGGAATCTTCTTCAATAGTCAGTCTTCTAAAAAATATCATCATCTGAGTCATTTGTTCCTCATGGTCACTGTTGTTAGGCAAACATCCAAGATTCTTGCTTTGGTAAGGGTAAGTCTTTGGTTTCTGATCCTCACCAAGAGGTTTTGAAAATCCCCCTAATTTCATGGCATAAAAAGATGTCCATATTGCCTTTGTGGAAGGCTGCCACCCAGTCATGAAACATCTTCTAGAAAATGTAATGTAGTAGAACAAACACTGGATTGGATGTCAGAAAATCTGGATCCTTCTTCTTGCCATGTCCTGATTTATTTAGAGACTTTGAGTCATTTGCAACAGGATTCAGGTAACTCATATGCATAATGTGGAGGCCAGTCTAGCTGAAAACATGGTTGTTTCCAGATTATAATGTTCATGACTCTATTTCTGTGCCTCTATAACCAATAAGACAGATTTCCGTACCCTTTTTATTCTATTTGAAAAGCCCCATGATGTTATGGTTTCCTGGAACTTTGTGGCTGTGCTGGATAGAGCGATATGAAAACAAACAAATAAGCAAAACAAAACAATCAGAATAAAAGGTTGGCTGCAGGTGCGTCTGTGTTACACTTAGACACAGCCTAATTCCAGAAAAGCAGAGTTCACAGTGGTGAGTGTCATGGAAACTGCCTATGAATGTTACAAGACTTGCACGTAAACTGAAAGCCCCATTACTGGTTGAGGAGACAGAAGTGGAGAGGATTTTGTGCAGATGATTTTCTCCTTTTAATTGAACCACTCCAGTAGCAGGAACCAAACTGAAACTCCCTTAGACATTTAAATGACTCACATATTTTAGTGCTTGAACATCAGCTCTGTGAATACCTAAAATGGGGCTAAGTGAAAATTGGATAACATTTGCTTGACATTGTCACTGGCCTTTCTCTAATGTCAAAGATGGATTTGCATAATTATGCTGAAAGCTAGGAAACTGCACCCAGCAGGAGGTTTCCTTGCCGGTGTTAGGTTTTAGTTCTACTCCAGCTGTGACTCTCAGGACGAAGAAAATCTTTCAGAAATGAACAGACAGAGTGCACACTTTCTAAAACAGTATAGTAACAGCCTAACGACAATTTAACTTGCATACTGATTTCCAAGGTATAATTAAGATAGGCCTGATAAGCAACTGATTGACTGAACAACCTTTTGCTTGGTATCAAAAGGGCTTCAGAGAGGAGAGTGTCCAAGCAATGTTACCTCATAAACCTCTTCCTGATTAAAATTCTTTTAAGCTGGCCAGATGCTTGATAGAAGCAAACTTCTAAAGGCTGCCCCTGTAACAGGTGTGTGTCTATGGTGCAATCCTGTCTTTCCAAGGTCACTGCAGTCATAAAACGTCTCCTGAATGTATCTATAAGGGGAAAATGCTGAAGCAGGTGAGGCCTCTCTGGGTTCCAACTTTTACCCCTTACATGGGGCACTTACTAACCTCAAGCTCTCTTTCCCCATATGCTTTTTCATTTTCAAATCCTCCTCTCACAAAAGAATTTGAACCCCTTAACATCCTAGAGAATCACTTCTCTTGGTCTGTCAAGAAATCATCTCAATGTTTTTAACTTTCACTTGTAAATGACAAGAGGTCTGTTTTGCTATAATTTTAAATAACACCTAGGTACTTGCAATATATTAATAGGAAAAATAATGAGAAGTGTAAAATTCCTAAGCTCCTGGAAAGAAGCTCCAACAAAAAGTGAACATCCAGATTGCAGTCAACTGAGAGACACATTCCTGAGGACTACTAGTCGGTTCACCTGGTACTTGTGAAATCACAGAGTTTAGATAGCCATGAGCTTGGTTTTCCAAAGCAATATTTTCAAGCAGACCTAACAATGTATTTCTCATTGAGATTTCACAGCTTACAAAGCCTTATATGCTTGTTGTTCACTCTCCTGTTAATTAAAACAATTTCCATGCTACCTCTGGGTTTCACTACAGAATTCATAAATATCTAAAATTATTTCATGGAGAAAAGCACAGATGAAAAGTAGCCCTTTTTCATTCACATGCACTACTTGCTAGGTTCAAAATGTGATTGTTTCTTTGTTTGCTTTTACTGCTTGTATGGCACTAATAAGCAGAATCTGCACATGTAGTTCTCCTCTGACCATGTTATCCTGTCTTGCATATATATAGAGATAACTTTTGTCAGACTTCAAATGCCAAAGAGCAGAGCATATCTTCCAGCTTATTTCTGGTTTGAGCTGGAGGTCGCAGCTTGTGCAATTTGGTAGACAGCAATTCGCCTTGGAACAAGCTCATAAACATGGAATAGGCAGATAGATTGATTCAGAATTTCTGATTTTTTTAAAGGGCAAGAGAGCAAATGTCTAGTTTCTAAGGCAAAAAGGTAGCAGCAAAAACAAAAGCCACACACATTTTAACTGAGCACTATTGTTATTAACGCATTGCACTAGTATCACACTTTACAGTTTACAATGACCTTTTACAGCCGTTATCTCATTTGATACACCCACCCTGTGGAACAGATGTGCATTAATATAGGCACTTGACAGACGAAGAAATTCGGGCACAAAAAGGTTAAGTGACTTACCTAAGGTTGTACTGTAAGTTGGTATACATATGTTGCCTTTTGTGCTAGATAGATAAGGAATGGAGGCATCTGAAGAACTCTCAATTCTGTTTTTTATGAGTCCCGATTGAGAAGAAAATCCCACAGCAGTGCGTTGCATGCTCATCTTTATTTCAACTAATGTTTTCAGTATGTAAAACGTGCAGAAGCAGCACACTTGCAGGTTGCTCAGTGAAACTGGCATGATGCAAATGTGATGGGTAATGTTCAATAAGGAACTAATGCTCAACATTATCTGCCACTTAATCAATGTGCAGTGTGGCCTAGGCACCACAAAACATCCAGATTTACAGCATTAATTCTCATGGATTTTATGATTGCTTATTTCCTGATAAATTTGGTAAATTAACATCTGCCCCTCAAGCAAGTCATGGAGTAATTATTCTCATCGCTTGATTTTTACTAACCATCAGCCAACCCACTTAACAAATGTTGAACAATAACCTGTTGTTGATGTGTCTCCCAGACTGTGAGAGACACGTCTCAAAGCTGAGATATTCTGATATCTATTAGGATTAATTTTCAAGATCTAAAATGGTCATGTTCCCCAATGTCTCTGGAGTGTAGCAACAAATACCAATTAGCGAGAACACCGGGATACTTCCTAATCCCCTTCCTACTAATTTTTTTAAAGGAAAAAAAAATGAAATGGAAGTTATATCATATTCCATGAAGGCAGTCTTTCAAACATAAAAAAGTGGGAGTTTTGCAGCATTTATAGCAAAACTTTGCTTTCCTTGGAGATATTTTTAAGGTAATTTGATATGCTGTGTTTTAAAGGCTACTTCTATAGGGAAAAATAAGGTTTACTCACCAAATTTTATTGTTGAAAAATAGCTACTAAACCTGCTAGGTGAAATGTGTTTATGTGAAAAAGCTGCACTTTGAAGATGGTAATTACCACTTTATATGTTTCCACTGCCACTGCTCAATTCTCATTTTCATAGTTTAAAAAGAAAAGCAGATTTAAATAATGCAATGCTTATTAGCGTATGAATATGGACCTAATTGTCCCTTTTTAACTCTAAGAGGTAATTTGGAATATAGTCTATATAAGCGGGTTAAGAAGTGTGCCACATATGCAATTATGACTAAAAACTTTCATTTGGAAAATTGCAACCTTATCTCATTGTCTTTTAGTAGCAATGTCTTGTGTGCTGCCTGTCACTCTGCACTTTCCTTAGAAGATGTTTATAGGAGTATGTGTAGAGTAGTAAAACCAGTACATTAAATTATAGCAGAGTTGATCAGTGCCTTGTAGCACTGTGTAATACTGCACATACTCAAATTGCATCAAACAAAGCCACAAGGATAGTTGAAAAATGAAAACAAAAACAAAATGGTTACTTAGCATCAAGTAGACCCTGAGATAGCCCCCAGGTTTTTCTTTTAAATTCAGTTTCCTTTTGAACTGGACGAACCCATTCAGGAAGTGAAATAGCCTAAAAATGTTCTAGAAGTTTCTCAGAGATTTCTTCAGTGACCTTTCCTAAGACTTGACAAAAAAATGCTTCCACCCAACACTGCAAGTTTCTTCTTTCTACCAGCTCAGAAAGTGCCTGTCACATTTCAAAACATGTGCTAGAGACCAATGAGATTTTAGTTAAATTTGCTTAAGGATGATAAACACTCATTTTAAAAACACTGGGCTCATTTATATATGATTGCTCAAGCTGTTAAAGTGAAAAACTCTCTTGAAAAAAACAGATTTCCTTTGGGCTGTGTATTGACAAATACTAGTTTGGCTAATTGTGTTTGTTTGGATGGATTTTAATCCTGAATGACTAATCAAACCGCCATTTCATAGACCACATGTATATGAATTTCAAAATATCCTTGCTATGCATACTTGATATCCCATGCAACCATTTTTAATATATTTGTTCTATGTTATACTGACATCTATGGACCCCATAAGAGAAATTCAGCTTTTTAGAAAAATTCTGTTAGCTGCTTATAAGCAACTTAAAATGTGGCTCAACCTGGTAGACTAATGGTCCTAATCTATTGTGTGTGGGCAACTAGTTGATCTTTGAACCTTATCACTTTTTTCAAAATCATTATGGAGTTCTTCTCTCTACCTACAATCAAAACTTAAGGGAGAGGGAATGAGTGAATCACCTTAGTAAAGAATTAGGGCATCTTGGCCGGGCGCGGTGGCTCATGCCTATAATCCCAGCACTTTGGGAGGCTGAGGAAGGCAGATCACGAGGTCAGGAGATCGAGACCATCCTGGCTAACACGGTGAAACCCCGTCTCTACTAAAAATACAAAAAAAAAAATTAGCCGGGCATGGTGGTGGGCGCCCGTAGTCCCAGCTACTTGGGAGGCCGAGGCAGGAGAATGGCATGAACCCGGGAGGTGGAGCTTGCAGTGAGCCGAGATCGCACCACTGGACTCCAGCCTGGGCGACAGAGCAAGACTCCGTCTCAAAAAAAAAAAAAAAAAAAAAAGAAAAAGAATTCAGACATCTTAAATAAAAGAGTGGTCCTTATTGATGAGACAGTAAGGGGGATCCTGTCAGTGCACTTGTATCCATTTATAGTATTAATTCAATAAGATTTATTATTGTAATTACTGTATACTGAACACTGAGCTAACAACTAGGGGTACAATGACTAAAGATATACTGGTCCTGTCCCCCAAGGAAGTCCCAATCTAATGGAGGAGACAAAGTACAAAAACATATAAAATACAAGAGAGGATGATAAGTACTATGACAGATAGAGTGTTTTTGTCAGGATAGGCTAAATGCTACAACAAATCTCAAAATTTCAGTGGCGTAAGTCAGTAAAGATTTTTTTGCTCATTTGAGTCAAAGCCCAATGTGGTCAGTAGGAGCAGAGGAGCATCTAATCCAGCTAGTCATTTAAAGACTGAGACTCCTTCAGTCTTATAATGCTACCATCTTCAATGCATGGTCTCCAAGTTCATTGTGAAGAGGAAAGAGAGAGTGTAAAGAAAACATATCCACTCCTACCTGCTTCAACCCAGAAGAGACACATCACTTCTGTTCACATTCTATAGGGGAGAACCAGTCACAGTGCCCCATTTAGACAAAGGGAGACTGGGAAAGATATTTCAGCTCTGTTCCTAAGAAAAGAAAAGAATCTTGGTGGACAACTATTGATAACTAGATGTAACTGGTAGTAACTAACTTGTTAACTAAAGGTAACTAAAGATAACTAGAAGAAGCCAAGATGCAAAAAACAAACAAAACCAAAATCCTCTCGAATCTAACTTATTTCATGTTAAAATCATAGTGACAACTACAGAAAACTAGAAAAAATAGAGGATCATCTTAACTAGTAACTAGCTAACTAGATAATTAGAATAACTGGAATAAGCCAAGAAACTCACGATGATATTTTCATCTCAACTCTAATTTCTCATCTCTTGCTTGAATAACTAGGGATAACTAGATGTAACTAACGTTGATTAGATAAATAATGAATTAGAGATAACTAGAGTAAACCAAGAAGCTAAAAAGTATTCCTCTTAAATCTAACTTTTCATTTCTTATTAGAAGAGCGAGCGAGAAGTATAGAAAACAAAAAACAGAGAAATGACACGATTAGTTAACTAGTAACAAGCAAACTAATAGCTAAATATTATAGACAACAAGAATAACTGAAGCTTAGAAGATCAGAAACACACATTCCAATCAATTATAACATCCTATTTCTTATTTAAATAACTGAGAGTAACTAGATATTAGTAGTGGTAAATAGGTAAATAGTTAACTAGAGATAACAAGAATAACTAGAGGCAGCCCCAAAAAACTGAAAAAAAAAAAAAAAACTGAAAAACACATTTCTCGCCAATTTAATTTATTACTCCCACTTTCTGAGCATTGTCCACCTCTCTATTTCCTCGTTGTTGTAATGTGTCCCCTATTAGGATACCCCATTGTTTCATTGTAAATCCTATCTGCTTCTACTGATGTTGAAGACCAATTCCTTCACTGGATGGCTACGTCCAAAACATCTGCTCCATTACTAGTTGGAGTATAATACTGCTAGATTGGTGCTCAGTGGTGGGCCACAGAGAGCCAGGTATGAAGTGTTGCCCTGTTTACACAAAAGGAGGAGGGGTTGCTGGAGCACAGACTATATCTGGGATACGGAGGGAGCCAGACGACCAGTTTGAACATGGCCATTATAGGAAAGTACATTTTCAAATGACAGCAACCCAAATTAAAGTCACTTGGGAAAAAAACCAAAATGATTGGGTTATCTAACTGGGAAGTCTAAGGTAGATATGGCATATTTGAGCCAGATGCTGAAATGATACCATCAAGAATATTTCTGTCCATCTTTTGCTTTCCTTTATTTGTTGGCCCCATTCTCTTCTCCTAAGATAGATTTTTCCATATGGCAGGAATGATGCCTGTTTGTGGCTCCCTTTCTTATTCTAGATTTATGACCTCAAAAGTAAGGCCAATTTTCTCTAGATCAAAATTGAAAATTTCAAGGAAGGAATCTGATGGGCTAAGCTTGGTCACATACTCAACCCAGAGTAATTAGTGTAGTTACAGAAATGGAGTTTTATGTTTGAATGGGCTTGGGTCAGCACCCAAGCCCTGTGACCAATGAGATAGAGCACTATGATTAGCAGCTGCCTCAACAAAATCACATGATTGTACAGCACAAGGAGCAGTTCCACCAAATGAGGTAAGGGTGCTGGACAGAAAAACCAGGTATATCCACTACAGCATCCAAGCGCTTGTAATCAAAGGTTTTTGAGCAGACAGGTCCAGACCTCTACTGAGATGTCCTCTGGGGGTTTGTCATGGATTGGAACTAAGCTTATTCTAAGGTATTGCTTGCTGAAGGATATTTCTGCTGTTAGAATATTTGTCAGGTGGTCATCTATGATGAAAACAGCATTGGAAACAGTTGGAATTGGAAGATACAAAGATGAAAACCACATTTGGTGTAGAGTGAAGTATTCTTGATAGATATGTAATGTGGTCAGTGTAAGAGACATCCAGTGAGGGTAGTAAGGCTACCTGCATATTTTGCTATAGCAGGTATAGAAATTGAGTCATTGCTCAAAAATCTGGGACTGATGTACGAAGATAAGTTTGTAATCAGTAAGATGTCAAAGAGAGACTTTCTAGATCCAAGAGCTGAATTTAGATAGAAAGCAGAACATTTACCTAAGGATGCATATTTGTGCAACCTATTTTTAAGAGAATCTAGTTTCAACGTAATGGATGGCATCATAGCCCCAAAGTCATGAGTCATCCATATCCATGATCAAATCCAGAATTATGAAGGCCCATGTTCAAAATAGTTTTGGATATATTAAATTATATAATAGATATTAAGTGCTTAACACAATCAGCACATTTTTTTTTTTTTTGAGATGGAGTCTCGCTCTGTTGCCCAGGCTGGAGTGCAATGGCCTGATCTCGGCTCACTGCAAGCTCCACCTCCCGGGTTCATGCCATTCTCCTGCCTCAGCCTCCCAAGTAGCTGGGACTACAGGTGCCCACCACCACGCCTGGCTAATTTTTTGTATTTTTAGTAGAGACGGGGTTTCACTGTGTTAGCCAGGGTGGTCTCGATCTCCTGACCTTGTGATCTGCCCACCTCAGCCTCCCAAAGTGCTGGGATTACCGGCGTGAGCCACAGCATCCGGCCACACAATCAGCACATATTAAATGTTCTCATAATAATGAGAGCCAATGGTTCTCTCATTATTATTATTGTGTGCATGGCATCATGCCAGGTATTTTAGATACATTATGTGACAATAATCCTATTTAGATCAATATTGTTACAATATTTTAAATAATTTGCTAAGATAACATAAATTTTTATTTGCAGAGTTGGAATTTAGCCTAGGTCTATCTGACTCCAAAGCTTGTGTTCTTACCATTACGCCACAGGGCTCCCATGAAATGCTGGTAACATCCTATGAAACCTAGAAAGACTAGGTACAACTGTCTACCACTTCCTACTTCCCACTGCAGTTTCATAAGTATTATTGAGACTTTAATGTCATCACTCTCCAGGATAGATAACTGATATTTCTTATCCATGACTTCTTAGACTACATTTCCTCTCACCTAGGTCTCTGAAAGACATTCAAATTGATATAAACATGAAAGGAAGATTAGAAGAAAACTACCTTCCAGACTGAATACAATGTGCACCAGTTCAGACACTGTACTATCCATAACAGCCTTGAAGTCTTTCAGAAATTCATGAAAGTTGTATTTCATTATGTACTAGAAGAGTGTGTGGTTATCAGTCTACTTTAGCAATAATGGGATGTACTCCAATGTTATTGCTTGAGTGAATAGAACATCACATTCTGGACAGATCTAGTGGGAGCATCAATTCTATAAAGAACTCCAGAAATGTCAATTTAACCTTCTAATGTCAGGTTTCTTACCTTGTAAGGAATTCAGATGTCAACTCCAAAATACCATACCATACTCTAAGCACCAAAAATATACCATGTAATACCTAGTCTTTCTAGGTTTCATGGGATGTTACCAACATTGCATGGGAGGCCCGTGGCATGTGGTTGCTATAACCAAGCCAAGACGCTACCTACACACTGTGCTTCTGTGTTTTATAGAACACTAGAGTCCCACCACACATTGATAGATAGATAGATAGATAGATAGATAGATAGATAGATAGATAGATAGATATTGCTAGGGAGAAAAGAAAATATATATGGTGGTCAAAATATCTGGGAAATAGTGGTTTAAATGTTCAATAGGGCCAGGTGCGGTGGCTCATGCCTGTAATCCCTACCCTTTGGGAGGCCAAGGCAGGAGGATTGCTTGAACCCAGGTCTATTGTCAAGACCAGCTTAGGCAATATAGTGAGACCCCATTTCTGCAAAAAAATATGAGACTTAGCTGGGCATGGTGATGCATGCCTATAGTCTCAACTACTAAAGAGGCTGAAGTGGGCGATAGCTTGAGCCCAGGAGGTCAAGGCTGCAGTGAGCCAATATTGTGCCACTGCACTCCAGCCTGGGCAACAAAGCAAGGGCCCATCTCAAAAATAAAAATAAATAAATAAATAATAAGTGTTCAACAGGTTTATTACTTATTAAATTCTCAGAGATTTTAACAAGCTTATGTGCTATAAATCTTTAGGAGAAGCATCTACTATGAACTGTTTTCAAATCCATTTGACCAGGAATTTTTTTGCTTGCTTGTTTTTGATGACTATGTGCTAACATACTACAGAAAACCAGTATGTTTCCATGAAATACAGTTTAGAGGATAGGTTACACACCCTCCCCAGGCCTTGCTGTGCTGAGTTCACTGATAGAGGCTGGGCTTCCTGTTTCCAGAGCACACTCCTGTTCTCTCACTGGCACAGAAACTCTTTTCTCCATTCCAGTCTTTATGGCATTAACCCTGACCTCTTGCTTAATTCTTGTCAGATTCCTCTCCTTGGGGACTGTCGATGATTAAGTGATAAAGTATGATGAGTAAATGACATGGCCTATGTTTTAAGAGGTAAATTACACATGTAAAACACTCAACGCACTGTCATTTGGCATATACTCAGTAAATGTTAGTTTCTAAATAGATGTCAAAGATTTCTTTAGCAAAGCCGACATCCATCCCAGACTTTTTCTTTTCATTTTATACACTTTGGTGTTATTTGGAATTTTTAAAGCCGCAAACTTAAATTACCCTCATTTTAAAAATTATAATAACTAAATAAGCCAATCACAAAGAAAAAAAGCACTGTGTGATTCCACTTATGTGACATACCTGGAGCATTCACAGAGGCAGAACATACAATGGTGGTTACCAGGGGACATGGGGAGGAGGAAGCATTGAGTTAGTGTTTAATGGGTATAGACTTCTATCTAGGCTTGCAAGACGAAAAGAGTTCTGGAGATCAGTTGCACAAAAATGTGAATGTACTTAACACCTCTAAGCTATACATTTAAAAATGGTTGAGATGGTGAATTTTGCATTATATGTATTTTACCCCAATTAGCAATTTTAAAAATTAAAATTAAAATAAATAAATGAAAACATGTCTCTCCCTTCCTCTTGTCCTGCTTAAAAGTCTGCTTACCCTTTGTCCCCCACTTAACCTATTTTCCATATTGCCACTGCAGTGGTAAATCTGACCACAGTACTCCCCATTAATCACTATAGGATAAAATGCCAAGTTTTCAGCCTGACATGCAAGGCTCTTTAACTAAAGCCCCTACCTAGCTCCATCTCTTAACACTGCCCCATTTTGTACCTCTGATCAAGCCACACCACATTGCTCTTTTCAAAATGTGGTATTTCATGACTTCTTGTCTCTGCCTAAAATGACTTCTCAGAATCCTTTGTATGCCTGCTGAACACCTCATCTTTCAAGACTAGGCTTAGTGTCTGCTCTGTGGAGCTTTCTTTGACCAAGCAGAACACTGCCTCTTTTGTATCACCGCTCTACCTGGTAGAGCACTCTATCACTGCAGGTAGCATGCGGTATTGCAATGGTTTGTTTATGTCTGCATCCCTCAGTAGACTGAGAGGACCTCAAGGGCTCATTCATGTTTATATCCCCAGGGTTTAAAGCATGGTGCCTGCTACATAGGAATTGATTAATACATGGTTGTTGAGTAAGTAAATGAATGTATAGAAGTGGAAGCACAGATCTGAGAATTTTTATCCCTATTTTCACTACTACTATCAATAAAAACCCACAAAAATCCTTAAAGAAACTGTGTGTTCTCAGGGTAGCAGGCAGACCAATACCTGGTGATAGAAAAGAAAAAGGGTGGGAGCAGCCTCAAATGCCTAAAAGTGTCTGCCTTCCTTCTCTTTTCCTGTTCCTGAAGAGATCACCACTATCTTGGAGTCAGGGTTTGTTCTCTTTCACACTGCCTGCCTGATAAAGGATTGAGTAAGGGTAGGGAACAGTGCTGGAGGGGAGCCACCCCAGGAAAGGGGAATTTATTCTGGTCTTCCTATGTTGGATCAGAACTGTTTTTCTTTTCTTTTTTTTTTTTATTTTACTTTTTCTGGTTACATGTGCAGAATGTGCAGGTTTGTTACATAGGTATACATGTGCCACGGTGGTTTGCTGCACCTGTCAACCCATCATCTAGGTTTTAAGCCCCGTACGCATTAGGTATTTGTCCTAATGCTCTCCCTCCCCTAGACCCCCACCCCACCCTCACAGGCCCTGTGGTGTGATGTTCCCCTCCCTATGTCCATGTGTCCTCATTGCAGAACTGTTTTTCATAGAAATGTTATTATATATGATGTACTTAAAGCTTTACTTCAAGCACATTATAGGTTAAGTAGCCTTAGGTGGACTGGTTTGGGAATATCACCATAATTTATAACATTGTTTATATAGGAAATTTGTTTCTGAGTTCAAAAAAAAACAAACTTTTGGAACTCGACATGAGGACTTCCTGAATTCTTTTTGAAAATACAATAAGTGTGTCAATAGGAATCCAGAGATTTATGAAAATGAAGAGTTTTAATTAGCGGAAAAGTGATCACGGCAATATTTAGCTGTAACACTGTAGGCATTATGACTAATTTATACCAATCCTATTCTGTGGTTCTCAAATTACCCATTATTACAACTAGTCTTAAACTCTATAACAAGGTAATTTAAATAAAGTTTTAAAATGCAAGTTCCCATTTTAAACCCAGTCTCATAAAGGTCCAGCATCCAATACAGCCTGTGTTGTGTCATACATGATGCCTGCAACTTGCTTTAGGACACAAGCAGCCTGTAAAAGCGATACACCCTCTCTCAAGCACTTTAACAGCAAAATGTCAGGCCATGAAAATGACTCACTAACTTACAGTTTGTCATCAGGGTAAAATATTCCCTGAAATGAAACAGTCTTCTGTAGGAACCCTCTGTATGTAAACAGATGCATCTGAAACCCATATGACCTATATGGTTATTTCTGGCCATTCCCCTTCCCACATCCAAATGTTTGTGATATATTACTATGCAGTTGAAGGCTGCAAGGCAATATGCATGATTTGAGAGGAAACAGTTCATTTACTGACACTACACAGAAAAGTTGAAGAAAGAGGCTTTCTTTAAAAAAAAAAATAGAAGAATCTAAAACTGCTTTTAAGAATCACCAATTTTCCTGTTACAAAAAACAATCATAGATATCTGTCAAATACTAATGACAGTCTGTCAATCACACCCAACCCCACCCCTCCCTGTTTTCAAGAGCTTGTCTTCTTATTGTAAAACTAGCTTTTAACTTTTTCCAAAGCAACAGAATTATATTGCTGCTACGTGTGACTGAAATGTGTGACAGGTTGTTTGGATTGTAATTCCAAGGTCCCAGTTATGACCTATCAGCTAATACACTCTCCTTATTCAATAGAGCCTTGTGTCTACATAATGTCAAACAAATGGCAGGGCACTAAACAAATAATGAGCTGATTTAGTAACCTGTGGAGTGTCTCAGGTTATGCTGCACAGTAGGTTGGCAACTTGAGATTATTCTGAGAGGCACAGTGAGGCCTGCCCCATGGTAATACTGTGATATCGAGCGATTGTCTGGGCCATTGTCCCACATCTTGTCTGGGTACACAGTACTGAACATGGTAAACACATTCATTCACTAAATACTTGAATGAACCCTGAGGAAAGACTTTTAGATCTTTCTGAGATGGACTAAACTCACCTAGTTTTTTTCTTATTTTAACCAACCGATTCACACACATTCCAAGGAATGAACTACTCAAACAGCAGCAATATTTTCTTACATGTTCCCCCAGGGAAATCTTAGGCTATGGCAAATTAAGAGAATTGCTCTGTCTGTCTGGTGACTCAGGGCACGGCTGGATTAAAAGAAAACGATATATTAAGTTTGGGTCCTGGTGAGAGCAGGAGTGGGAAATGGCCTGAAGTGTTCAGGGAAGGTAACAAAGAAAACATGGGCCTTGGGGCCTGCTTTTTAAAACAGATGACACTTGTCCTCTCAAACTCTGCTTCTCTCTACCTCTGAATTCATGAAAGCATCTTTCTCTCCAATCCCAAAACATGATGTACACCTAGCCATTCTCCAAGTTCAACCTTCCTGACTTTCCTATGAACATTTATAACACGTATTGTCACATTCAGCATGGACAACTCTACTGACTAATATAGCTAGTACCATGGCTTGTCTACACAGCTGGATCATAACCTACCTGAAGAGAGGGGCATTGTCCTCTATTTCTCAGGATAACTGTGCAGTGCTGGGTAACTCTTCTCTTCCTGCTCCTGTTGGATGTTTTGACTCTCTCTTTGCTTACTAACATGCACAGGACCTTCTCACTGATTAAAAAGACAACAACAACAAAAACATGACTCTGCCTTCCCTAATGTTTTATCATCAATCTTCTTCTTTTCTTACTGTATTCCTTTCCCTAGATGAGATCATCCACTCTCAGGATTTCAACCATCAACTATGAAGATGGTTTGTAAGTGGCAATCTCCAGCCCTGATTTTGTCTTAGAATTCCAGTACTACCTCGCAAAACTGCCCTATGACTTGCATAATTTTCTGTCATCTCATACTTGGCCTAGGAATAAAATCCCCCTCCAACATCCAAACTGGTTTTTCTCCCCTGACATTCAGATTTCTACTAATGGAGCATGAGTCTCCATATTATCATATTAAGTTCAGTTTATTTCAGCAAATATTAACTGGGTGCTTCCCATGAACAAGACATTGAGCTCAGAAATCTTGCTAGCATATTTAAATCTTTCCTCTCATTTTGTGTTCAGTCTAACCTGAAGCTTAGTATGTTCTTCCTTTGAAATGTCACCTGTATCCAAATCTTCCTCTCTATTCCCCTTGTCCCCCACCTCAGCAGTCCCAGGACTCATGTTCTTACTATCCCTGTGTTATTACAGCCTTTTGGCTAGTTTCCATGCCAGTATCTCTCTTTTCTCGATTGCAGTGGTTCTCAAACTTTGCTGAATATTAGGAATATCTGGGGATCTTCTTAAAATCTTAAGGCCAAGGCTATATCCCATACTATTAAGTCAGAATCTCTGAGGTTAGGAGCCAGACATCAATATTTTGTAAATCTCCCCAGTTGATTTTAATGTGCAGTCAGGTTTGAGAACCCATGATTATTCCTCTCTACTCACTGTTGCCAGGACATTTACAAACACTGCTTCATTACGCAACTTACTGGTTCAGAAACCTTTAATAACCCCCCATTGACCAATTTCAAGGCTCTTTACATTCTGATTCAATACTAGCTCATGAAACCTATGCCTTCCCACCTCAATGACCATCCACTGGAATGCCTTTCCTCTGCTTATCCAAATCTTATTTGCCCTTTAAGGTCCAGTTTATTTAAAAAAAAAAAAAAGCGTTCCCCACTTTGGGAGTCCGAGGCGGGCGGATCACAAGGTCAGGAGTTCAAGACCAGCCTGGCCAATATGTTGAAACCCCGTCTCTACTAAAAATACAAAAAAAATTAGCCGGGCATTGTGGCACACGCCTGTAATCCCAGCTACTCAGGAGGCTGAGGCAGGAGAATTGCTTGAACCCGGGAGGTGGAGGTTGCCGTGAGCTGAGATCGCGCCACTGCACTCCAGCCTGGACGACAGAGGAAGACTCCGTCTCAAAACAAAAACAAACAAACAAACTAACAAACAAAAAAAGCAGTCCCTGAGGAATCTAGACCACAATGATTATCTCCCCTCTGGACACTGAAGCACTTTTTGCCTATATAGTCCTTTCCTAACTATCACCTTGCAGTAATATTTTCTGCTCTTATGTCTCATTTTCAAACTAGTTTGTATGGTTTTGAGGACATAGTCTATATCTACCATATGACCCCTACTGTACCTACTGTACAGTGCTGCAGCGCTATGAAAATTATAGACATTCAATAAATATATACAATGGTTTATGTCCATCCAATCATAAAGAATATTTCAATCCACATGTAACTAATCTTAAATGTTTGTGCCATGTTGTAATATAATAAAATTAGGCAGTATGCTTAATATTCTCGACTTTTTTTTTTTTTTGAGACACAGTCTCGCTCTGTCGCCTAGGCTGCAGTGCAGTGGCGCGATCTTGACTCACTGCAGGCTCTGTCTGCACCCCCAGATTCATGCCATTCTCCTGCCTCAGCCTCCCGAGTAGCTGGGACTACAGGCGCCCGCCACCATGCCCGGCTAATTTTTTTGTATTTTTAGTAGAGACAGGGTTTCACAGTGCTCGCCAGGATGGTCTCGATCTCATGACCTCGTGATCCGCCTGCCTCAGCCTCCCAAAGTGCTGGGATTACAGGCGTCAGCCACCACGGTGGGCCAATATTCTCTACTTTTTGTCAGTAGACAGACGAACAGAAAAGAGGATATCTCTCTGAGATGGGGCTGCTTGTCTTGAATACCTCCTGACTGAGTATATTCAAAGGATGTAAATAGACTGCATGTAATAAACCCAAAGGAGGATATTAACAAGTCAACATTTCCTGTTCACGTGGGAATGCCAATTCCATTTATCAAAGATAGAAACATTATTCTTTTAGTCTGATCCTCCCTTTTCGGCTCCTCACGGCCCGAGACTATCATCACTAGTGGAGCCAAGAAAAGAGAGAAAACCCTCCCACTGACCTTCAGACCACTGGGTCAGAAAGTTAGGCTAACAATAAAGATTTTTATGTTCAGAAATGTTTAAATGGGCTATTTGTAACTGGAGGTAGCTATGGGTCACGTAAAAAGCAGGAGGCCTGGAGTCAGAGGAGCTGGGTTCAAATCCCAGCTCTGTCACTAAATAGTCCTGTGACTTTAAGCAAGTCACCAAGCCTCTCTGAAACTCAGTTTCTTCATCAGAAAAATGGGATGGGTAATAAATAGCATAGTATTTGGGAGATTATTAAATAATACATTATATGTGACTGTCCCTAGCACATAGTAGGTACTCAGTAAACATTAGCAGATTTGAATAAGAAGGTTAAAATAATCAGGCTGGGCACAGTGGCTTACGCCTGTAATCCCAGGACCTTGGGAGGCCAAGGCGGGCGGATCACTTGAGGTCAGAAGTTCAAAACCAGCCTGGCCAACATGGTGAAACGCCATCTCTACTAAAAAAAAAAAAAATTAGCTGGGCATGGTGGCGGGTGCCTGTAATCCTAGCTACTTGGGAGGCTGAGGCAAGAGAATCCCTTGGTCCCTGGAGGCAGAGGTTGCACTGAGTCAAGATCACGTCACTGCACTCCAGCCTGGGTGACAGAGTGAGACTCTGTTTCAAAAAAAAAAAAAAAAAGAAGGCTAAAATATGTTATTTGCACATTTAGCATCAAATGTAAATATTTTAACAAAAGGGAGCCATCCAGCTCCCCAAGAAAGATCCATACATTTTTAAAAATGAGCGTCTTGTTTGGAAATAATTTCAAACTTAGAAAAATTACAAGAATAAAACGGCACAAAGAATACTCACCTATACTTTACCCATGATAATAACCCTATTATAAACATTTTACCCCATTTGCTTTATCATTTTTATCTGTCTATCTAAATTTCCAAATCATTTGGGAGTAAATCGCATACATCACGGCCTGTTGCCTCTAACTGCTTTGATGTATATTTCCTAGCTATGAGCATATTGTCTTACATACCACAGTGCGGTTAATAATTTCAGCAATATCAACATCAGTCCAATATTTTATCTAGTCTACTAACTCTTTTCCAGTTTTGTCAATTGGCCCAATAATGCCCTCTATAGGATGTTGCTCCCCTCCCATATGAGATTCAGGCTAGGATAAGGTATTTCATTTAATTGTCATGTCTCTTTAGCCCCATTTTATCTGGAACATTTCCACAGCAGTCCTTTGTCTTTTATGACAATGGATGTTCCATAAATTTTAAAATTGAAACTGAGTACTTTCACAAAGTATAGCAGTTAAGGGCATAGACTCTGAGGCCAGACTGGCTGAATTAGAATCCTACCCCTGCCACCAATTATCTGTGTAACCTTAAGCAAGTTACTTAATGTCTCTGTGCCTCAGCTTTTTCATAAAAAATGGGGCTGATAATGCTACTTCATGGGGTTGTTGTGAAGATCAAATAAATTAGCACACATAAGACATTTGGAAAGTGCTTACCACATGGTAAGTGCTCAATAATGTTACATATTAATATTATTATAATTCCAATGCCAAATCAAACCTACCCAAATTTACTGAGTACCTCTTACATGCAAGGTATTTTACTAAGACCAAGTCATATGTACCACACCAATTACAAAGTCATAGAATGTTGGACTTAAAAAGAGCTTAACGATTATGGGTTCTTAATTTTTATTTTTATCACAGCCCCCAGAGAATCTGGTAAAAATCTATAAACAGACTTCCCTGCCTGTGCCCCCCCTCCCCCCGCAAACACACACACACACACACACACACACACACACACACACACACGGTAGTGGTTTGAATGGTTGTTCCCAGAAAGATATGTTCACATCCTAATCTCCAGAACATGTGAATGTGACCTTATTTAGAAAAAGAGACTTTGCAGATGTAATTAAATTAAGGATCTTGAGATGAGGCAATCATCTTGGATTATTCAGTCGGGCCCTCAATCAGGTGGCAAGTGTCCTTCTAAGAAACACACAGGCAAGATAGAAGAGAAGGAAGCAATGTGAAAATAGAGGTAGAGACTGGAGTGATATAGCCACAAGTCAAGACATTCTGGCAGTTACCAGAAGCTGGAAGAGGCAAAAAACAGACTCTCTCCTAGAGCCTCTGGAGGAAGCTTGACCCTCCTGACCCTTTGATTTCTGACTTCTGGTATCCAGAACGGTGAGAAAATAAATTTCTGTGCTAATTTGTTATAGCAGCCTCAGTAAATTAATACAAATACACATATTCACTCACAATTTGGTAGACTTCAGCTAGTCTGTGGATCCCGGGTTGAGAAACCCTACTTTCATCCTACTTTATAATTTACCAATCAGGAACCAGATTCAGATAGACCCATAGCTAAGTATTGAACTAGAGGGAGGGAGGGCTGATGGTGGCAACCCCAAGGCCCTGATATGGGATGAGATATGGCTGATCTCAGGAAACACAACCTAACTAGCCAGGCCTAGCAAATCAAGGGACAGGGCTGGAACGTTTTCCCTGCACTTCATCAGCATCTCAGTCCTTCTTGCTTCCTCAAGAGCCATCTTTTCCACCACCATCAATATTTGCAAACTAGAGAAAATAAACATAGTTACACCGAAAGAATTTGAACAAAGAACACTTGCACAAAGAAAGTAAACAAACCTTAAACAATGGGGAGGGTATGCCATTTGTCCAAGTAAATTAAGATATTGAAAACATGACCATTCAAACAAAGATTGTACAAAGAAAGTTAGACAGAAAAAGTGAGAGCTTGACTATAATAGAGATCAAGCCCAAAGCTAGGTCTGGAAAAAGATTGTTCCCTAAACTTAATAACCAAAAAATGCTGTTAGGAGCCTGGGTTCATTTGGACCCTGTGGGTTAAATTGTGTCACTAAAAAGATGTGTTGAAATCCTAATCCCAGTACCTGTGAACATGACCTATTTTGAAAATAGGGTCTTTGCAGATGTAATCAAGTTAAGATGAGGTCACTGGGGTAAGCCCTAATCCAAATATGACTAATGTCCTTTTAAGAAGAGGAGAAGAAACAGAGAGAGACACAGAGAGGAGAATCCCATGCAGAGACACAGAGACACACAGAAGGAAGACAGCCATGTAAAGATGGAGGCAGACATTGGAGTGATCCTGCCACAAGCCAAGGAATATCTGGGGTTACTTGTAGCTAGAAGAACCAAGGAAGAATCCTCCCCTAGGAGCTTCAGAGAGAACCTGGCCCTGCCAGCACCTTGATTTGGGGCTTCGGGCCTCTAGAACTGTGACAAAATAATTTCTGTTGCTTTAAACCACCCAGTTTGTCTCACTTAGTTATGGCAGCGCTAGAAAACTAATACCAGCCCTTACTTGGGAATCCAAAAGACATTTACCGAATAACTAACATGTGCCAGGCACTATGCTAAGCCCTGGGAAAATACAAAGATAAGACAGGCCATTTTCTTGCTTTAAAGCTGACTTCAGTTTTCTGTGATGGAGTAGGTAATTTCTAGGGCCCCACAGATGCCTTTCTCTGTCCTGTGACCTGCAACCATATCTAGTTTTTGTCTTATTTGCTCATGTATGCAGAGTATGTAAGTGCTTTAAAGACAAGATGTCTCCTGGCATTTCTGACTACTCTACATAATATTTATCCAAGAACACAGTCATTCAGACAGCTCCTTCTTCTTTTTAAGGTTCCAAGGGAAGGGGAATGGGGAAGGGGAAAGGGAGAAGGTTCCAGGATAGCTTTCATTTTATTTCCTGCCCATATATTTCCTGGTAAAGCCATATTACCAATGACATCTCCCCTGCTATAAAATGAGTAGCTCCTCACACACTTTATCAAACTCTGTACATGGACCACACTGTGGCACTGTTTCATTCCCAAAATTTAATAAAATACACAGTTCATTTTATATCACAATATGAGGCCTTCACCTCATGGTTTATGGTGTGAGTGTCTGTAGTGTACATATTTAAGACCAATTAAAAGTCTACCTCAGTAACAGAGCCTAGGCCTCATCACTTGGCGATATTGTGCTGCTATTATGTGAAGTCCTTGGCAAATTGATGAAATAGGCTGTATTTACCTTGATTTGATTCCCATATTCATGATTAGAGATCCCATTTTCTATCATGCTCTACCTTCTCCCCTCTGTTTACCCTAGTAAGGTGCTTCTTACCTTGGGTCTTTGTCATAGTCTTCCTTTGGCTGGCTGTGGTAACTTATAACACGGTGATGTCTTGAGATATGATCCCTCAGAAGAATCATTTATTTTTAAAGTGGGATATCTTAGAGGTGAAAAAAACCCTCGAATCTAGCTTACTGTATTCTTTACAAGGACCTTGTGAAGTGGATATTCACATGTTCATTTTTTTTTTTTTTTTGACATGGAGTCTCGCTCTGTCGCCCAGGCTAGAGTGCAGTGGCACAATCTCGGCTCACTGCAAGCTCTGCCTCCCGGGTTCACGCCACTCTCCTGCCTCAGCCTCCCGAGTAGCTGGGACTACAGGCTCCCGCCACCACGCCCGGCTAATTTTTTGTATTTTTAGTAGAGACCAGATGTTCCTCTGCGGGGATTCACCGTGATAGCCAGGATGGTCTCGATCTCCTGACCTCATGATCCACCCGCCTCGGCCTCCCAAAGTGCTGGGATTACAGGCGTGAGCCACCGCGCCTGGCCCACATGTTCATTTTAAAGAGCAGGAAACTGAGGGCCAGAGAACTGAAGTGACTTGCCCACGGGCAGAAAGCAGGAATGCGTCAAAGGTAGAACAAGCTCTTCATGCCTCTCTGATTTCCAGTCAGTACTCTTTCTTCTATACCACACTGCCTCATTTGACATGTTACAGATGGAAGGAATGCCTTCTATGTGCAGGATTCTGCCTTGAGCCTTATGGGATGATGCCGAAAAGGGTACAGTATGTCCATGCCCTCTAGCAACTTAGAACCTATTTTCCATCAAATCATATCATGCAGGCAGTGCCTCAAGACCAGACTATCTCATACCTTATCTTGCCCAAGTCTAAAGAACTCTCATTCTGAGTCACTCAGGTTGGGGGAAAGGGGGAGGTGGTTAACGATGCTTTCACTCAGATGCTTTCTTGTGACCGAAAGTCTGAAAATCTTTTTCCTTCTATACGCAATGTCTATTTTCCCCTGGGTGAGCAGTAGCCTTCTGTTAACTTCCAGCATCCTGTTGTGCTCTACCCTCCCAGGAAGTCAGCTATTTCTCCTGGTTAGGCTGGACTGTTTCTCTTTTGGAACAGAGATTCCTATCTTGCCAGGGCTTGCCCTCTCCAATGATGGGCAGTTTCTGTGGGACCTTCAGTGTGACTTTTTCTCTGTTCATGGCATCCCCTAATGTTCCACATAATAACATCTTCCCCATATTTTAAGTCCACTGCCACCTTCATGCTTTCTTTGCTCTGTACCTACCAAACCTGCTGTTTGGCAAATTGATGAAATAGGCTGTATTTACCTTGATTTGATTCCCATATTCATGATTAGAGAACCCATTTTCTATCATGCTCTACCTTCTCCCCTCAGTCAGGTACCTGACTCCATAAGGGGTCAGGTATCATCCCTTTATATGTCACTTTGAATATGTTTAAATTCATTCACCGATCTATTCCAATTACAAATACTTTAAAGGATGTAGATATTGTTAACAGAAAAAAAAGACACGGGCCCTTTCCTTCAAATAACTCATTTTCCTTTGGAAGAGACAAACAGACCATTACAATATAATGGAATGTGATTCCTTTTCTATTCAAAGTATGACTAGAGTACCACAGGGACCACAGAGGAACATCTGACCCACACTAGGAGGGTTCAGGAAGGGTTTCTCAAACAGGTTATGGTTAAGCTATCTTGAATGACAAGTAGTAAATAAAGAAGCAAAGAAGAGGTAAGAATTTCCAGAGAGAGAGTGTGCACACAATATGTGCTAAGGCACTGGGGCATGAGCAGGCACTTAAGGAAGGAGTAGCTGTTCTGTGTGAATGGAACACAAGGCATGAGTTGGAAAGAAAAGTGAGATATGCTAGAAGGCTTGTGAACCAAACTAAGGAGTCTGGGTTTTACCTCGAGAGGAATATGGGGCACTACTTAAGCCCTGTACATGGAGGAGTGGCAAGATTTAATCAATCACTAAAATATTCAATCAATATCTCTTCCTTACCACCCATATTTAATCAATCAGTAAAATATCTCAAATCTGTAAAATATCTCAAAGCTCTGAGGTATTTTAATGATTGATTGTGCATGGTGAGGAGGAGGGAAAGATTTTTGTAAATCTGTGTTTTGTGACCTCTCTGGGTAACTAGGCAATTAGTGGTACCATTCATGGAGATGAGGCATACAGACAGAGGCATAACAGATTAATGGGTAGCGATGGAGGCAGATTATATGTTTGGTTTTTATATATTCTTTTTTTTTTTTCATACAGGGTCTCTCTATGTTGCCCAGGTCTCTATATTGCCCACTACTTACAGGCGTGATCCCACTAGTGACCAGCACAGTAGTTTTTGGTCTGCTTCATTTCCGACCTGGGCTGATTCACCCCTCCTTAGGCCACCTGGTAGTCCCCAACTCCTGGGAAGTCACCATATTGATGCCAAACTTAGTGTGGACACCCAATCAGCATCGCATACTATGGCCCCGAACTCCTGGACTCAAGCAATACTCCCACCTCAGCCTCCTAAGTAGCTGGGACTTCAGATGTTCAGAAATGTTGAAATGTTGAAACTAGCACCTGTCTGGTTTTATACATTCTAATTTGAGGTGCCTATCAAACATTCAGAGGGTTCCAGTAGGCAGCTTGATACATGGATCTTGTAAGAGATCTAGCAGGTGGTATTGATTTTGGAATTATTAGCCACCATGTTCACTTGTCATTCTTTGAGGCCATAAGACATCTTTGGCTTCTGAATCTTCAAGAGCAGCTACCAGAGGCATTTTTAAGGGAGAGAAACTTCCAGGTATCTTTAAAACACTTTCATGGTCCTGCCACCTGCTGAATATGCACTACCAGCACAGTCTAGCTGCTCTTAACCCAGCATGGGTGTGTCGATTTGGCTGCAAAATCTGACATATACAGCAGTTAAGGTATTTTTCAGAGGATGGTAAAAGACTCAAGGAAGTCAAACTTTGTATTTGTCAGTCTTTCTCGCTAGTTAAATAGTGAGAGGTGACAGCATGCTGGCAGTCCTCACAGCCCTTGCTCGATCTCAGCACTTCCTCTGCCTGGGCTCCCACTTCGGCAGCACTTGAGGAGCCCTTCAGCCCGCCGCTGCACTGTGGGAGCCCCTTTCTGGGCTGGCCAAGGCCGGAGCCGGCTCCCTCAGCTTGAGGGGAGGTGTGGAGGGACAGGCATGGGCGGGAAGCGGGGCTGCGTGTGGTGCTTGCCGGCCAGCATGAGTTCCGGGTAGGCGTGGGCTCGGAGGACCCCACGCTGGGACTAGCCGGCCGGCCCCACCGCCCCGGGCAGTGAGGGGCTTAGCACCTGGGCCAGCAGCTGCTGTGCTCAATTTCTTGCCGGGCCTTAGCTGCCTTGCCGCGGGGCAGGGCTCGGGACCTGCAGCCCGCCATGCCTGAGCCTCCCACCCGCTCCGTGGGCTCCTGTGCGGCAGGAGCCTCCCCGATGAGCGCCGACCCCTGCTCCATGGCGCCCAGTCCCATGGACCACCCAAGGGCTGAGGAGTGCCGGTGGAGGTGCGGGACTGGCAGGCAGCTCCACCTGCAGCCCCTGTGCGGGATCCACTGAGTGAAGCCAGCTGGGCTCCTGAGTCTAGTGGGGAGGTGGAGAACCTTTATGTCTAGCTCAGGGATTGTAAATACACCAATCGGCACTCTGTATCTAGCTCAAAGTTTGTAAACACACCAATCAGCACCCTGTGTCTAGCTCAGGGTTTGTGAATGCACCAATTGACACTCTGTATCTAGCTATTCTGGTGGGGCCTTGGAGAACCTTTGTGTCTACACTCTTCATCTAGCTAATCTGGTGGGGACGTGGAGAACCTTTGTGTCTAGCTCAGGGATTGTAAACACACCAATCAGCGCCCTGTCAAAACGGACCACTCGGCTCTACCAATCAGCAGGATGTGGGTGGGGCCAGATAAGAGAATAAATGCAGGCTGCCGGATTCAGCAGAGGCAACCCACTCGGGTCCCCTTCCACACTGTGGAAGTTTTATTCTTTTGCTCTTTGCAATAAATCTTGCTACTGCTCACTCTTTGGGTCCACACTGCCTTTATGAGCTGTAACACTCACTGCGAAGGTCTGTAGCTTCACTTCTGAGCCAGCAAGACCACGAACCCACCAGAAGGAAGAAACTCCAAACGCATCTCAACATCAGAAGGAACAAACTCCAGACACGCCGCCTTTAAGAACTGTTAACACTCACTGCGAGGGTCCACGGCTTCATTCTTGAAGTCAGTGAGACCAAGAACCCACCAGTTCCGGACACAATAGCATGTATGCACCAAGGAGAACGAACAGAATAAATAAGATATTGTATACTCCTGGCGTTAGTCTTCTTGGTTCTTAATGGTCTATAAAGTCTTCCCAGCCTCTTGTTTATACACCCTCTAAACCATTCTGAACCACCACCAGGGTGCTCTGTAAAATACCACTCCCATCAGTCTCCAAAACCTCTGAAAGAACAAGTTCCAATTGCTCTAGTTGGCATTCAAGTTCCTCAAAAATTTGGTCCTAACTTACAGAGCTGAATTTAACTTTTCCTAACCTCTAACAAATTATCTGCTCCAACCAGGCCGGGCTGCTCACTTGTATTGCAAACAAACCAAACTTTTTCTGATTATAAGCCTTTGGTAATGCTATTATTCTATGAGGTTGGAAAGCTTTTCCCAACCTCTCTTCATAAAGTCATTCAAAGAATCTGCATTGAACACCTACTATGTACCTTCTTTGATACTCAAAGCTCATAATGATCTCTCTCTTCTCTATTACAAAAGGCATGGTTGCAGTGACCATTTATTCAGAATAAAGTAACAGTTTTATATTTTTTAATATACATAAATATTTAATATTAATTAAATATAAATTAATATTTAATTAATAATAAATATTAAATTAAAGCCATTCACTCATCAGGATTGTATTATAGAACCCCTTGCATAGTTATTTAAACATTTTGTCTCTCCAGCTATACTGGAATTTTTGGAGGTTTGGAGTCCAATTTTAGACTTCTTTGTACCCTACATGGCACCAATCACATGCTAGGTATTTAACAGTTATTCAGTAAGTATCTGTGTTTGGACTAATAGCTAATGTTCTTTGTTTGAGTCTGGCAACATTCTTTAGGTGTGGCCTACCCTGGTAACTAGGAAGGTAGTGCACAAGGAAAACCAATGAGAGTAAGATTAAATTCAGCAGAAAATACATTTTAACAGAGGAGATTAGCCCTTCTGCTGAGTAAGCTGAGCCCTAGTAAACTGATCCTGCCTTCTTCCAAAGAGCTATGGAAATAAATCACCTTGTGGGTGAAACAGAGTTAGTCTCCATTTGCAGGGGGATTTTAAGTGTCTCCATGGTTTAGTCGTCCACAAAAATCTCCCCATATTTAACATCTGCTCTGTCTTCAAATTACCCTGAGCATTTTTCTGAGACTGTGAAAATGAGCAAGGAGCTCTCACTTTCCGAAGTGTCCACAAAAGCCAAAAGGATATTAATTAGAGGCAGGAGGGGAGGGAGCAGGGAGCTGGTTTTACCGAAGGAAGTTACTTGCTGGGAAAGAAATGAAATGTGAGTTCAGGAGGTAGAACAGAAACCTTTTAAACTCTCCATGGCTAGACTGGAAACTGAATGCAAGGGATAGATAGAGATGGTAAAATGGGGCGATAAAAGTCAGAAGTTTCCTGTAACCTTGGAAGAGAAGGTGATAGGGTTAAAACTGCTTCAAACTCTGTTTTTGGATACTAAGGAAAACTCTAGAAGTCAACACACTTTTTCTGTAATGAACCAAACAGTAAATATTTTAGGCACTGTGAGCTACATATCTAGTCTCTGTTGTATAATCTTTGTTTCTTTTAACAACCCTTTAAAAATGTGTATACACACACACACACACACACACACACACACACACATATAGAGAGGGAGAGCTGAGGTTTCGCAAAAACCAGCCACTGGTGGACAGTAATTTCCCCAGTCTTGCTCCAGAAGATGGTGATTTTTTGTGTTAAATTCCAATTCCATTTCAACTTGAGGAATACTTACCGAGCACCTACTGCAAAAAGATCAACTATGCAAAGCCAGTGGTGGAAGCCCTCTATGATAAATATAAAGAGGATTCTGAATGAGGAAAAGACTAAACCTGGCAATAAACTAATCAGGGTTCCTCAGCCTGCAATAAGACAACTACTTCCAGCAGGAAGAACTAGCTCAAGACGGGGGCAGGTTTGAGTGAATCTAACAGTCTGTGCAAAAGCTATTCAAAGTGAAAAAAAAAAATGCTGAGTGCAATTTGAGCAGGACACTGAGCATCTGGCCAAATTAAAGCTGGGGAACTCCCTCAGGAGATTTCAGTGCAGACTCGAAAGCAGTCTGGAAGCTGGGGTCAAGGAGAGAGGCAAACGCTGAGAGTGTTTTTTGACCACAAAGGCGGGGGAAGTCCTGGGTTTTGTAATTACCAACCAGCTGACACCACTTTGGGAATAAGTGAAATCTCTGCAAAATGTAACTTACCTGCCTGGGATCAGTCTAAAATATCTTATAGGGTAGACTCTGATGGATGTAAAGAAACTATGCCTGAAAAATTGGAGTCTGGGGACCCTGGGAGTTCTGGTGCAAGGGAGGAAGAGGTTGGAAATGTTCCCTTTTCCCCTTCCCCCACAATAACCACTTTTCACTAGACAGGACAAAGCTGGCCTGAAGGTAGAAGCTACATAGTATCTAAAGAGCACCTGACAAGAAGCTTTTGAGAAGCCAAGGGAGTGGCTCCCCCTAGATACTGATTGAAAAGACCTAAGGGCAACAAGTCTTAAGCCAAGATCAACATGTCAAGAAGATAGGAAGAACAATGCTTTCCCCACCCACCGATAGCCCAGGGCTAGAGTGTTTAAGAAGGAATCAATGCTTGGTGCCTAATGGGGGGAGGAAGCGTTAGTGTGGGTGGTAACCATGCTAACCACAGGTGTCCTGAAAATAACCATCTATTTCAGTTTCTAAGTTGTTTTCACAACCATTGTTTGATCTAAAGCTTGCAAGCCAGTGAGGTACCAAGACATGACAGCAGTTATTCTCTCATTTTTAACAGACAAGGAAATTGAGACTCAGAAGGGTTAAGATGCTTGCCCAAGTGTGCACAGCTTGTAGATTGCAACACTACAGTCAAGTATCCTCCAAATCCAATGCTACTTTTACACCAAGGTGGGAAATGATTGGCAAATAACAACATTTTTAGGATAGGTGACCCTCTTGGGAGTTAAGAGTGAGTGGAATGCAGATGAATAATGGAAAGATAAGGACGGTGGAGTCAGGAAAAACAAGGCTTTCAGAGGCCTGGAAGTTTAAAAGGCTTTTAAATTAAAACAGTTCTGATTCCAGAGTCTGTGTTCCAAGGAAACAGAGAGTTGAGTTTACAAAAAAAAAAAAATTAAAATTAAAAAAAATTTGAGGGCTACCTGGGAAAGCTACTGAGATACAGTTAGGATGGCTTGTAGGGGTTTTCATCTAAGGCAGAGGAATACTCTAGAAGAGCAATGACTTTGCCTGATGACTTGACTACAGATGTTAGAAAAAAATAGCTTTGGCCGGGCGCGGTGGCTCATGCCTGCAATCCCAGCACTTTGGGAGGCCGAGGCAGGCGGATCATGAAGTCAGGAGTTCGAGACCAGCCTGACCAACATGGTGAAACCCCATCTCTATGAAAAAATATATATATACAAAAAAATAGCTTTGATTTTGGACTTAAACACAAAGTAGGATGGGGTATCTAAAAGGATGATAAAGAATTCATTTACACAAAAGCCTGCATCATAAAATACATGTTTCCTTCATCCAACAAACAACTACGGGGTACCCACTACATGCCAGATACAGTTTGTGCTAGGTGTGGGGGATACAGCAGTGAATTGAGACACTGTCTATGATATAGGAGGCACCTACGGCTTAGTTGGCAATACAGAGAATAAATTGTTACAAAACAATGTGATAAGTAATCTGATAGAGATAGGAACTAGAATGAGAACTGAAATCTAGAGAAAGGAAGCTAGGGGGACATGTGCAGCTAGCCCAAGGAACACTATCTCTCCTTGAACACCTTGAGCTAATGCCTGCTCCAACCCTGGGGTAGACGGGAAACAGTAATTAAAATGCTGGAAATGTGATAGTATATGAAACATGGCACTTGGTGAAATTTAACCACATAAAGTGTGAAACATAGTCACAGTTCTGTTGTTCTGCAATAAGGTAAAAACTGCAACTGAAAAAAATCAAACTAGATACTACGAACCATAAAAAAATATGAGCAGCATCTTCTCCTTCCCCCATTCTGACACACTATGCTTCTAGAAAGGGGGCTATGGAACTAGAGGAGTGGGACATAGAATTTATGTTAAAAGTTCAATTGGTTAATGTCATCCAGGTAAGAGTATGGTGGGAGTGGTTGT
Source organism: Homo sapiens (assembly GCF_000001405.40). Taxonomy (NCBI): domain Eukaryota; kingdom Metazoa; phylum Chordata; class Mammalia; order Primates; family Hominidae; genus Homo; species Homo sapiens. Next base: position 112,849,970 of record NC_000023.11, on the reverse strand, counting down.
AGGGGAATGTCATTAATCCAGATGCATACTCTTTGATCTCCTGGAGATAATGAAGCAGGAAAGTTTATCCAAATAAACACTAAGCCTACTGTTCAGAGCCATCCTGGGCTACATTTTACCTCAGGAGGGATTGCTACTAAGGAAACTATAGTAGAAAAAAGTACTGGTACTTAGAATGGAAAAACCCGTGCAAGCCACCTGCTATTACTATATTGCAAGAATCTCAAGTACTTTTTTCAAGCCACTTACTGTCCCTTGCACAGAAATTACCCAGTTTCACCTGAGTTTTAACAGACGGTAATTGCTTTATTAAAATATAATAATAGTAACAGCCAGTATTTATCGAGTACCTATCCAATTCCAGGACTGTAAGGATATCATGAATCATCACAGATCTTAAATATCTACCCACTATTCCCATATCCCTCCAAAGCATAAGTCCCATAAGGGCAGGAATTTTGCCTATTTTATTCACCAATGTGTGCCCAAGTGCTTAGAAAGTGTTTAACACATAGTGGATGCACAATACACATTTGTTCGACCAATCAATTAGAAAATTGAGACTTGAGAAGTTAAGTGATTTACACAGGGTCACACAACCAGCTGTATGTGGGGAATTTAGTCCAGTTCTATTTGATTTAAAATCTTTGTTTCTTCCACTATACTTGGCTCACTTTTGGTAAATCTAGTCCTACTTCACAGTTCTGATGGGAGAACAGGAAGTGACAACATCTGTTAAGTCATCTGGAACTGTCTGTTTGCCATCACAGGCATTGAGCCAGCCAGTCACACTTTACTCCCTAGCACTCATGCCTGCACTGTCTTTCTCATTTGCTAGTACCACATAAACACTCCACCTTTTGCTTAAAGCATTCACACCCACATTTCCTAGATATATTTCAAAACTCCCCATTTTACACCAAGATCAAATAACTGGGGGGCAGGAGGATGCCACTGCAGCTACAGCTTCCCACTCCAGCATTCAGAAAACTTGTCAGCATTCTGACAACTGTTAGCAGTTAACAGTTGCAAGGAACCCTGAAGATCATCTAGTTCAATGCCCTCACCTAGTGTAGGAATAATTCTAAAAACTATGAATTCCTTAGGGGGTAGGAAAGGGGTGCCGGGGGGTGTACAGAGCTGCAGGGTACGCATGAAGCTTCTTCCTGGACCTGAAATTTTCTAGACTGGGAAACAAAGTTAAATAATTTACATATTAAATATTTTCAATATTATTTTATATTAAAACCACTTCCAATATAGTTTATCATGTAGAATGCACAATTCACATAAATGTTTAAAGATAAACAAGAGAAGGGAGTGTAAGTTATCACTCAGGGAATACTTCCCTGAAAAGATGATATTTAAGTTGAAGCCTGAGAAATGAATTGAATTCATGAGGCGAAGAGTGGGAAGAGAGTGGGGCCGAAGATGGGGTATGCAGAAGGAGTGGCGTGCACAAGGGTTCTAAGGCAGGGGAAAAGTGTGGAATTAAAAGAGCGGTAGGCCTGAGTCTCCCAGGCCCATGCTCACAGCGCACATGTTCTATTATCTCGCAATCTCCTGCAGCAGCACCTCCCAGGAGTCTGTCTTTCCACTTACATCCTGCCAAACCCCTGTGAGAATCTTGGAGGCAGGAGGTCCAACACCTAGAACTGAGATGCCTACGACTGCCCCATACCACCCCAAATTCCCTAGCCAAGATCAGGAAGCCAGGGACATATAACTGTTGTTTGCTTAAGGGTGTTCAACACTCTTACTAAAACCATTCACTGGCCTGGCGCGGTGGCTCACGCCTGTAATCCCAGCATTCTGGGAGGCCGAGGCGGGCAGATCACCTGAGGTCAGGAGTTCGAGACCAGCCTGGCTAACATAGTGAAACCCCGTTTCTACTAAAAATACAAAAAATTAGCCAGGCTTGGTGGCACACACCTGTAATCCCAGGTACTCGGGAGGCTAAGGCAGGAGAATTGCTTGAACCTGGGAAGTGGAGGTTGCAGTGAGCCGAGATTGCATTATTGCACTCCAGTTTGGGCAACAAGAGTGAAACTCTGTCCAAAAAAAAAAAAAAACCATTCCCTGGTTTAAATCAGAAACTGCTGGTAGAAAAAAGTAAACTTTGGTCAGTCCATTGTACAAAATATTACAAGTAATAATATCAGCTAATATTTGTATACAACTGTCATTTTACCTTTACAACCATCCTCTGACATAGATGCTGTCATTTTACAAATGAGGAAACTGATACTCAAAATTTGCCTGAAGTCACATAGCTAGTGAGCAATAGAATGAAGACTATGAAACTAAGTCCTTTTGGTGCGGAAGCCCATAGCTTAGCCTCGCACTGCCCTGTGGAGCAGATTTAGTAGAGAAGAGTGATTGCGAGGGCCTTACAGCTAGGTGCTTTTAAGCTCTATAAGCCACCAAGCAAACCCACTGTCCTACACCCTTGAATGCCCTAAGAAGAATGAATGGAGGGGCATGAAGAAATAAACTGTGTTAAGGGACTACTATATGCCAGACATCATGATAGGACCTCTAAATGTGTTATTTCATTTAATTATCAAAGAAACCCTTATGGTGGAAAAATTATTATCCCTATTTTACAGATGAGGGAATGGCAGTTCAGGCTGGTTAAGGAATCTGCCTCATTGGTAAGTAGTGGAGCTGTGACTTGAATCTAGGCTTGGGTGACTCCAAAAGTCTATACCCCTTCCACAGAGCACACCAAGGATGGCTTACTATTTAACCCTTCCCAGGTTAATATTTGCACTTTAACAAGGGTCTTTCCTGTGTGAATTTCACAGGACAGTGGCAGACCTGAAGAGAAGGCTGATTTGGGCCTGCAAGGTGGGCCTGCCTTAAATCACACTGGAATGGCATTGACCTACCTTCTCCCTGGAGTTCCTAAAGTGGGGCAGCGAGCCAGAGAAGATAAATCTCTACTGCAGTCACAGCCTTCTTCTCCTCCAACTGGGATAACAACTCTCAGACACTCTGGCAACTACAGAAACAGAGAGAGCTCTGAATCAATCAAGAGTTTATTTGCAAAGGGTAATGTCAGAGGATGAACTTCCTCTAAATCCTGCTAACTCTGTACATTTAACGTGTTTACTGGCTCAGGAATTTGATTTTCCTCTGACTTGCTTTCAGAGGTTTGTTTTTTACCATTGACTAAATTATATTTTCCCTCTCAGCCCACCACCTTTCAGGGTACAGACTGATGTACGTTCCTCAGCCTCCCTGCTTCCCTCTTGCTCCGGCTAACCTAGGAATTTGCAAATAAACCCTACTGAGAAGTATGGACAGTCTGGGCCTTTCCAGAAACTCAAGCTGCTGAAGGAGATATGGTATTTAGTTAAGCTGAAGTGAAGCCCTGCATAAATCATAAAGAGGCGAGCCCAGGTTACTCAAACAAGACCTTAGGAGGTGTTTGGGGAATAGACTTGTAGGCAGCTTTATTTTTCTACAGCCGATTTACTTCCAAAATGCTGGGGCCCACAAATACCCCAGGAGCAACTTGGCTCCCAAATGCTGGAGCAGGTCTTGGCCTTGGAGCACAGTTCTGGTGTTGTTTCCTGAATTCCCACATTGCTGTTTTCCACACATGGATCGGGCTTCAAACTTCCTGTGTCTGGACTGTGTGTGCATGCTGTGTGTGTGTGTGTGTGTGTGGTTGGGAAGGGTGGAAGGGGGGAGGGAGGGAATCCAGAAGGAAGAGCATTTAACTGAAGTCGTGTATTGCATATGTGTCCCTTTGTTCCTTTCCTGTTCAGATAAACCTGCTATTTTCTGATCAGCTGGCTTCTGCATGTACAGGGCTAGTGTGTCCTTATGAATAAATAGGAGGCTGACTTTTGGAGGTGTCCTGGAGAAGGCTGTTTCTCAACGTTTGTCTTTGGAGGAATTAAGGGGGACAGTTATGTATAGAGACATAAATCTTTAAGATTTATTTTTTCTCGTATACGTGCTTGCCTCTGCTTTTGTTCATAAATGCATTTAAATCATTTAGTTGTTCACTAGGCAACTAGAGGAAGATGTGCACATTCCATATTCCTGGTTCACTTGGTAAGTGGGGGAGAATGCCATTCAATGCAAAGCACTATGGTTTTATCATCTTTCCTTCAAGAAGAATCTGGCCAGGGATTGGGAATAGACCATAAGCTATACACTCCTTCCTACTTTTCCTGTACGTTGGACAAAAATATTGCACACAAAGGGAAGATTTTTTAATTAAGACATTTATTAGTTGGCAACATGAAACACTGGAGATTTTATATTAAAAACATTTGACTTCTGGTTTCTCTTGAAAAATCAGAAGCTGTGGTCACATTGGCCTGCATTTCCCTGTAGTGGTGATCAGGCTGCCCCTTTCACATGGGTTCTGCCTTCTTGCAACCCCTATCACTGGCATTGTCTCCTGACACTAAGCCTAAGGGTTATTAGCTTTTGTGTGTGTGCATGTGTGTTTGTGTGTGTGTGTGTGTGTGTGGTAAGAGATACGTAACAAAATTTACCATTTTAACAATTTTTAAGTGTACAATTCAGTGGCTTTAAGTACATTCAAAATATTATACAACTATCACCATTATCTAGTTCCAAACCTTTTCATCATCCCAAACAGAAATTGTACTATTAAACACTAACTTCCCACTCCCTCTTCCTCCAGCCCCTGATCACCACTACTCTACTTTCTATCTCTATGAATTTATCCATTCTAGATCCCTCATGTAAGTGGAATCATACAATATTTGTCCTTTTGTATCTGGCTTATTTCATTTTGTGTAATGTTTTCAAGGTAGACATTTGATTTTTTTAATGGATTTTATTTTGTACAGCACAGATATTGATTTTTATTGTGCAATAAAGGTGTATTTTAAGAAAAAAAAATAAAGGCCAAATAGGACAGGTAGTTTGGGATGTGGAATCTTGACTTCTGAGCTTAAAATGATCCTCCTTTTTTCCATATCGTTATATGGAGGTTTTTAATGTGTAGTATCTAGGCAACCCAGTGTCTTTACACAGGTGTTTTACAGCTAGTGGTTAATTCTCCTGGTCTCCCCCAGAGGGCTTTCTATACTTTATAGTCAGGATATGAAGACACAGGGATGCTGTGGGGATTAGTTAAATGTGTGTGGCACAGTGTGCTGTATAAACTAACTCTCTGGAACTAGTTTTCACTCTCTGCTCTTAACTTCCACAGCTTTTACTGTCAATACCATTCATTTGGCACTTAGCACATGCTTGTTAGTTGTCTTTTTATGTTTATATCCTTGAAGGCAGGAGCTAAGTCTCATGCCTCTTTGTTTTTTCAGTCTTGTCTATAATAGCGGCTCAATCGATGTTTGTTGATGTTGGCCTCCCCCTCCCCCTCTCTTTTAAGTAGTGCAGGCAATGCACAGCTTTAAATCCAAACTCGGTTTAAACAAACTGAAAGGTTTTCAGGGTGAAAACAAAGAAGTCTTGCATGGCAGGATAGAAGGCTTGGAAGACCTGGGTTAAACAGAAGTACCAAAAAGCTGTTTGCCACAGGTTAAGAAATGACTCACACACAGCCTGACTCACCATTAAGTTCAGAGTTCTGCTAACTCTACTCCATCAAAATTTGGAGAAGAGTAATGCCCAAGCAGGGTTTGAGGAGCGGATGTTAAACGAATTAAGTGTTTTAGAGGTTTCCATTGCTCCAATTCCATTGCTCCACAGTATAAGTCGCTGTGGGGAAAGGAAAGCATGTTAGAAAAGTGTTTTGAAGGCAACTTCAAGGCTAGGGGCAGGCATACTACAAATGAGCCACCAGGCCTTTGTTACCAGGATTTTTTTAAATAGCATCTTCCGTAGTAGCAAAAGATGGGAAATAGCCCAAATTTGCTTCCATTTTTTTTAGAGATAGAGTCTTGCTATGTTGACCAGGCTGACCTTGAACTCCTGGCCTCAAGGGATTCTCCTCCCTCAACCTCCCTAGTAGTTGGAACTATAGGCGTGTGCCACCACCGTGTCTGTCTCCCAAATCCCCATTTAATAAGGGGATGAGTAAAGGAATTTTGGCACAGCTATGCAATAGAATATTGAGTTATAATAAAATAAATAAGGTAAACATAGTTATCCTGAGATGGAAGAATATTTCAAATACATTGTTGAGTAAACAAATGCAAGGTGTGCCTTGATTAATGATCCCACTTGTAAGGAACAAAAAGGGAATATGCACTCATGCTTGAATATGCAAATAATCTATTTGGAAGATGACATACAGTCATAAAGAGAATGGGACTATGGGAGCAGAGTGGTGGAGAAGAACTTTTCACTGTAGTCTTTCAGTACCTTTTTGTTTGGTGTTTTTTGGTTTTTTTTTGACGGAGTCTCGCTCTGTCACCCAGGCTGGAGCGCAGTGGCCGATCTCAGCTCACTGCAACCTCCGCCTCCCAGGTTCAAGTAATTATCCTGTCTCAGCCTCCCGAGTAGCTGGAGCTCAGTGGCTGATCTCAGCTCACTGCAACCTCCGCCTCCCAGGTTCAAGTAATTATCCTGTCTCAGCCTCCCGAGTACCTGCTACTACAGGCGCATGCCACCACGTGCAGCTAATTTTTGTATTTTTAGTAGAGAAGGGGTTTCACCATATTGATCAGGCTGGTCTTGAACACCTGATCTCAAGTGATCCACCCGCCTCAGCCTCCCAAAGTGCTGGGATTACAGGTGTGAGCCACCGTGCCCAGCCCAGTACCGTTTTATCTGAATTCTTCCATGTGCATGTTTAACTTTTTTCACTTGGACAGCATTGATTTTAACAAATATCCTTTTGCCTCTGTGATTGGTAGTAGTCCTGCAGCATATACCCGCCCCCCCACATCTAGCTCTCCTGTCCACTCCAAATAACAAGGCTGAAATAACCTTTCCTTGCTTCACAAACCAGGTGTCTCCATATTTTGAACATTCAAAAACTCACTTTCTCCATGAAAAATCACCCAAATAACCTCACTTCATACATAAACAGAATCATAACGAGAATCATTTTGTGCACACTCCTGCTTCTGAATCTTTCCACAGCTCCTAGCAGAGCATGCTGCACACTCCATGACATGCAATAGTCCACTACTTTTCCTGCAGAGTTGGATTCTGAGCCCCTGTTTACTGTGTGATAGTGTTTCCTTTAAGCACACTTCCTCTTGCATGCCTTGATCCATGGCCCCCCAGATGGCTCCCATTAGGCAGGCTTGAATTGGATGTCACTCTTTCATTGGCATGAGCCATTATAATGGCCTTGCGCTGTCAAGGCGTTTACATTTAGGCTTGCTTCCTACTTGAAATGTTTTCTAGGAAATATGGATCTGTAGAGAATGGTGGTTTCCATGGTAAATGTTCCTTCATATTTGTTTTCTTAAGTTCACTTCGGAGATACACAGCATGATTTCCTCTTTCAGTACCAGAACCACAATAGCTTTAAGTTGTCATGAAATTGTAGAACTTTAAAAAAGAAATCTCACCCACCCTGCTTAGAAAAGGGGTAATTTATTATTCTAACTGCAGGGAGTCAACTTCATATCCACCCCCAAAATTGTAGGAAAAGAGTTGACTTTTTAAAATAAAGCCACAAAACCTACACGACCTTGGATGTAAATGCTTAAAACAGATGAGCAAAATATTGATCCTCTAACACATCTAAGACTCTCCATTATGTTTCACACACAAGTAGGAACACATACATGTGTGGAGTGCTTTATAGTTTTCACACACATTTTATTTTCATACCAGTGCCTTTAAGTTAATAGGGCATGTCTTACAGCATTTACTTACAGGTAGAAAAATTAAGGCTGAGAAGTTAAGCCACTTAACAGAAGTCATACAATTAGCTAGTAAGTGCCAGGGCCCCAAATGAATTCTTCCTTTGGTTCCAAATTCCATGTTATTTTGCTACCCTGACACTGTTTCTTTGTGCCTTCGTTTTTCTAGATGTAAAATGGTAGATTTTCCGTGTCCCAGGATGCTGTTCTCAACCCTCTCGTTTTTAACCAATGTCAGCTTTTTTCACAGTCAGCAGAACACCACAATGACACTTCATGTACTTTCCCCCCTCCTGATTTAATAAACTAAGGGGGAAGAAAAGTTACCTATTCGCAGAAAGCTGGACAGTGCCATAAACATAAAGGCGTACCAGAGTCGGCCGACACACTGTTGCACTCTTTTATGAGACTGAGAAATAAAGCGTCTCATCTTTCTCTTGCCAGCAGTAGCTGGGGTAGAACATAGAACTACACAATAGCCTCTTGTTTAGTTTTATTAATTTTGAGGGCGGGTGGGACAAAGGGATCAGACTGGCGACTCCAGGGCCCAATCGCAAGCGTATACTAGGCCAGGCTGGGCCAACCGGTAGCTGCAAAAGAATGGTGGGCGGGACTTACGCTTCAGGGACGCGCTCCGCCCAGGCCGGCGCTCCCAGCCCGCCCAGGGGCGGAGCCTCCGCGGAGCGCCGCCCGCGACCCCTCCTCCCTCGCCCCTCAGCTTCTGCGGCCCGCCAACGGGAGGGGGGCAAGCGCCCGGGGCGGGGGAGCGGAGGAAGAAAGGAGGGTGTCTCGCAGAGCTGTGACCTGGGTGGGGGCCTGCTGGTAATAGGAAGCAAGAGGGGAAGGAAAACGAAGGAGCGCTTCTCCTTCCTGCATTATTTTAAGCAGGCTTTGGTGGAAGCTGCTTTTCAGCATTTCTATTATTTGTTTTTCTTCCTCCCGCAGTGGGGCGGGGAGCTGCACTGGCTCTCCCACGCGTCTATGCCGCGCTGTTGCCGCAGATTATTATTGTAGTCTTTTGCAAAACCCTTTCCTTCTTCCCAGCCAGTCCCCGCGCAGACTCTCACGGCTACGGCAACCGAGTCGTGCCCCTCTAGTGGGAAGGCGAGAGCGAGGGTCCCTTGCTTTCGCCCGAGCTCCCGGACCCCGCGGTTCAATTGTTTGAAACTTCCACGCCCCCCGGCCCCGCCTCTCTTCCGCGCTCCCCTCACTCCTCACTTCCAGGGTCCAGGCAGGCTCCCGCCCTTCTTTCCCCGCCCTCTACTCCGCCTTCCTCCCTCGTCCACCCCTCCCGCCGCCCTGCTCCGGGGCGGTCCTAGCCGCTCACCGCAAGAAGAAAAGCCACCCGTTCGTCCCCCTCCCCTACCTCCCATCCTTTGCCCAGGAGCTGCCTTGGCAGTCACGCCCCTTCCTTCCGAGGAGCTTTCTGGCTGCCTAAACTGGTAGACCCCCTGAATTACTCCTCCATCTCCGCTCTCTTTCGCCTCCTCTTCTCTTAGTTCTCTCCGCCTCCCCCTCAACTACCACCACCTCCAGTCAGTCTCGCCTCCGGCTATCCGCTGCTCCACCCTCTGGCCCGGTATCCTGCCTGTCCGCTGCCACCAAGGAGAGCCCGGACGGAGCAGCGAGGAGGGGAGCAGCCGGGAGTTGGGGCTTCCCCCCTGCCCATCCCTGGCCGCTGGCCCGGGACCGAAGCCACTTGAGCGAGCAGAGAGTCGTCACCTTGTCTTCTTTGCCTTCAGGGGTAGGAGACGCGTGGTTACTTTTCGCGGGGAACTGGGGCAGGAATCCATGGTGGCATGAACTTGGTCGTGCCCTCGGCGTGAGTGAATCGATCTAGGCGCGTGTGGGAATGCCCGTGTGTTCTACTTTCTTTGCAGCTCGCCATGAGTTTTTTTGGATGTGCAGCAAGTTAAATCGGTTAGAGTGTGCGCTGCTTTCCCGTCCTACTTCGGTGAGGAGATGCTAGTGGGTACCACTACTAGATGGTACTTTTACTTCTTTACCTCCTGGGGTTCTTGTGGGTCTCTAGGTAATTAATCACATTGAGGAGCTAAAGACCCGAGGGAAGCTGAAATCTACATTTAGCCCAGCATGCATGTCAGTGCTTATCTCAGATAACTAGATAGGTTTCTGCTAAGTGCTTAGGCTTGGGGTGGGGACTCACACTCCCTGAGGCGGGAGCAGGAGGGGTAGGACCGTGAATTCTTGAAGTTTTAAAGTCTGTGTAATCTAAAACAAGGCTACTCTTTGAGATGTGTGGTGGTGGTGGTAGTGCTTGTGGTGGTAGTGATAGTGGTGGTGAGGAGGGAGTTGCCCCTATCTGCTTTAGAAGATCCAAAGATGTTAGTAAATAGTTTTGGGGGATCTTGAGGGTGTCTTGAGGGTCCAAGCCTGGGCCACTGCACATTGGTGCTTCAACAGTAAGATGGGCTTCATGGGTTTGTGAAAATGAAGAGAAAGAAAAGGGGGAGGGAAAATAACAGTCTTTAATAGACTGTGAGCAGTTCCTGGTAGATTGCCACTAATAATAATATAATAATTTGCATAAAGGGACTAAGTAGAATTAAATGAGCAAGGAAAGAGAAAGTTGGTGAGAAACAGCATTTTCAATCTCTAGTGTATGTTTTAGAACGAACTTTTCAACAACCTGGGATGTTTAGTGCATGAAGTTCTCCTCCCTCCCCGCCATGAAGAGTGGACGTTGGGAGGCAGTTTAAAACTTTTATGAATATAACCCTCTTCTCCCATTCAGAGAAGAAGATAATTAGTCACCATAATCTTCAATGATGAAGGGCTAAGGATATTTAAGTCTCCTTGAGCTAGGCTTTGTGAAAAGTTCTTTCTCAGGCCAGCCTTTGTGAAGCCTTCTCAGTTAGACCTTTCAGCACCCTCATTTAGTAGCTAAGAATAGTTTGAAATGCCATTTTGGATGTGGTATACATTTTCATCCATCTCCCACCTATCTTCAATTGGACAAGTGCGTCAAGCCTGTAAGTGATGGTGTTCAAAGACTTATTACTGAGATGTCCTTAACCCATTGCTTATTTGGGAACACATTATTAACATACATTTTAAAATAACTTTGGTTGATTTTAATGAGTGAAAGGAAAGTAGGAAGGTAGAGAAGGGCGACAATTTTAAAGGCTATCCTGTTTCAGATCAGCTGGGAGGGAAAAGCTGGCCTGACCAAACTACATTTTATAACTGGCCTGGGACATTTTAACAGCCAGGTGGTTGTAGAGTAGTTGCCTCTATTTACAGATGATAACTAAGGTTCCAACTATTCTGTATGGGTTTATCCGGCGTCATTGACAGACACTTTCTGGCACTACATCATACTTCATTTTAAATTACTTCTTTCCTTGGAAAAGTTCGTGGCTTTGTAAAATTGTAAGTGCTTTTTCTACCTTCACAGTCTAGATGTGAAGTAAACCTCTGACCACAATTGTATGTGGAGTCACTTTTACATGAAATTTGTGGATCTGTTTACCTATTTAAAAGATTTTAGAAAGGGAATTTTAATAATTCATAGTCAATGCAGTTTTGGATTTGGAAATTAAAATTTCATTTCTGGTTTATGAAGTTTGATTTATTAGACTAATTCCCAACAAGGACATTTGTAGAGTTGCTTTTTCTTTCTGAGGTTTTGTAAAGACTGCATCAGACTCTAGAATGCTTTAAGAATAGCCTAATCAGAAGGCAGGGGGATGGATACTATGACCTTGAGGTCCCATTGAGTGCCAGAATTCTAAGTGGGTACATCTGCTTCTGTGCCTCTCCCAAGAGCCCTCTCCCAGGGCCTGCGCCTTCTTTAAAAGGGTGTCTTTGTAATTAAGCGGCCCTTCTTCCCCATCCCCCTTTCTTCCTTTGATCCAGCTTTTTAAGGCCTTTTTTTCCATTTGGAGACAAGAGGGGTTTCTCACACTTTCCTGTTCCCCTCTTAACGCTTCTTTTCCTTTACCCCAGAAAAGTCCCCTGAAGTTCTCAGGATGGTTAGAAGTTGTTTTGTTTTGTTTGGGGCGTGGGGGTGGAGTGGGGGAGTTGTTACCAATGAGGAGGAATAGAGGATATATTCCCTCTTGGGAAATGCTTGTGACCAGGTAGCCTCCTCCATGGAGACTGAGCATTTGGAATGCATGAGAACAGTCTATTCTTGGGGACTGTCTGGTAGAAATTGTCCTTTGCACCCATTAAGCCCAGCTTAAACACTGAAAGGGGTGGGGAGAGGTGTGTGTGGTCGTACTGGAGCCTTTTAGGATGGTAAATGGGTAAATGTTTCCAAATCTCCTATTACATCATCTCTTTCTCCCATGGATTCAGTAGGTTTAGTGATCTGCTTGACAAGTTAATTAGCTGGGGACTAAACCAATTTGTTTAGAATTGTGATCCATTGATTTCCTGTCCCCAGGAATTTTTGTTGGTGTTTTACTATGATGTGTTGTCTTTAGTCTTACTTACTTTTCCCTCCTTGCTGCCTTTTGTGGACTTTGGTCCAAATTCTAGGGTTCCACCCCCAAGTCAAAGGTTAGAATTTTGTCCCAGGAACTAAGGGGGTATTAAACAGGCTGGCCATACTGCATTACTCTCCTCCATGGTGGGCTTCTGACCCCTTTTAACCCAGAGAAAGGAGGGAAGTCGCCCCTTCCACACACAACACACACAATCTGAACAAAAAAAAAGAAAAAGAAAAAGAAAGAAAGAAAATAGGAGGTCATTTGCTTTATAAAAGAATCCACAACAGGTTTTCTTTGTAAGTACTAGCTTTCCTAGTTAGTGCCTTTAAACTATGACTTGATATATAAAAATTCACTCTAACTGGGCCTTCTCGGAAGCATATTTATTGCATAAAGGAATACATAAGAATTTGTAATGATTATCGCTTAAATTAAGTGAGGCCATTATTTGGCCTTTGAAATCTTTTTGTTATATGGAATGGAGTTAGTTAATTGTCTAAATCATTCTGGCTTGTAATAATGCTGGCCACGTTAGCTCTGGCCTACAACTGCTTGCAGAAGAAAGCTAGTATTACTTTTTGAAAATAAATCAGACTTTATAGATTTTGAACAATTCTAAGGATGAGACTATCCACCCCATATAGGTAAAATGTTTTATTTCCAGCTACTGTATTTGACTAACCCAGGGATCCAGAAAGTTATTTCTAGTAAATAATGGCGACTGATGCCACTTTAACCTAAGAATCTGCAATAAGATTTCCTAGTGAGCCTATTGGTGAGAAGGACCTGGGCTCTAGGCCCAACTGTAACTCGGTTTACTACCTCTGTTAAGTTTTTTTTTTTCCACTGTAAATTATGGGTTTGGACAGGGTAATTTTGAGAGCCAGTTCTTATACGTTTATGGTTTTCTTTCTAGGCCTCAATATCTAGTATGAATGTGAATGATTGCTACTAGAATGAAGTGCAACAGTTGTTAGAAATTCAATCATCTAGTCATCATGTTAAAGAAAAAAAGATCCTGTAAGGATATATGAATATAGATGCATTATGTTTTACATTTTAACAACCCAAAATTAAGAAGCTAAGACTCTGTCCAAAACTTCAAGAATTCCATCATCCTAAGAGATCACCTGCTTTCATTTTTTCTAGTTCCTTTCAAGTCCTGGTTCCTGTACTAACATGAGTTTTAGATAATTGGAGCCACAGATATATACAATGTTGCTTTTCAATAAGAGCCCACCCAAGACTTAACTTTGTGAACCCATGTGGAGGAACTAAGTCAGAATCTGACCGAGGACACATGAAGACTCCCATATATTTTGTTTCTCAAATGCCAGGAGAGGCTAATGGATATAATAAGTAATCCCTAAACACTCTCTGTGATTCAGGAGTTGTTCATGTATCTAGCAAGGCTGTTAATTTAATTCCTTTGACCTCCTGTTATCCCTCCCCCATTCTTGTTAACAACAACAACAACAAAACTAGGGTCCACTGTTTACTTTGTGTAAATCATTGGCAATGATTTTTAAGTCACTGTATGGTGAAATCCCATCAAGTGAGTATAAATTTGAGTGGAATATGAAATCTCCAGAATGAGAAAGGAGAAGCAGGAAAGCACAAATATACTTGTTTTGTAGCATGGAAAATAATATGTTTAAATTAGACTAAAAGATAGCAAAGAAACTAAGGATTTTAGACAGTTAAATAAAAGACAAGAAGTGCAGCAGCAGAATGGCCCACACATAATGGGTTCTTCATCTGAGGTCTTCACCATGTAGTCAAATTTCATAGTTCTTTAATTTTCCTTTGATAACAAAGGTGTGGTATACATGTGATCTCTAAGATTTGATGGATTAGCCAGGCATGGTAGCTCACACCTGTAATCCCAGCGATTTGGGAGGCAGAGGCGGGCGGATCACCTAAGGTCAGGAGTTCAAGACCAGCCTGACCAACATGGTGAAACCCCTGTCTCTACTAAAAATACAGAATTACCTGGGTATGGTGGCGCATGCCTGTAATCCCAGCTACTCAGGAAACTGAGGAATAAATTGCTTGAACCTGGGAGGCGGAGGTTGCAGTAAGCCAAGATCACGCCATTGCACTCCAGCCTGGGCAACAAGAGCAAAACTCCGTCTCAAAAAAAAAAAAAAAAGATTTGATGGATTCATTCCTGGAAACCAGTGGCTCATCATAAATTAGATTAAATTTCTCTAACTGGAATAGAAAGTGTGGTATGGGTTTTTAGTATTTAGAAAGTAGCAAATGAGGAACAGGAACTTTTTTTTTTTTGTAATATATGATCCTGGAGAAAATGCAAATGGGTGTATTTGCCAATGTTTCCTAAGGCAATTCTTGAAAATCTACTCTTTTAAGTCTGTGGGCTTGCCTTGACATTTGTAAAGGCACTTTCACTCTTGCCCTAACTCCATGAAATATCATTAGCCTGTGTGACTTGAAGCCAGGATCTGGTTTTCTCTGCCCAGCCCCTCTCTGTCTTACCATGTGACCAAGGGTAAATGAATTAGCTGCTCTAAGCTTCAGTTACCCTTCTGGGAAGCAAGGATATTAATAATCACAGAGGTGTTTCGGCATGCTTCATATTGGGCACATGCTTTGAGGTCATTGGATGAAAGGTGTTTGCATGATGGCAGAGCAGGCTTATTATAGGGTCTTGAGCAGGTGTTCCTTTTTAATGAGCTTTGCTCTCTTATAACATACAGTGCCCTTTGGTGCCCCATTGCCTTACTGACTGTAATTACCATTAACCCAACATTTGTATTATTGGCCCTCTCGGCTTTTTGGAAAAAAAATTAAACAGTTTTGTACTGTGTGGTAAGTTGAGGTACAAATAAGAGGACTCTAGCATCTTACAGGGTGGTGAAAAATAGCTTCAAAAAGAAACGTTAGTTGAAAAGGGCTATAGAGATCAGTGAGTTATTCAAAGCTCCTCCAAAAGATGAAAAAGAATAAAGCAAACTTCTGTGTGTGTGCGCATGCACGTTTTAAGGGAGAAAGTTTTCAGTAATATTTGCTTGTGACACATACTGATGATAGCCAGTAACTGAAACCCAGCCATTGTAGTGTTTTATACACAGCTGGATTTTATTAATGATGGAATATTTATGCTTGCTGTACAATTCGTGGCTCATTTCCATGTGTATGTCAGAACTTAAATACCCCCAAAAGAAACATTAAGATAACATGAAATATAAATGTGGCCAAGCTAGAAAGGGTGGATTTGGTGGAGAGTCTCCCTTCTTCTTATTGGTGTCACATCAGATCACAATAACTGTGCCGCCCCCCTATCAACCTTAGGCATTGATACTGATCTTTTTTTCCCCTTATATATACCCCATAGCAAACTTCACATTTCAATCTTTTTGATATGGACAAACGATCTGCTCTCCTCTTTATAATGCAGATAAAACTGATGTATGTGTTTTTTAAGAGCATATTTTCCCTGCACATGCTTCTCATTATCCGAGAGGCCTGGACTCAATCAGTAAAGGAGCAGAGAAACCACATAATTGAAAGGAGAATGACGGTGGTGCATACTTGGAATATTTGTGGGAAGGGGATTGCTGACATCAGAAAATGTAGTGGCCTGAGTGTTAACAGCATTGAAGAGAAATCAGCTTTCTGTGTTTCTGTGTATTGAAAATTATTTTTAAGGGAATAAAAATATGGGCCAGGTTTGACATCCTTTTATGAAGTTGCCCTGGAAACTTTGATGAAGATTGTTAAAGAATAGCTCAATTAAAACCTTCCCCATTAGGAAGCTAATTAGTACATCCCTTACTCATTTTGGTTGTTTTCAAGGGGCATGTATTTGCATTGAATTAGTGACATTTGTTCCATGTGATAGCAAACTAAGATAAAAATCACAGATGGGGAAAATTATTTAGATTGCCTGTTTTGAAGAAACCTAATTCCTCTTTATTACATTTAGATTTTCAGTTCAGAGTTTTGTTTTACTATGTTTATATACAATGATCACATTTTAGTGTGGTAGCCAGTTTTGCTTTCTGGATCATGGGCTATAAACCAAAGCTTATTTGAATTTCCCGTATGAATTAGGGAAATAGAACAAATGACAACAAACCATTTTATTAAGGTAAGATTTCATTTTTTTCTTCTACAATTAGTTTCTCTTTGGTCTATGTGTGTGTGCCTGAGAGAGAGAGTAGGGGAGGCAGATTGTTTTTTTAAAAAGCAAACAGTTTTTGAAGCTAAGAAAATTTTGATGACCCCCCCCCCCCCTTTACTCCCAGGAACATTCTGTCTGCCTCAGGCTGGGACCAGTTGGGCTTTGGTTAGGGGAACATGATGAATTTTCTGACCTGGTGCTTTCTGTGACCAGGCTAAGTGGTTCTCCCTTGGAAGCCTGAAGGAAAGAGGTTATGGTGAGAACAGGAGTGCAAGATTTCTAGCAGGTTCTTTTTACTGTACTCCACCTTTTTTTAGGGGGGTGAGTACTTGCTTCTGAGATTTTAGGGCCATTTGCAGTAGAGTCAATGCTTTATAGCCAAATGTAAAATATGGGCCAGTTGTGGCCCTCCTTTCCCCGCATCACTTTAGGTGACGGTCATTCTGTACCTAGGTTCCCATATGCTGTGCCCACGGTGTAGGTGTATGCCTGCAGTAGTTTGTGCAAATAAGAAAGTTAGCTGGGTTATATGATTTGTGGTTTAATCTCACCTTAGTCCTTCTTGGGAAGGCAGGGTTTAGATTCAGTTCTGCAGTGGCACCTCAGGCAAGGCAGGTTCCCTGTGCTTGCAAGGCAACAGCAGGAGGAGGAGGGGCTGCCTTCTGCCTTCAGAGAGTGACTCAGGCCCTTTGGTATGAAGATATGAAATGCTGGCTCCTGTCCATACACCTGCTGGATGCCACACCTGCAGTCAGCACCTGAGCCCCACTCAGACACAAAAACCAGACTGAAGGCAGATGGGGCTCCCTTGAAAAGGGGCACAGCGAAACAGGGAGCTCTCAATTATGTTAGTAGAGCCCCACTGGGAACTGGGTTTAGTCATCCCAGTGTTGGCGTGGGGAAACAGATTACTTTCTTTTAGATGCAGCTCACTCACTTGCTCAAGATACTGTTAGAGTGTTTCAGGAGTTTGCTTTCCTAATGAATTTCTCTTGTGAACTGTCCTCTTAAAAACTGGAGGGGCAATTCTGTGGAGGGTTATGTCTTAGAACCAAGCACAGGGCAGGAAGTCGCAAGACCTGGGTTCCAATGCTGGCCCTACCAATGGGCAACAGTGAAATTCTGGTCCAATTAGTTATGATTAGCTATCTGTTCTGGACTTGAGCTTCCCTCTCCAGTTCTAAAATGGAATTAATCACATCTGCCTTTATTTCCCCACAGAGCTGCTAAGAAGGACAAATAAGATAGCAGAGTGAAAGAGCTTTTGTCTCCTTAGAAGGAAGGCTGAGAAACTAAAGGTAATAATAACATTATTATTATTGTTATTCCATGTCTTTCTTTGTTTTCTTCTCCTGCTGTGGCCTCTAGCAAAGTTTTGGGGAAGTTATCATTCACTCAGTATGCAACTATTAAGCACATTTTATGTACCAGTTAATGTTTTAGGTATTGGGATGCATACAATGAAAAATCACGCACCCCGCCCATGCCCTCTAAGATCTTACAGTCTAGCAACTTCCCTTTCCATTTCTGGCTCAACCCGTAATAGTGATTGCTACCAGGGCACTCAGAAGCTTAAAAGGTGAGAGTTAACTTCTTTTTTTCTCTCCACACTACAGCTGGGGATTTCTGTCCCTGGAGCTGTGTATTGCAAGGTCTAGCTTGGAGATATATGGGAGGAAAGGCCATCGGGATAAATAAAGGAATTTCTTTCCCTCCCACATTTGCAAAGTACCTAACCCTTGAATGATCTTTTTTTTTTTTTCCCCAGAAGTCCATGTTTAGTTTCATCCTGGGTTCTGTTCTGTTCCTAGTCAATATGGTCCAGCCCTCTCTTATGACCTTAGCTGTCATCCATATGCTAATGACTCCCAAAGATATATCTCAACCTATCTTTGATGTCAAATTGGTCATCACACTCCATGTCTTCTACTCAGCTTATAGGTTTTTGATATTTTCCTCCTCTTGGGAGCTTTTTCAGGTAGCCCAGGGTTTTTTGCAGAGCCCTATGTGTTGCCGGAGCTATTAGCTCATACCTCTGTTTTCCCGTTGAATTGGGCCTCCTCTGCCTGACTGGGAGCTCCTCAAGTACTGGGCTCTCTTTTTATTTATTTATTTATTTATTTATTTATTTATTTATTTATTTATTGCCACCCTAGGCCTTACCTAGCACAATGTCTGGCTACAGTAAGTGCTCAGTAAAAGTTTATGGAAAATTTGCTGTGATAAGTGTCATCATAGAGAATTCATTTTCCATGTTGAGCAGAGTTGAGGTCAGGAATAGATGGAGAGGGATTAGGGAAAAATCTTCAAAGAGAAGATGGACAGCAGAACTGCCTTATTTTGAGAGTTCTGGCTAAGAAGTCACGGAAGGAATGCCTGTTGTGTCCACTGTTGTTAAACCAGGGGCATCTCTGACCTATTGCCTCCCCTGCTTTAGGACCGGATGATTTTTATGGTCAGGTCTGCAAATCAACCTCTGTCTATAATACATTGACCATTTAAGACAGGTGTCACTTAGTCATCTAGTATTAAACAGGGCTGACCTTAAATGTGCCACCTTAACTGAGGCTGAAAATAGAGCTACACACACAGGCTCATTGATCATGCCTGCTTAGTTCTATACAGCAAAATGTCCCTTAAGATATATTGAAGATTGGGATCTAAAAACTGACAAATTCAATTCTCAGAATGTAAGCAGGTTGGGTCACAAGAACTGAATGTCTTCAAGCTGACTGTCAGATCTTTCCAAGGGCAAAAATGAAAGATGATATAAGCTATTACAGGCCATGAACCTGTTTTCACCCACCTGATGCTTTTACTAATTAGCTTCTTGGCTGGGTGGCAATTTGGGGCAAGTGCATGCAAGCTGGATTCACAGGGGAGCCCGCATTCCACTCTGCCATTTCGCAAGCCACTGGGATACTACACTGCTTCTCTTGGCTTCTTTCCCTCCCAGGAGCCCTGCTCTGCCCTGGTGGAAAAATGAGAGCGGGAGAATTTTTCATTAAATGAGGGAGGGATTTCATGGGACTCTGGTGTTTTGCTAATTTTATTTTTTAGTGGGTTGTCTAAAAACATTTATGCTTCTTGACCCATCAGTTTCACTTCTGGGATTCTATCATGAAGAAACAATCTACAATATTGAAAAAGGTTAAATCACAAAGATGTTTTTGTAACATTATTTAGATTAGCATAAAATTGGAAGCAATTTACATGTCTTAATAATTGAAGAATGGGTAAGTGAATGCTGATACACTTGTTTAATGCACTATTATGCAGCCATTACGATGTTATGAAGTTATGCCACAACATGGAAAAAGTATTTATGGTGAGGTGAAATGCAGGATCCAAAATTACATCTTATTAATAATTCATTGCTTGTAAAAACCCAAATACACATAGGAAAACTAAAGGAAATATAATGTTAACAGTGCTTAAGTTGAGGTGCTTGGATTATAAGTGATTTTTTTCTTTATTAAAAATAAATGCATGCTGTGCTTATATTACTTGTAAAATAAAATATAAGTAGATATGAAAATGGGTGGTCTGGCATTGGCGGTTAAAGATTGGTCAAGCAGGCAGCTTCTAGGTATATTCTTAAACTTTTCTCATTTTAGGCTCCATCTAATTACAGGGACTCTTTATACTTTTCTCGAGATAATAAAGAAGGGGATGTGATGGTGTGGTCTACTCCTCTTTTGGAATGGATGTGTGTGCTGGGAGATAGAGGGAGGTGGCAACAGGATTCTCCTTGCTACCCAGTATGTCACTGCTCACATCCACTTCAGGGTTGATCACCTTTGTTGCCTATAAACATGTTTAAGGTAATTGCTTCAGAGCAAAGCAAAGTCAAACTGGGACCAAAAACGACCAAGACCTTGAGTTACCATCCCAGAAACGGATCTCTCACACTGATCCTCAGTAAGATTTGGAAATGCCAAGGCCTTGCTGTGGTTCTTAAAATAATTTTTCAACCTAATCTAATAGGGTGTTCAAAAATAATTGTGATGTTTGCAATAGAGTGTATTAAGCTGTCCTTGCATTGCTATAAAGAAGTACCGGAGACAGGGTAATTTATAAAGAAAAGAGTTTTAATGGGCTCACAGTTCTGCAGGCTTTATGGGAAGCATGGTGCGAACATCTACTTGGCTTTGGGGCGGGGGCCTCAGGAAGCTTGCAATCATGGCAGAAGGCGATGGGGGAGCAGGCACATCACATGGCAAAAGCGAGAGCAAGAGACAACGGGGGAAGATGCCACACATTTTTAAACAACCAGATCTCATGAGAACTCACTATCAGAACAGCACCAAGAAGATCTGCCCCCATGATCCAATCACCTCCCACCAAACCTCACAATTCAACATGAGATTTGGGCAGGGACACACATCCAAACTATATCATAGAGGTAGAGATAGGAACAAAGAAGAGTTGGGGCTGACTCTTCTCTTAAGCCTTTTCTTGAACTAGTGCTAGAGTTAGGTAAGAGCAAATGCCAAGCTGGTATGATATTGAACAGACCTGGAACAGGGGGCCTGGAAACATCCATCTGTGGAGGTTCATGTTGCTGTTCAATCCACCTCACATCTTAGCCTAAAAAGCGAATTTGCAAAGCCTTTCTATAGTAGTACTTCTAGCTAAACACTTCCCCCTTACTGCCTTGAATTTTCCTTCCTTCCATTAACATTTTACTTCCAATGGAACTGGAAAATCAGTGGTAGCGTTAAAGCAGGTTTATAGTCTTTTAAAATCAGGGTCAATTCTATGTAATAAATAGTTATTAAGCATCTCCTTTGTACAAGCAAATAATGCTAGATAATATGTTGTAGTGGAAGGGCTCTTGCCCTAGGCGTTATAAAAACTTTCATTTTGGTCCTGGCTCTCTCTTACCCTTTGAGGCCCTGGCATCTTCATCTATACAAGAAGAGGGTGGGACCACTAGGTGGTCTCCCTTTCCAGTTCTGGCTTTCAATGATCTAAGGACCCCTGTGTAGTAGACTGAGTTGCAAATAAAGTTTTTTTGTTTTTGTTTTTCAAAAAAACAACCTTTCTTCATAAAATTGCTGTACACTTCTAAAAAAAAAAAAGGCTACTTTGAAATAACAATTATAGTAATAGCTTACTTTTATTGAGGCCTTACTATGTGCCAGGCTCCATGCTTAGCACTTTACATGGATTAATTCCCTTAATCTTTATAACAACCCTATCTAGTATGAACACCATTATCCCTATTTTGCAGATGATGAAATTGAGACTTGGGAGATCAAGAGACATGTACAAGGTCTGTTAGTAAGCCATACATCCAGGATTTAAACTTGGGCAGTGTGACTCTAGGCCCAGACTCTGTGCCACGGTGTTTATGATGCCTATCCATTGAGATAACCTGCAAAAGGACCATTGTTTTTCACATCCTAAATGAAGTGAATTGGTATCTTGGGTTGCAAGACTGTTGGGAAAGTTATTCTCTAGGGTACTTTGGCTACAATATGGACCAACCTGAGAGAACATAAGAATTTACTGGGGCCTCACTTTTTGTGAGAGGTTATGTGTGTGTGTGTGTTTGCACAAATACATACACATAGGTACAGGGAAAACTTTGAACTGGCCCCCTTCCATTTATCTGGGAGTCAAATTGGATGAAACAAGTTGACCAAGATTTAGCAGAGAAACAGCTTTCTTAGACTTAGATTCTTTATCCTGGTTGGTAGAATGAGAGGTAGGGGCAGAATGTGGGAGGGTTTAGAAGAGGGGATAGAAAGAAGATCTTATAGGCATATTGCAAAATTTATTTGAAGGGTGGGAGTTTGGTCTGTCCTGACCACCTTGTAATGTTGATTTTCTGGGACTTGTCTTGGGAAACATTAATGTGTTTTGGCTCAACCTCACAGGTGTATTGGGAGAGGCCAATGACTGCAAATGGAGTAAGAATTTAGCTTGGCCTTGCTTCCCTGTTGTTGTTACAGAAGAGTTGATTATATAGATTCAAATTGCATTTTTAAAGACAGAACCGCAATTATTCTTTTTTTCCTATCAAATATTCTCAGAGACAGTCTGTGTGCCCAGGACAAACAAGGTTATTTTATTGATTGAAGATGATGTCAGACCCCTGGCAGTGGCATGATTAAAGCTACAGGGAGATTAAAGGTTATAGTGTTCATACTGTTTTAGTTCTTGTGCATGAAACAAGGAGTCTTTTCCTTTCCTTTCTCAAATAAATGGAGTAGTGTTTTCCTCATTATGTGACTCTTGACATGTAGATGAACATAAGTTCTTTAAGAAAAAAATAGTAAACTGGAGAGGACTCTGCAAAGCTTTTTTCTTAGGCTGATTTCTTTTTTAAACAAGAGACAAAGATGGCAGGAGGAGGGTGAGAGGGTAGGGGAACGATCTGTGTCCAGTTAACATAAAGTGATTTGGGTTTTGAAAAGGATATGGAGGGGCCTAGCGTGGTGGCTCACGCCTGTAATCCCAACACCTTGGGAGACCGAGGCAGGCAGATCCCTGAGGTCAGGAGTTCAAGACCAGCCTGGCCAACATGGCAAAACCCTGTCTCTACTAAAAATATGAAAATCAGCCAGGCATGGTGACACGTGCCTGTAATCCTGGCTACATGGGAGGCTGAGGCAGGAGAATCACTTGAACCTGGGAGGCAGAGGTTGCAGTGAGCCGAGATCCCACCACTGCACTCCAGCCTGGGTGACAGAGCAAGACTCCATCTCAAAAATAGATAAATAAATAAGAAAAGGATACAGAGGACAGAATTGAGAGAAGAGAGTAAGACCTTGCACGAGAAAAGTTTTCTCAATGAAGAGCTGAGTATCAGGAGAAAGTCAGTAATATCAGCATGAAGAATCTAAGTAGTACTGGAAAAAAATCATATGGTAGTTTCTCTCCAGGGACTCGCGTTTAAAAGCCTTGGGCTGTTTTCTGGTGTTTCAGTTGGAAAAAAAAGGATGAGTGTTTTGTTCAGAATTGGACAATAGAAGCACGGTGGTTATGTACCATAGCTCTGTTAACAGTCCAGCTTTGATTCCAATTAGAAGTTGTTCCTCTGCTTCAAAATTAGGGGAGATACCCTAAAATAATTACCTTGCAGATTTGAGATGATTTTGCTTTTGATCATGATTATATGTTGTGCCAAAACAAGATGGAAAGACACATTTCCGTGTTTGTTCACTCTATATCTGTTCACTTTATTTTTGGCAACATTGCAAGGAAATAATGTTAAATTAATCACTTTGTGGTTTTGTGGAGTTTTTAAAAACTTGAATGTTTTGAACATGCTCTCAAAATACAGAGATGTTTGTGTACTTCTTTTGCATTGCTTTCCTCCTCTCATGGAGTCACTGGTGTGGATTAAGCCTTTCCTTTAAGTGATATGAATGAATCATACATAGGCCAGGATAGAAGATAGGAATGTGGTTCATGTGCATGTCACTTAAACTCCTGAGTCTTAGAATCATTTTGATTAGGCTGACAAGGCTTTGCAGAGAGTCCAGGCAGAAATTAGACATAAGGACTATCTCAAATCCAGGTCTATTATTCATTTGCATCCAGTCTATATAATGTAAGTCTATGAGTTTTTTTTACTGAGACACTGGGGCAGTGGAAGTGCCAAGAAAGCAAGTGGAGGCATCTTCTGCTTGGAGAAGGGTTGCGCTCTGTGTTGGGAAGGGCAGTCTACTTTCCTACTCCAAGAATGGATGGACCATTGATCAGATGATCAGAGTGTAAGCTCCATGAGGGCAGGAATTATATTTTATGTGTCTTTGTAGCCCTTATTGTGTCTAGTATGAGGCTGACAAATGTGTGGAATAGTTGATACACAATAAATACTTAATGACTTGGTTGAAAAGAAGGTTCTTCCCCTCCCCTCCACCTATCTGAGCTTGAGGCACTCAAATTGGGAGCCTCACTGAGTGTTCTTTTTTTGACCAAAAACCTACCTTATGATGACTGCCCTCCCTTCTGGGATGTGGGACAGTGAGCCTCACTAACCTCCCCTGCTACTAATAGCAGTTTAAAGTTTGCACCCTAAAGGTGACAGTGGTTTTGGCTTTTGTCATCATCCACCATTCCAACTTGGAATGGAAGTGGTAGCTTTCTAGGGCTGTGAGGTCAGAACAGAGCAAGTCTCAGACCTGAACATTTCCATCACTGGAGACTGGCCTGGCCTTCCGGACACAGCTACTGGACACTGAGGTTTCTTTTCTGCCCTAGTGGAGATGGACTCTGCTACTCATTTAAAAGCCAAGCACCATAGGAGGACAAGTCATTCTCTTGGAAGAACTGGTTTGATTAACTGCTGGCCATTGGTGGCAAAATAGAAACGACGTTTTTATTTCTCCCTCCCTCCCTCTCCTGAACATTTCAGAGTGACCAGTGGTTGGACTCTTGGCGGCGCTTACCCTGAACCTGAGTGTTAGGGGAGAGGGAATCTGCCGTTGCGGTTTCTGGAGCTGCTCATAAGCAAGAATTCCCTATCCTGATCAAGGCTTTAAGCCTAAAAGAAAGCAGAAATAGGTATGGAATATTTCTGTGTGTGTGTGTGTGTGTGTGCACACGCTCGTGCATGTGTGTATGCATGTGTGCCTGTGTGCATGCTGGGTGGGGTGGGTGTGACGTGGGAGGGGGTGGTATACTTTTCAGGGTCCAGGGCAGCTCAGTGTCTGCATTTCCCTGCCTTACAGGGAGGGTTTGTAAATCACTTTTGCTTTAACACCATACTTGTTCCTGTTTCCAGTTTGTGAGCAGGGAAAAGTAATTTGGTAGTCATCTCTCTAGTTTTGGGCACCAAAAAGGATTTATATATTATGCTTGTCAGCCTATCAGAATATCCCAATTTGACAGTTCAAGTACAGGAGTCCTGGAGGCACATTGGGAGGAATGGAAAAGGGACTGGGTTGCTTAACCCACTGGTGTGCACTTCCCAAGAGAATATGATGAGAGGGACTTTGGAGGGTCCCTTCGTGTTGTCAGACTGCCCAGCGCAACAGTTGGAAGCCAGGTAGCAGTAACCAACAAGACGTGAAGAAAGAGAGAAGATGAACTTTCTTCATATACTATATGTACATTCTGGGTCACTCTCTCTCTGCATGACCAAAAGAAAGGGGTTCGTGTTTCCAGAGAGATTGCAGGCCACTTAATATCATAGAAATAAGAGCCTGGGAGCCAGGGATCCAGAGTTGCCATCTAGAAACCTGATGCTGGTTAAACTGACCTTTATTGTGACTTTTCGTGTGACATTATGTTCATTCTCCACCAATTACTGAAGATCCTTAGAGTGAAAGTTTCATTATTGAACATTATTACTTAATTCCAATACTTAACATTGACAGATTCTGCCCAAAGAATTTTTGAATCTCTAATGAATTAGTGTGTACTATACAGTGCTGAGAGAGAGAAATCACCTACCAGCCATTTTTTGTTGAGAAAATAGACATCAAGAAAAGAGGAATCAGTTGTATACCCTGTAAACCAATAGTATGATTAGAATTTGAATATTAAATTGTGTTACTAAAATCAGTTTCAGTCAACCCATAGTACCTGTTCAGAAGAATTGATGGTGAGGGAGGGGATATGCTAATCGTATACCCTTTCCAGAAGGATGATCTTTATATTTTTCAATTTCTAAATTTTGTCAGAGGCACACTTCAAATAAAAGAGGCTTCCCCTTTAAGCTTCTACCCAATAACAATAACAGCAAATCTAAATGACTGTTTCTGGAGAGCTGAAAGGCAACTTTGTCAGTAATAAGTATTCCAAGTCCTTCTCTTATTAAGCCAAGGAGCATCCAAAATGGAGACTATGAAAATGATTTTTTAAAAAGATGTTTCAGAGCCTTATGAGATCAGAGAAAAAGATTTGCATCGAGGCAGGGATCATTACTGTCTGGTGCAAGCCAAGCTCTCTTCACCTTTTATTTATTTGAGTCTTTATTTTGCATTTTGTAGCTGCCTTCATATGCTGAGCTGCTTTACAAATCCTGTTATGGGGTAACTTTCCCCACTGTCCTGCCCCCACCTCCACAGCCATAAGATTTGGGTTTTTGCTTTAAATAGAATACAGAGAGATGAAGCCTGTGAATATGGACCTTGAAAAGTTACCCCCTTTGATTACCCTAGTTGACTGTTCCAGGTTTCTCAAGCATTCTTAGGAGTTAAGTCCAGATTGAATATTTAACTCATGCTAAAAGTGAAAGAGAAAACCTAGAGCTCTTATGCCTCCATGTTCTTCATCATATCAGTGCTAGGGCCTGGAATCCCCAACAATCTATTAATTTTAGAGTCAATTCTCTACTTTGTTTCTGCAATCGAATCCTCACCCTCCAATATCCATTTTCTTTCCCTTTAGAGGACTGATTTATCCATCAACTGGGTGTTAAGCTTCCTGTTTCCCCTTCCCAGGTCAAGGGCAGCCCAGGTGCCCAATTTCTCTCTCTCTTCACAAGGCACCACCAGCAATAGAGATGAGAAATTCTGAAGAACAGCCAAGTGGAGGGACCACGGTATTGCAGCGTTTGCTACAAGAGCAGCTTCGCTATGGCAATCCTAGTGAGAATCGCAGCCTGCTTGCCATACACCAGCAAGCCACAGGGAATGGCCCTCCTTTCCCCAGTGGCAGTGGGAACCCGGGCCCTCAGAGTGATGTGTTGAGTCCCCAAGACCACCACCAACAGCTTGTGGCTCATGCTGCTCGACAAGAACCCCAGGGGCAGGAAATCCAGTCAGAAAACCTCATCATGGAGAAGCAGCTGTCTCCTCGAATGCAAAATAATGAAGAACTCCCGACCTATGAAGAAGCCAAGGTCCAGTCCCAGTACTTTCGGGGCCAACAGCATGCCAGTGTTGGAGCTGCCTTCTATGTCACTGGAGTCACCAACCAGAAGATGAGGACTGAGGGACGCCCATCAGTTCAGCGGCTCAATCCTGGAAAGATGCACCAAGATGAGGGACTCAGAGACCTTAAGCAAGGGCATGTCCGTTCCTTGAGTGAACGACTAATGCAGATGTCACTGGCCACCAGTGGAGTTAAGGCCCATCCACCTGTTACCAGTGCTCCCCTCTCCCCACCACAACCCAATGACCTCTACAAGAATCCCACAAGTTCCAGTGAATTCTACAAGGCCCAAGGGCCACTTCCTAACCAGCATAGCCTGAAGGGCATGGAACACCGAGGCCCCCCACCAGAATATCCCTTCAAGGGCATGCCACCCCAATCTGTAGTGTGCAAGCCCCAAGAGCCAGGGCACTTCTATAGTGAGCATCGCCTGAACCAGCCAGGGAGAACAGAGGGGCAACTGATGAGGTATCAGCATCCCCCTGAGTATGGAGCAGCCAGGTAAGAGAGTTCTGTTTCTGTCATTTCCTGACCTCATCCCCAACCAGCTTCTGCTGTGTGTTGGGAATCTTAGGGAAGGAACGGGCAGGTGTTTGATATAACAAACTCTGCAATGCATGACAGGCCTCTGGCTTCGTGAATTGCCTGCCAACCCGAATTTGTATCCTCTTTAGCCATAATTAGCACTGTATTAACAATCCCTTAGCTTTGTAGGTTGAGCATGGCCTCAACTGCCTAGTGGACGAACAGGAGCAAAAGTCTTGTTTTCAGCAGCTATTTGCTGTCCTCTCTCCTAGGATGTTGAAGGGGTCTGTGTTTCTCATAAGCCCTCCTTGAGAGGTAGAAGCAAATTACCTTGCACTTTAATTAGTCTGGAACATCCTATCACTTGCACATATTCCCCTCCATGAAGCTTTCATCATTTATTTTTGCAAACAAATCTGTGTATTTCTTGTCAGTTACCATTTTTCCATAGAATTACCATTATTCTTTTGGACTAAACAAACACCCAGATGTTATGGTGGGGGAGCTATGTATGTATGTAGGTTCAGAATGTTACTTGCCTTATGCTTGCAGTTTATGAAATCTGGACTGTTGTATCTTTTTTTTGTAGAGAATTTATTAGTTGCCTGTCACATTTTTAAACCTCTGAGTTAAATTCCCATCACATCATATAGAAATTTTGGTCAGATGCTAAAATACAGAAGGAAAAATATTACCATTTCTGTCTTATATATTTAGTTGTTCCTATATATACTTCTTAATTATTCAGAGGTCCATTGTCCCACTGCTATATTCACTAGACCTTATGATTCTATGATTCTGTTCATTGTTCCTGTTGTTAGTATTTGGGCCATGTCTCTGATCAGTAGTATTTCCACATATAGGGCAGGAGAAAAGGTTTAAACCATGGGGACCGATGGTGGCATTTAAGTGTGGTATCCTGCCTCATGGCCATGAGTAATGATGGGTGACCATCAGGTTTGAAGTGCTTGGTCCTAGGCTGGCCTTCATTTATATGCGGCTCACAGACTAGGTCTGTGATGTCCTTTGATGTCTACCTCTTTGTCTCCTGTACCCTACTTGCTCATTTTGGAAAAAACCTTCTGGCTTGAAGTTCATTGAGTGACTCAGGAGAGAAGGCAGTCATGGGGTGGAGTAGGGTGAAAGTGAGAGAAGGCACCTAGCATTTCCTGGTATTTCTTTTTTTTCCCCTGCAGGTCCTGTTTTTGTAGCCAGAGGCAATTCACTTTGGACTCCACCTCTAACTTTGCCAGTTTAGGATTTTTTTTTTTTTTTCCCTCTTAACCCAGGTTGATTTCCTAACCCTTTTCAACCTCCTCTGTGCAGCTTTCAAAGGGCAGGAGCCTATGTTCTGATCAGTGTCTTGGAACAGGAAATGGGGTAACCAACAAGGCTACTCAGGTTTAAAAGAGATCAAGAACCAGATTCCCATCTGACCAATGAAACAGAAGACCCAGGGAGGGGTTGGTCTGTTCAAGACTGCCTCACTTAGTGGAAACCCATTCAAGCCAGCAAAATATCAATGAAGCTGGGGGTTTTTATTTTGCTTTTCCCATCAGTATGGAAGAGTCTGTTGATGGGCTGATGTCTGTTGCCTTGTGGGAGGGGAGTGTGTTGGCTGGGGTGTGGAGCAGAAGCCACAGCCCCACTCAGCACACAGCCCGCCTTCCCAGGAAAGCTATTTTCAGAACTCATTCACCAGTATTGTTTGTGATCTGAAATGACTCCCACAGTGTTTGAAGCTAGATGGAAAATTATCTGCCCTTTGATCTGCCTAAATAAATAATGAGGAGCCCAAAGAGGTTTTCTTTTTTTTTCCTTTTCTTCCCATCCTGATTAAACCACCGGAGAAATTTAGCTGCATGTATTTTACAGGAAGATACATATTTTTTATCCTCCCACCTAAGTTATCTGTGGATTTCTCTTTCTTTCTGTCCTCAAAAGCAACAGAGCCCA
Organism: Homo sapiens; assembly: GCF_000001405.40. Classification (NCBI taxonomy): domain Eukaryota; kingdom Metazoa; phylum Chordata; class Mammalia; order Primates; family Hominidae; genus Homo; species Homo sapiens. Next base: position 112,820,274 of record NC_000023.11, on the reverse strand, counting down.
TGATGATCTACCCTTGTTGAGCAGCATTTTAATACACAGTTTTGCTGTAACAGGTTTTTCTCTATGGGAAAGGAGCAGAGTGCTTGATAATGCTTGATGAATAAGCAAACCTAAAATGGCCCTAGTGGGAGGATGCTCCATATGAAATTTGGGTCTGCATCAGGCAAATACTGGCCGTAAAATTGTTGCAGGGCCCTACATGAGGGAGTGGCACCTATTGACAAATTACTGGCAAAAGGAGGTAGTTGAACTGCTTTCCAGAAGTGTACTGCTTTAAGGTGGTGACACATTTTCCCTCCTTTATTTCCTTTAACCAACTAGCTATACAGTTTGTGAGTACCTTTCCAAGTAACTGCTGCTAGCAGCAACCAATTAGAAGACTACATTCTGAGCCCTTAATCCACAAATTACAAGTCAGGATGCAAAGCAAACTCTTTGAACAAATTGCTGTTAAGAAAACATTTGCTTGCTTTTCGAGGTGCAGTGAACTGCTGGAGATTTGCTGTTAAAATGAACAAAATTATAAACAATCCTTTTATTACTTCATCTTTCTTATGCCCTCCTCCCCTTAAAAAATAAATACCTTGAATGCCCAGAACCCCAGATGAGAAACAAGGCAAAGGCTATCTGAATAATTTTAAAATTTCAGAATCTTTGTCTTTCTAAGTGCTGAACCTTTTCTGCATCCTGGGTTTATACATTTATCAACTGCTTTTAAAAATTAAATCATTTCTGTTTATAAAGCAGCCACCTCCTTTCAATTGTTGAAATCATGCCCAGATCTGAGGTTTCTTGAAATCCTTGTTTAGTGGAATCTAAGGGTGACCTAACTCTGTAGTTCAGAGCAGAGCTGGTTGTGCAAGAGAAACCATCAGGAATTTGCAGCCTGCTCCAGGATTCACAGATTCACCGATTCACCATTGCAGAGCCTGGGAAAGGCAGTTTCTGTGGTGAGGATCAATCAAGTTCCAGGCTATTGGGTGGCACCTGCTCTGGTGAGAGTGTGTGTGCAGGATTGCACATGTGTGTGCCAGGAGTGTGGAGTGTGTGTGTGCATGCACATGTGTGCATGTGTGTGTGGCTGGGGAGGGTGAGGGCTCCCAGTCATCGAGGTGGCAGGGTGGAAGGTGCTGTGTCAGCTGGGTAGAGTGGCTTTTACTTTCCCTTTGAGTCCTTACTACTGTCTCTGGGAGGAGTGTACCCCCCACCCTACCCCACTTCCCAGCTTTGGGGAGGATCCTGATTTTAGTCACTGGCCTTTGTCCTGCATGTATGCTATGTCCCCTTTTCTGCAGAGCCCCAGTGGCCCAGGTAGCCTTAGGAAGGAGCAGGATGAGGGGACGGAAGTGGCAGGAGGCAGGTCAGGGCTTGCATGGAATCATGTGATTCTGTTGTCTGCAGGCGGCTTGTTGTTCCTGGTTAACGTGTCAGTGGGGAGCGATTCAGGCTGCTGTGTGCTGGAAGGACCTGGAGAGTGTGCTGCTCACATGGCTGCCACCTTTATTATTACTGTCATTACTTTTACTGTTATTATTTAACTTGGGGTGTATTTTGGCTTCCTCTGACATCCGCCCCCTCCAACTCTCCCTTACCCCGTCATTCCTTAATCTCTTTTTCTCACGGGGAGCTTCACCCCAGTGTTCATTCCGTCCTGCTTTCCCCTGGTGGGTGGATGCTGGAGCCCAGATTGAGTTCTTCACTGAAGGGCTTTCTCTCCCTTTGTGACTGCCCAAGCCATTGCTGGTTTGCAAACCAGCCAGTGACGGGCTGCCTTGGTTTTCCCAACATCACGGTGCACTGAGATCTGCTTCCTTTTCCAGCCTGGGGAATTGAGGGGCAGCTGCCTTGTCTCTGCTTATCTTCATCCTCAGCTTATCTGACCCCAGAGACCTCCTTCTGGAGACCTCATGGTCTCCTCCTTCCCAAGGTCCCTGGAAGGCCATGTGCTGTTGTCCAGGGAATGCAGGGGCCTTTCAGTCTCCAGGCAGGAGGGAGGCCAGTGGCTGAGTTTGTTTGAGAGAGAGGCCTGGGTTGCTTGATGAGGCCCAGGGGAGCTGTGGAGAGAAAGCCCATTTCAGAACTGGGCGTTCAGTCTTTAAAAGAGAATACCTCCCAGGCCTTGGACTGCAAATCCTGGGAACAAAAATGAAGGTTAATATAGTGATTTTTTTCCCTTAAAATTTGAGAGCTGCATTGGAGAACATGAAACTTAAGCCCCTCTTTTCTGCCCACAAAGCAGAAAAGAGACACACAAGCCCCAACAAATCTCAGGACATTATATTTTAACTCTGTAGGCATGTAGAAATTGTAATAGCTCTCATTCAAAGAGAAAAAAGAGCACTTAGTCTTTTACCTGTGAGGAAACTGAAGATCCATAGAATGGAAAATAGGAGCTCTTCACCAAATAAATGTATAAATAACTCCCAGGCTTTTGATTGAATGAGTGCTTTGAGCTCTGGGGAAAAATATTATGTATGGCAGCAACTTTCCAGTTGTACTTATGAGTACCATGTCAATTCTTCTTTGCCCAAATAGTTCGCATGCCCTCTTCAATATTCAGCAATTATTTATAATGACAGATGTATGTGATTGGAAGAATGTGGGTACACCAGAGGCATAGATGGGCCTGAGCGACAGAATCCAGGGTTTGTACAGGTTTGAGGACTCTTGGGGAAGATGTAGGTTATTGGGTATCCATGAGAAAGTGTTTGGAATGATTTTGTAGCTGTAAAAAGCCCTTATAGTTAAGATCTCTTGTAAAGATGGATACATGAACAGTAATGGTAACTGGAGTGTGTGTCTGAGGAATGTGCTTTAGCATCTGGAATGCCAGTTAAAAGTTAATTGCTCCTGGTGATTTGTCCCAGTTCCACCATGAATTTTATGCAATTTATTGCAAAGATTAAATGGATATCCTTTAAGTAACAAGCTAACAAGGTCAGCTTATCTCACTGGGAGGTAGAGAAGTGACTGTAATTCCTATTCCGCCAAAAATGAGAAGACCCCAGTATTTTTGCAATTTATTTGTGACCTCAAGAATAAAATGGGCTCATGCAGATTAAGTAACTTGCACCAAGTTACACAGCTCGTGAGCAGTAGAAGAGGTCTCCAGACTCCCTCTGTTGGGATCCAGATCCCATGCACTTAGCCATCTGTCTTCCCTGGATTGAGAAATATCAACTGTAGAACAAGTGTCCACAGGACATGGGAGCATATGAGGTTAATTGGGCATGAGCTAGGGCATGAACAAGCTTTTTGTCTTCAGTGCACACTGACAGATACTATTCCTGGTAGTGGTGATGGTGGAAGTGATCCATCCACATACTAATTGTTTCCCTTAATGGCTAATAGTCATTAGGTATGAATTATTTATACTTAGGTGTTAGCATTTTGTACCTGGTAATTAGGTACAAAAATGGGAGAGCCACATTAAACAATGTACCAAAGGTCTCTTTCTGGAACTTTCTATGAGCAATAGGTTGGAAATCTAAGTATCAGTGCACAGAAATCAATGCATTATGGCAGTAGAAAAAGCCAGAAAATGGGAATTGGGAAAGAAGGATTCTATCTTGGCACCACCACTCTAATATTTGGCAGATGACTTCCCCTTTCTGGACCTCATTCCCCATCTGTCCAGTGATAGAGTTGAACTAAATAATTTTCTTTTAAGGCCTTTCCAGTTCTTACATTTTGCGATTCATTACATCAAAAATAGTATGTTAGCATTGCTTGTAACCCTCTTCAAGTCTTTTTATGGTTACTGCTAATGGGAATCATTAAATCGTTAACAACTGGAAGCAACAATAATCATTTAGTGTCTCTAATATAAGTATCTACCAATCCTTGAATAGTTTTTTTTCTTTTTTTTTGTGAATGTATGAATTACTAAAGGGAGTTGCAGATAGCAAGATGGGGGTGGTTTTTATGGCTGTTTGTTGTTTCCATCCTGGCAAATGGAACATAGTTTCTAAACTAGGATCTTTATGTGTGCTGGACCACGTGTATAATGTCAGAAAAGGTTTAATTTAAAATAATGAGATGAAAATTACCTTGTAGAAGAATCGTTTGAAATGTTTAGACTTGAGCAAACGGGTGTACAGGTGTGTATCACTACGATTTTCACAAAGTGACCATGGAAGTTGTCTGGTTCTGACCCTCATGGGATCACACCTCTGTTTGTCAGGCAGAGGCACAGAAGGTCAGGCTGGAAAAGGGCTGTGGTCTTTGCAGAGATAGAGCAGGCAGGGTTAGACTTCCCCATAGTCAGACCCTGCCTGCTCTTCATTTTGCAGGTGTCCTGGGGGCATCAGAAGCCTCCTCATCTCACTTTTGTGTGCCCTTCTCCCCCAGTGCCTTAGGAGAGAAATTAACCCGCACCTGCCCTTCATGTTTTACAGGCCAGCGCAGGACATCTCATTGCCATTGTCAGCCAGGAACTCGCAGCCTCACAGCCCTACTTCTTCTCTGACCTCTGGGGGGTCCTTGCCCTTGCTACAATCTCCACCATCCACTAGATTGTCTCCTGCCCGACACCCCTTGGTCCCAAACCAGGGAGACCATTCAGCTCACCTGCCTAGGCCGCAGCAGCATTTCCTTCCTAATCAGGCTCACCAGGGGGATCATTACCGTCTCTCCCAACCTGGCCTGAGTCAGCAGCAGCAGCAACAGCAGCAGCAGCACCATCATCACCATCACCACCAACAACAGCAGCAGCAGCAGCCACAGCAGCAGCCAGGAGAAGCCTATTCAGCTATGCCTCGGGCTCAGCCATCCTCTGCTTCTTATCAGCCAGTGCCAGCAGACCCTTTTGCCATTGTTTCCAGAGCCCAGCAGATGGTTGAGATCCTCTCAGACGAGAACCGGAACTTGAGGCAAGAGTTGGAAGGATGCTATGAGAAGGTGGCAAGACTGCAGAAGGTGAGGCTTCCGTTTTGGGATATTAGGGTCTCTAAGTCTTTATTTGTGAGACTTGTTTAATATCCACATTAAAGTCTCCAGTTGTGAATCCCAGCATTACTTGTGGCAGGTCTTCAGGATTTTTATATCTGAAGGTTAGATATGAGTCAAACTTTGGAAAAAGCCTTCTACCTGTCTACCTAGGAGAAGTAACGTCTTACATTTACACAAGGAGAAAAAAATTTATGCAGTTTTTCCAGACGCTATAGCCCTAAAGAAAACGTGATTAATTCTTTTAGAATTCCAAAAGGCAGTGATACTTCTTGATAAGAATACTGGTGATGCCTTTATAGGTAAAGGATCTGACGGCACCTTAAGGCTCATTGTCTTGGTCACATTTTCCCAAATATGAATTTGAATCTTAAATATAAAAATAAATGTAGTTCCTAGAAAAATCTCACCAGCTAAAGTTTGAGCAGTCCTGCCTTGTTCTGGAAAAGGCTCAGAATACTTTTTCCTAGTGGGAGTTCTCATAGTAACTCTCTTTCAACAATCCCTCCACCCCACCCTTTGATTTGGTCCCTCCCTGCAGCTCAAATTCAACATCTGCTCTCTTTCTCTGTTGTATGTGGGGGGCAGGAGGGGCTTAACACCACAGCTGGGTGACAGGTGACAGCCCTAGGCTGAGGAAATAGAAAAAGGAGTGTATCTCCAGTTCACATTCTTCTCTGCCCACCCCCATTGGGACTTTACCTCTGGAGTACCCCAAGCGAGGAACCTTAGCTCTTGGCTTCCAGGGGCTGCTGGTGAATAGGGTTATGCCTTTGGCCGCTTCTTTGCAGCTTTTGTCATTGTGGAGCTATTGTGGTTTGGTCTCCCTACAATGTGAACTGTTCAGAGAGGTGAGGGTGAAGGTGGGGGAGGGACAGGAGGATGCCTTGTATTGTCCAGCAACTCTGTCCTTAGGAAACACCAGGAGTGAAAATTTCAGAGGCCTGAATGAAGCTGAGTATTTGTAAACAGACACCAAATCTGGGGGCCTCAAGGAGACAGGGGCTTATTATCAGCAGATGATTTTTTTTCTTTCTTTCTTTTTTTTTTTTTTTGAGACGGAGTCTCGCTCTTGTTACCTAGCCTGCAGTGCAATGGCACGATCTCCACTCACTGCAACTTCCGCCTCCTGGGTTCAAGCAGTTCTCCTGCCTCAGCCTCCTGAGTAGCTGGGATTACAGGCATGTGTCACCACGCCTGGCTAATTTTGTATTTTTAGTAGAGACGGGGTTTCTCCATGTTGGCCAGGCTGGTCTCGAACTCCCGACCTCAGGTGATCCGCCCGCCTTGGTCTCCCAAAGTGCTGGGATTATAGGCGTGAGCCACTGCGCCTGGCAAACAGAGGATTTTTATATAGGAAAATGGCTTCCCTGTCCCTTAGTTTTCCTAAATCTGGATGAGGGTTGTTGGAGTGCTCTGAGAATTGTTTCTTCCCGGCTTTTCCCTGATTTTGTATTTTCACCCGCAAATTTTAACTATATCCCTATCCCCATCGCTTTGGTGAAATAAATTAATTATATCCATACACTAGAAACCCAGTCTGGCTGATTAGGCTAACAGTTGACACCCCCTCTCCAAACTCTCTCTTCATGGTGATCCCAGCCCATCTTTGATACAATCACTGAAGGATGAACCCAGCTCTAATACGGGCCCTTTTTGCCAGAGGATCCATGGTGATTTTTTGTGTGTGTGGGAGTGGGTTCAGCCAGTGACAGGGAAGAGGGACAGAGAATAGGATTGCTGTTGTTTGTTCCCCAAGATGGGAAAAGATGCCTCAAATAAGTGTAACTGGAACAGCTTGAATGTTGGGAAAGTAGAGGCTGACCCAGTGTCGAGGTAGAGTAGAGGGGAAGGTGGACCAGGAGAGGAAAAGGAAAGTGGGGAAAATTAAGGTAGATCCCAGGTAGTGCTGGAGGAAATGAAAAGGCCTGAGGCTCATGAGGGGAATAAGTAGACAGAGTAAGTCTGGAAAACCCACTGCCACCCTCCTCTCTGCCCCCACCATCACCCAGCCCAAACCAGTGGATATATCCTTCTGTGATGGCTTTTCCTGGAAGGCCCTATTGAGAGCTGTGGGACTTGCCCTTTTGAAGGATGGAGTATCTACACAGGGGGTAGGGGAAGGATTAGTACAAGATCTTGAAATAGCAGTCTGCACACCTTGAGGAAAGGGACTACCTTCTAGGTGTTGCATTCTGTGCACAACCGGACAGCCTTGAACTATAAATGCTGCCCAGAGCAGACCAACACCAAGCCTGCTCTTTCAGATGGAAATGTTTATTTTCTCTCCCCAGCGCTTGAGTTTCATGCAAAAGCTTCATCAGGCGCAGGCCTTGCAGATCTTGTCTCTAAATGCCATTCACCAGTTTTCACCTTCTGTGCTGCTATCTTGGTGCCATCTGTGAAGAGAAAAACACTTTTGAGTCTGCTCTTTTCTGTGGCATAAGCCTTATTTGTTTGCAGGCAGTCCTGTCTCTGGCAGAATTTTGGAGATGGAGGCGGGTTGAATCTGACTGGTTTGGCAACCTTACCTTTCCCCTAGTGTCCCATTAGGGGCCTGATATTTCTTCCCTGAAAGTACCCTGAGCTTTGTTAAACAGGATAGTGGAAAACACAGAAGCAATGCAGAATGGTTGCAGAGTCCAATTTAATCTGAAAATTGCTTAATAGACCGTGGGTTTATTTGTCTTATACAAATTATATGCAAATATCTGTGTGGCTATTATATGTGCAATGGAGCTATACTAGTTACAGAAAAACTCTGGAGTCTAATTTCTCATTTTCGGCCTGATTGTGGCTGATTCAGGGGAAGACCCTTTCTCTCTGAGTTTATTTTCCCCATTTTATGAGATTTGCAGGGGTGTCATAAAACACAACTCTGATTATGATTTTGTGTTCAAAAACCTATACTGGTTTCCCATTGACTATGGGATAAAGTCCAAATGCCTGGCATTAAAAGCATTTTATGATCTGACTCCAATCTATCTTAGCAGCCATATCTCGCCAGGTTCCCTCTGCGTACCCCACAGTGTCCAGCCAAATTAAACGACTGGTCATTCTGGGAATGCATTTGCTTACTCAGAATAGAATACCCTTCCCCTCACCTCTGCTCATTGAAATCTGACCCAGCTTTCAGGATCTGACTGTAAATGCCACCTCTTCTCAGAAATTGTTCTCCTCCCCACTTCCCCAACCAGGAATAACTTCTTCCTTGTCTGTACTTTATGGCACTACTTCTACTTTTCTTAAAGATGTATCTTGCCCTATAGTCTTTCATTCGATTGGATTGAAACCTCCCTGAGGGCAGTGAGAATGTTCTCATTCATATTTACACACCCCCAATAGTACTTTAAAGAGTTCGTGTAAATATTTGGCCCTTGGTAAATGTTTGTTAAATTGAACTGAACTACTTCATGAAGCTTGGGGTTTTTAGGGTTGGTCTCTGCTGCTGACAGTTGATCTTCAGAGGCAATTTGACTTTTCTCTCTACTAAAATGAGAAGAGGTATCCTGTCTAGGCAGATAATCAGTGCAGACTGGAACCAACATGTGAAAGCCCTTTGAATGCTTTGGAATATCTACATACTATATATATTATTACTAATATTTTCAAAATTAAGAGTTTTCTTCAGAAATTAAAATCCTTTATAACTATTTATAAAATTTATTCTATCTTACCATCTCCTCTGAAGGCAGAAATTGTCTATTTTTTTAACCCGAGGAAAGACCATGACACCATGAGTTAATTACTAAGCTTATGGTTGAAGGTGGAGATCCTTTCTTGAAACTTGTGTCATCTGACTGTGTTATGCTTGCCTCCTGGCCATCTGTGAGCCCTGGGAGAAGCTGTCAGCGAGGATTTGCCTGTTTGTTTTCAGACCATTTTCCCCATCACCCTCCTACCATCACCACCATTGTCTTTTTTTGTTGTTAAGGTGGAGACAGAAATCCAGCGCGTCTCGGAGGCATATGAGAACCTCGTGAAGTCATCCTCCAAAAGAGAGGCCCTAGAGAAAGCCATGAGAAACAAGCTAGAGGGCGAGATTCGGAGGATGCATGATTTCAACAGGGATCTGAGAGGTGAGGGAACCAACAGACTTGTCTTTGTACTTCTGAAGCAGCTGCAGGGTGGTGAAGGGAAGGGCTGAGCAGGATCCAACTAGGCTCTTTGGGGTTGTCCAACCCACCGGTATGGGCAGTAAATGGCTGGGCATGTGCCAGGCTAATTTTTTGTGACTGCAATAGTCCTCAGTCCCAAGCTTGATTGATCAAAGTGTGGATGTACCTCACTGGTCTTCTGAGCAATGAGCTGATGTGTTAATCAGGCAGGATCCCTGCTGGGACTCCTGGACCCACCTGGCCCACCCCCACAATAGGTGCTGCCTCTTCTTTTTAACAGGTTTTACAGAGGCGTGCCCTTTGACTGCAAGCTTGAAGTATAATGTCCTCTCTTATTTCCAGGACTGACTGACTCCTTTTATTTTTGACTTTCACCTGATAATATTGAAGACTTTGGGAAATATTTCTACTTTAAAGTGCCTTCAGCACCTTCAAAACTGCTAACCTTGGGGATGGTACTTTCTTTTTTTTTTCCTTTTTCTTTTCTTTTTTTTTTCTTTGAGTTGGAGTCTTGCACTGTCGCCCAGGCTGGAGAGCACTGGCATAATCTCGGCTCACTGCAACCTCCACCTCCCAGGTTCAAGTGATTCTCCTGCCTCAGCCTCCTGAGTAGCTGGCTGGGATTACCAGCGTGCGCCACCATGCCTGGCTAATTTTTGTATTTGTAGAGATGGGGTTTTGCCACGTTGGCCATGCTGGTCTTAAACTCCTGACCTCAGGTGATCCACCCACCGTGGCCTCCCAAAGTGCTGGGATTACAGGCATGAGTCACTGTGCCCGGCCAGGGATGTTACTATCTTTGAATTTTGGTTATTTTATCTTTAAAGTCAGGGGGCCCAAATACATGCTGCTAGTTGTCCCTTTCAACTTTGACATTACATGAGTTTAAATACTTTATAATAACTGTGATACTCTTTTTTTTCTGGTTAATGAAAGATATCTTTATATATTTGGGGATGGATAATTTCATTGAAATTTAGAATTCTGCACTTAACTTAGGTTTTGGCAGTGAGGAGTGAAAGCATTAAATACTTACCTCCTCCTCCCCGGCCATGGTCTAGTATTATTTTGGGATTCACATTTGCAAACTCATGTTAGTCACCCATTCCTGTTTAACAAGAAGAAACAGGCTTGTTTTACCAAAGGTCAGTATTTAGAGGGCCAATAGTATGTGCATGAAAGTTTACATTTGAGACCCTGTTGATTGTCTCCAAATTTCACAGAGCGTCTAGAGACTGCCAACAAGCAGCTTGCAGAGAAGGAATATGAGGGGTCAGAGGACACCAGAAAAACCATCTCGCAGCTCTTTGCAAAAAGTAAGTCTGCAAGCTGCAGAAACAGGTATTAACGTGTGGATGGGAGCAAGGTGCGTGAAAAGATTACACTGTTCTCTTTAGCCTTTTAGAACAGCCAGGGCAGAGTCAATATCACCTAAGGATTGTTTTTCCTATTCAGGCATGAAGTTGGAAGATTCTGTTCTTTTCCTCCTAAGCCAAGAAGGCTGCTTGCCACAACATCTCGTCACATCACATTGGTCCTTCAGCATTAAACTAGAGAAGCCCCTTGAAATCCCTGCTAGTGTCATTGCTATCTAAATAAAGAGGCTTACTGAACATGAGGTCCCTTCATGTTGAAGGGATTTTCTTAGAAGAAACTGTGTGTTGGCTCTGGTAGAGATGGGATTAATATGCAGGATCGATGATAGTGTTTGGAATACTTCACCTGTACCTGGGGCTCCCTAGTATTTATTGTTACACAGCAGCAGATTGCAAGGGGAGCTAATCCTATGGCCTGAACTAGTGACTCTGGCTGCAGAGTTGGAGGATGTGGGGGAGGGCAGAGCTGTGTCTTCCTCATAATAGTGTTTCCTTTGTCTGGAAATACTCCTAGGACCATGACAATGAATTAATCCTTTTCTTTATCAGTGTCTAATGGACCCCACCCAGCTAGACAATGTCTAATTATTTCCAATTGCCTTAATAAAACCAGCAATAAAAACTTCATAGTGGATTGAGTCCACAGGGAGAATTAGTCGGGGGGAAACATGAACTGCTCTCATTTCTGCAGATGCCGGTAGCTAGTTTCCTCTACCCCCAGTCTCCCTCAGTGTAGCTCTGGCTGTAGTTGTGCTCAGTAGGGATTTGCCATTCTCTTCCATCTTTGCTAGGTCTCCAAATGACCCTTTCAGCTCATTCCATGCAGCTTCTAGCCAGCTTTTACAAGTTCGTTTGATCTTCACTTACAATACTGCCCTCCCTTCCTGGGTTGTTCTGTTGTGCTCTGGTTTCAGAACAGGTTTTTTCTTTTTCTTTTCCCTGTACCTCCTGTTCCTTTGTCAGCATATCTTAGAGTAAGGAATGTAGTTTTTCTGGTGTCATCAGTGCCTAGTATAAATTTTTGTGAAATTGCTTTTGTGGTATCACAGTTGCTCTCAGAGCTAGTTCACTGGCAGAAAGAGGGTGGCAGACTCTCAGATCAAAACAAAACAAAATGTATAGATTCTTTGTTCTGGATCAGCTAGATCATACTCCTTTCTGTGTGGAGATGGTATTTCAGGTGTCCTAGGAGCTCTTTACAGGTTTATAAAATGTGGTAACTTAGTAAATCAGACGGTATTACCGGCAGGGCAAAAGACTGTCAAATGGCTCTAGGAAGGAAAAGTGAAGTTCATCAACTAGCCAGGGAAGAGGGCATGACTCTTGTCCCTCCTAATTTCTTTCGTCTTGGGACACTGACAGGGTCCTGTATGGTTGGAACTGTGGCAGGAGAAAGGAAAGCCCTCTCAAAAAGCGTCTCTGGGGAATGTACTGCAGGAATCCTAGAGAAACCAAACCAACTCAACCCTAGAAGAAGGCAGCCCGGTATAGTAGAACCAATCTGGGTGTAAATAAGGGCTCCACTACTTATTTACCAACTGTGGGACCTTGTACAAGTTAGTCAAGCTGTCTGGGTCTCTGTTTTCTCATATGCAAATTGGAGAGGAGAATAGTACCTTCCTTGTATGGTTGTTCTGAGGATTAAGCTAGTACAATACCTGGTATGCAATACGTATTCAACGAATGTTCCTTTCTTTCCAAATGCAAAGTCAGAGTGGGAAAGAAGGTGAGACTGCCCTATTGAAGTTTCTCCTATAACTTAAGGTTTAAGTCTCCAGATGAAGAGCACTTAACCTCCAAAAAATCGAAACTACTTGTTTGAGTTTCTGGTGTGAGGTCTGTCTTAGTTAAGAGGAGAGGAAAGACAAGGGACATAACTACATGTGTCATGGTCCCCTGTAGTTATAATGATTTGATTCAGAAACATGGAATTGCTGATTTTATAGGTCAGGTGACTCTCAACTTTCTCATACTAAAAATTAGTGTACAGAATCTGTTGTATCACAATGAAAGGTTTTGAAGCTACAGATTCTCATTACTAATCGTGGTGATGATGATCATCATCTGCTTTATGTAGTAAGTTCCTTTGGTGTTTGGTTATGCTTTCTAACATTTCTTTCACTTAAATAAATCTTCTATCTCATTTGATCCTTACAAATATTGTGAGGTTAAATAAGATGGTATTGTTACCTCTGTTTTACCATCTAGCATTGTTGATTCTTTCTTAACATGTCTTTCTTTCTGCTTATATTATTGATCTGATCTTGCATGCTGTCTACTTTTTTTATTAGAGCCGTTAGCATATGAATCATATTTGTTTTAAATTCCCAGTCTGTTAATTCCAGCATCCCTGCCTTATCTCGGGGTCTGGTTCTGATTCTTGCCCTGTCTTTTCAAACTGTATATTTTACCTTTTAGTGTGACTTGTAGGTTTTTTCGTGTGTGTGTGTGAAATGGCAGACCTGATGTATGGGGTAAAAGGCAACTGTGGTAAATAGGCCTTTCAGGATGTGATAGTAAAATCTGGGGGAAAGGGAAGTGCTCTAGACCTATGATTAGGTCTCAGTCTTTTAGTGAGCCTGTGCCTCTGGACTGAACTTCACAAGTGCATCTCAGTTTTTTTTCACCCCTTTAGGTGGTGCAGGATCACTAGAAAGGGCTTCAGCTGGTTATTTCCTTCTCTCGTGTGGAAGGCCAGAGCAGACTGGAGTTGGATGTTTCCTTTCCCGTGGGTCGGTTAGGCTCTGGAAACAAACAAGCAAGCAAACAAAATCCCAAAAACTCATAGATTAGGTTCTGGTTAAATAGTTTCTCTTGAGGGCAGGCCTTGTTAAGAACAGAATGCTCTGGCATATTTCATAATGGTTCCTTTTTCCCTCTCCCTGCTGGAGTCACAAGGGGTCCATTTCACAAATAGACATCTACAACTAGGACCAAGCAATGAAATCTTTAAGTGATTATTTGGGAAGAGTGAGAATTACTTCGTTGGAATTCAGTGATATCACTTCAGGTGTAATATTCTGATATTCTCATTAGCTGTGGGTACTGGAACAAGGTACAGCCAGCCACTAGAAGAGGGCAGATTGAGATAAGAATAGTGTATGGACCAAAGTGTAAAATCTGTTTAGGGATTACTTATAAATCTGTATTAACTTATGCAAATGCTAGCTTGTGATCATGTTCCTTCATTCTCCTAAAAATTATAGTTTTGGCTACTGTCTCATACTGGTGCTTTCTTCCTCTATTTTTCTTATATCCATCCACAGATGTTTATTAAACGCTCATTATATAGGTGCTGCTAAACTGAGCTCTCTTTAAAACCCAAGCCAGAAAGACCATTATCTGCCCACTAAGCTCTTCCATTCTAAGGTCATAGAGTATATTTGTATACACATATGCACACACATGCAAGTATTTATATACACACATACGTTTTTGTATATATGCAAGTATATATATATATATATACACACACGTTTTATACATATGTATATATACATATGTATAAAACGTGTGTGTGTAAGCACACAAGCATATTGGATTACTTTTTTTTAATTTTAATTTTTTTGAGATGGAGTCTTGCTCTGTCACCAGGCTGGAGTGCAGTGGTGCTATCTCGGCTTACTGCAACCTCTGCCTCCCGGGTTCAGCCTCAGCCTCCTGCCTCAGTCTCCCGAATAGCTGGGATTACAGTCGTGTGCCACCACGCCCAGCTAATTTTTGTGTTTTTAGTAGAGACAGCGTTTCACCATGTTGGCCAGGATGGTCTCTATCTCTTGACCTCGTGATCCGCCCACCGCAGCCTCCCAAAGTACTGGGATTACAGGCATGAGCCACCGTGCCCAGCCATATTGGATTACTTTATTTAAAAAAAACTGAACTTTCAAACTCTAATAGGCTTAAAGGGAGAAAAGGAGATTCACAAATAGAGGATGTTTTCTTCAGGTGAAATGGCTGCCTTTCTTCCTCTGATCCTGATGTTTTCCATCTAACTTTGCCCTGTTCTTTACAGTGTTCCCTCCACGCCTAGCCTATCCTACTGGAGAAGGAGTAGGATAAAAGCATAACATGGCTTCCAGTTTTAGTGTATTATCTTTTAAAAGACATTGGATTCCCAAGAGAAGCAGATGCTGAGATAAAGTGGGTTGGGTTAGGGGGTGGTGTTGGGTTAGGTTTTCCGTGGAGAGGACATGTTGTCGAGTAGACTTGATCTCAGTTACAAAGTGATGTTAGTGTGTGAAGGGTGGGCATGAGCTTTTATCCAGTTTATGAAATGTCATTTTTAGCACTATTTAATGTACTGTCATGAGGAAACAATTGGAAAAATGTTTTGAGCTCAATTGCTTTTTGCCAATGTAAGACAATTTGGAAGAAATAAAATTGAGGAGATGAGCCTACCTTTTCTTCTGAGGGCTCTGTGTGTGTGTGTGTGTGTGTGTGTGTGTGTGTGTGTGTGTGTGTGTATTCTTTGTATAATGCCTAATAATTTTTGGAACACGTTACAACTATTTTCTCATTGCTTCTGCTCAACAACCATTAAGTTGTTAAGTGACTTTTCTGAATTTCTACAACAAGTTAGTGAGAGAGCCAGTGATAGAGTCCAGATCTTGGGTATACTGGTTCTTCAGCTGTGCACTAGAGCAGTAGGCTATCTAGTAAAGGGTATGATGTGTCAATTTTGCTCAGGTAAGGCTTTGAGCTAGCTCCAGGCTGGCAGTGTTGATGTTTAATGTCCTGACAGATAAAGAAAGCCAGCGTGAGAAGGAGAAGCTGGAAGCGGAGCTGGCCACTGCCCGTTCTACCAATGAGGACCAAAGACGACACATCGAAATCCGAGATCAGGCCCTGAGTAATGCCCAGGCCAAGGTGGTAAAGCTGGAAGAAGAGGTATGGTTTCCTCAGGTAGCATATGAGCCTGGGGGTGGGAGGGCTGGGAAATCGGGGACACTGGGCTCCACATTGTGGTGAATTGGCAGCTGCATAATCCCCAGAAGGGAGGTGCCATCTGCTGCTCCTAGTTTCCACTGTGCTGATGTGAGTGGACTTTGCTTTCTTTTCTCTTCTTGGTAAATTCTTTTCTTTTGCTCCAAAATAGGAAATCACCAGGGTCAAGAAACAGTTTCCATTTGTTCATTCATATAATAAGCTCACTGCCCCCATATTCCAAGCTCTTACTATATACCTAGCCGTACCATAAGCCTATGACAGATATATAAATATATATATGGACATAGATGTATAGATATGTATATGTATAGATGTATATTTTAATTTCTGCCCTTACAGGTATTTTAAAACTTTATAAAACTAGAAAATACTTCTAGGTAGCTTAAAGTACTCTAAGGATTTTGAAATCTGAACAGCCCTTGTCTACCCAGGCTTAGTGGGAAGTCAGTCCCCTCTCAGGTCAGAAATGATTCTTGCTGGCCATATCTTTTACTGTTGGACTTACTTGGCAGATTGGTTTTTGAATAGAAGCAATCTTGGGAGGTCTGAGACAGGATGGGACCCAGGGACAGTTTACAGCTTATTTCAGAAAAAATGCTCTGGCCAAAAGCTGTGCTGTGGTTCTCAGTGGCTACTTCTAGAAAATAGTTACGTGGAGGAATGGACTTGTCATTTATGTGTGTGCAGAGATGAAGCCTTCCCTTGACAAATGCAAGGGCCCCCAAACTATTAAGCATATGATTAATATGTATCTGATTAGGCTTGACATAGATGCTATTTGATTGCAACACTAAACTGTACTCATGTGAAATAGAGGGAAATTTGCTGCTGGCTTGTCATTAATTTATCTTGGATGTCAGTTGTTATTGCACTGGACTACTAACTCTTAGATGTTTTGCCCTTCAGGGGATGGGTGTGTTCCAGCAAAAATTGATGCTAGAGTGTATCTTGGTAAAGAAAATTTCATATCTCACAGACTTCTGCTCTGAAATTTGAATTGTTTTAAGGGGAAAAATAGCCTTCATCATAAAAAGTTGAGAAATTTGTAGATTTGAAACAAAAGAAATTTATTAGCATTTAAAAAGCATTCTGGCTATTGTATATGAGGTATCTTTACTGCCTTCATTCATTGCTTGCTTCCTTTCCCTCAATAAGAATAGGTCTAGTTCCTGGAGATTTCCCAACTTATCAATTTCCTCTGCTTTCTTTTTTGGATATTAAAATGCTTGTTGGAGTTGGGCTGTAAATTCACACTTTACCAGTGGGTAGTGCCATCTAATTCATGATATCCCTTAGCCTGACTTGCTAGAATATCAACTCCAGGTAGTATAAAATCAGGTTAATATCTAGCTTCATCAGTTGTCTATATTAGAACTATGCTAAGTTGCTCAACAGAAAATGAGGAAGACTTGTACTTACCTGATGTCTAGGTTTAAGGAGCTTATTGCATCCTTTTGCTACACCCCATATATTCCCTTCCCTCACATTTTTGTGAGGACATTCCAGAGAAAATTACAGGATGGGGTAAGACTGAATTCTTTTAGAGAAGGACAAGCTAAGAGACCTGCTGCGAAGAAGTAGCTTGCTGGTGGTCACATGGCCAGTCTTGGGTAGAGCCAGAAATAAAACTGGTATCTCATGACTCTTCATTCCCTAAACCCTGCTGCCTTTCTCCCTGTCTGAATCATCCTTTGGTTCACCTCCCAAAAAGAAAATGTGGGTGCTTGTTCAGATTTAGTAACCTCTGCATCTTTTAAGTTTTTTAAAAATTTCTTCACTCGTCGGGCCTTTCTTTTCAAAAGACTATGAGAAACTTGTCCAGACTGCTTTGAGATTGGGGTGTACAGAGAGTCCTGCTGCCCCTCCAGGAAGGGTGCTCAGCCAGTTGGAGATAAATGGGGACAGACTGTCTGCAACCATTTTTCTTTGCAACATCCGAGGGCACAGTGGTAACTGGTTGTTTGAAAATATTGAAAATAATATATGTGTTGGGAGAAAATGTTCATTTCTAGTTCCCACTGGGCAGCCCTCGCTGAAAAGGTTGCCTGAAATATATTTCTGGCTTCAGACTTCTGAGGCTTTTCTGGGCATTAGTCCTGGAGATTTTTAGTAGTTTTCCAGGGGCCCTCCCCAAAATATGTATGTAGCTTTACAATATAAAGAAGTTCTAAGTATTGAGCTGGGATTGAATGATGGCATTTATTTCAAATGAGGTCATCAATTATTGTTAAGTTCTTAGTCCTCATCCAATTTGTGCTTTCACATGGAGTCTAATTGTTAGGAAATTCTGAGTTGCTCTTGCTAAAGGAGGTGAAACCTTTGACTGGGAGAGCAGGCTTACCACCCTCTACCCAGCGGAATCTCAGAGGCCATGTGATGTCTTCCAGACTTTCAAGCCCGCTCACTTCTAGCACATATAAACGCTTGGAAGACCACATCTCAGAGAAAATCAACTGGTTCTTATTTCCCTTTTTGTTTTAGCAGTCTCTCAGAGCTGGATTTGCTCCTGGGCGCTGTTTGTCGTGTCTCCTCTATATTGTTCAAAGGAAAACATCCCTTTTGCTTATCCTCAGATATAGGAAATTGCTAATTAAAGTTTTGCTTTGCTGCTGTGACTCAGTCTTCATTAGGCTTTGCTCTTTCAGGGCTGAAATTTCAAAGTTTGGAACATCATCAGGGAGGTATTTGAGGTAAACAGGTAGTTCTGGAACAGATCTAGGAAGGAACCTTCATTGTGATTGCTTCACAAAATCATTGAACATTGCTAAACCGAGAAAGGTATTCATGAATAGAAGAGTTATCCTTCTGTCTGTTGGAAATGGCTCAAGTAAGGCTGTTTTTGAAGGCACATGGATATGTTAGATAACCTGCCTGTGTCCCATATAAACAGATAATTTAGTGATGGCTTACAAATGGCATCATGAACTTTCCTCTTTTCTCGAACCTTAGAAGTTCTTCCAAGGAAAACCTTTCTAGCCTACTTAGCAAATCAAAATTAGGGAAACTTTCTCAAATTAGACCTTTTGTCAGGAGACTATTTTTCTCAGCCTTCTAACTACAAGGTCACTTAGGTAACTACTTCTCATTGCATTAAGGTGGTCAGGGAAAGGTTATGACTACTTTAATGGTCAGAGGACCCTTGCATTTATTTATGTCTTTCTCTTTACAAAGACCTCATTTAGATGCTTTTCCTGAAATTCATTCCTTCTTGCTAATCTCATTAACTCTCTTGCCTGAGGTTCTCTACAATCACTGTGCTCTAAACTCTACATAGAAATGTTGCCTCAGGCTTACAAAGAACTTTCTCCTGCAATCACAGCTTCCATTTGCTCCCAAGTTCAATGCATTCTTTCATGGACCTGGCTCTGCTGACATCCAGGAAGGAGGTATCTTGCTGGGGAGGGGATAGCACTGTAATTATAAATCAGACCTGTTTTCTTGGTGAGTCACTCTGATCCAGGCCTTGAACCAGCGTGTACCCTGTGCCCCTATTGCAGTAGCAGCCGAACGAGGTAAATGGTGCCTTTCCGTCCTTGCCCTTATCTTTCTTTCGGGACACGTAGGTCCTATTGAAGTGGAGGCTCATTAAACTCCAAGTCAAAAGAGCTCTGTGTCCTACAGCAACCACGGTATTCTCCCATTCAAAGACAGCCTCCCCACCCCCTACCAATTTGACCTCGCTGGAGATTTTCGATGGATGTCTGGCATATCCTCTCACAAGGCTCAGGGCAGCCCAGGCTTCTGGCTGGCTGCTGTCTTATGATGATCCGGAGTGGAAGCGGCTTGGGTAATTGTTTCAGGGATGGTGGGAAAAAGGCCTTGGCAAGATCAAAGAGGGAAGATGCTGCGGGTGGGCTGCTTACTGAACTGAGTGCACAGGAAGGGAGAGTGTGGAATGTGAGAGGGCTGGCAGAGAGAGCCAGTGAGCCTTGTTCTTTGGCTTTAGGCTAGAATGAAAGCCATGGAGATTCAACAAGAAGGGGCCCAAATGTTAACCTTTTCTGAACTGCAGTGGCTAGTGATGATGTAGATGTCACATTGATAGCTCGTATTGGAGTAGCCAGTGCATTTTCTGGAGTCCCATTGCAATTCTACTCAATTCTCTAAGGCTAAATTCATACCGTTTTACTCCATTTCCACCATTGTTCTTAAGGGCTAATATTTTCCCTTCTTTCTGGATCTCTTACTAATTTGATTTGTCTTTTTGGTTTTAAAGATACATAATTTTCTGCTATGACACCTATCCACAAAGCATCATAACCAATTTCCTGCTTCCCTGATATTAGAGGAAGATGTCATAGGCATAGATATTTATATGTCTAATACTCCAAAATAATTTTCAAACAGCAATAGGATTTCATTGGTGAAGGTAAATCTTACCCAGTGTTTTGATGGATTATAGATTTGGATGGAAGATCCAAGGATGTGAATTATGTGTGCATTTAGAGTATTGATAGGATACAGATAAAATACATATCCACCCAGGAATCTTCCAAAGTGTTCTGCTGGTGCATTATTGATTTATTTGAAGGGCATTTCATCTAAGGATGACATTCTCCATATTTATCTCAGTCTATTTTATCTCTTTCTTTCTTTTCTTTTCTTTCTTTCTTTTGTTCTCTTTTTATTTTTTATTTATTTATTTATTTATTCATTGAGATGCAGTCTCGCTTTGTCACCCAGGCTGGACAGCAGTGGCCTGATCTTGGCTCACTGCAACCTCTGCCTCCCGGGTTCAAGCTATTCTCCTGCCTCAGCCTCCCAAGTAGCTGGGACTACAGGCATGTGCCACCACGTCCAGCTAATTTTTTGTATTTAGTAAGACGGAGTTTCACCATGTTGGCCAGGCTGTTCTCGAACTCCTGACTTCAAGTGATCCACCCGCCTCGGCCTCCCAAAGTGCTGGGATTACAGGAGTGAGCCACCGTGCCTGGCCGTATTTACTTTTAGGTAGGTGTTTTTCCACCCAATGTGTTACAAGAAAGAAATTATGTCTACCCCCAAATAGAGATGGAGTGATCTCTCTGAGCTCAATTCTTTCAGTCTTTCCTATGATTTTGGCTTTTGGAATTCCTAAATTGGAAACCTTGTGGGTTTCTCTTTAGTCGCCTTTACAACATGAGCCCTATTCCTGAGGTAGCAAGTTTTTAGAGGTGGTTTTTTTTACTCTTCAATTCTTTTAATATCTACCAGTGGACCACAGCCTACTGGCAATGGACAGAGGCAGCTTGCTAATACCAGGGTAGTGTTACCAAATTGCTTCAGCATGAACCCTTACTTGGATCCAGTGGCTCCTGGGTAAGACTAAATCAGATCAAACTAAAATCAGGCTCTTGGAGCAACATATAACCAGTGGTATGAAGGAGAATAACAATAAAAATACACTTCAGTTGTGACATTTGTATAAGAGTGTTTGGAGTTGTGGACAATACAGGGGAAGAGGAAAATTAGACAATGAAGGCACTGGACTTAGTTTTATATTTTTAACCTTAATGTCCTTTAGCCAATGGAGTGTTTGTATATGTTGGTGGTCATCCAGCTGGTATTAATAGTCTGTCCTTTCTGCCTACTGATCTGTATTTTCTTGTTTGTATTTTTTAAACATTAAA
The DNA here is from genome assembly GCF_000001405.40 of Homo sapiens. Lineage (NCBI taxonomy): Eukaryota > Metazoa > Chordata > Mammalia > Primates > Hominidae > Homo > Homo sapiens. The sequence goes on along the minus strand of NC_000023.11, from coordinate 112,799,277 downwards.
AATATTTACAGATATATTAGTATATCCCCAAAGAACCTTGCAAGTGTTATCCTCATTTGACAGATTAAGAAATTAAAGTACAGACAGATTAGGTGATACAGTCAGTGATAAATTTAGGAGAAAACCCAGATCTCTTAAATCTAAAACATTTTAACCCTGTTCTTTGTCCACTAGTGAATAAATGGGAAGCTAAATGATTAAGTCGCTTCCTTGCAAATGGCTAAGACAAATGGGGCTCTAGAAGTAATTTTGTATATAGCCATCCTTTAAAAAATAAGTTTGAAAGACACCCACAGTTGTTGGAAGGAGGGAAGAGATGCCATCACGTGGTATTCATTTGCAGGGATCAGATTTTCCTGAGTCAGAAGGGGGTTAAGAGATCTGCCAAATACTTGGGAACTGGTTCAAAATATTACAGAAGTGTAATGGAAAATCATATGATTGATTGAGCTCAAGAGTATTTGCCTTATGCTTCAATAGATTGCCTTCCCACTGTTCTTCCTCTCAATTTTATGATTTTCCTTTAAAAACTTATCTCTGAATAGGAATGATATGAAATTCTTATCTTGACTGGGCCAAAGTGAATACATTTATGAGGTGTGTGTTTGTTGTTTGTATATTTGCAGTGTTGTAGATAAGCTATACTATGCTCATTTTTGTTCTTGAATGTAATCGTTATTTAATATTAACTGTTCACCAAGAATATAGTGACCAGTAAACTAGAACTAGAACTTAAGAGAGACACCAAGGAAAATAGAAGGGCTCTACCCTTAAGTGGCCTATGGATATTGCCTTCCAATTGAGGCAGAAACTTTGTCTTGTTTCCCGCTACATCCCTCCTGCTCTCATTTGTAGAATAGGGCCTGATGCATAATAAGCATTCAGTAAATATCTGTTGAATGAATGAGTGAATCCACACATGAATAAAATCTTTAAAAAATGACTGCTTAATAGAGTACACATGATGAGAAGCTATAAAGAAAAGCAGCAATCAGGATCAGATAAGATTATTCAAGGAAGAACTCTTGGAGAGTTTAGTGATTTAGTAAGGAGGGATAAGAAATGATCAGACCAATATGAAGTTTGAGTATTTGCATAGTAGACCTGGAAGAATTTTAAGACAGTTGGAGCCTAGATTGATAAGGCATTTTTAAGAGCCATATCTAGGCTGAACAGGGGAGAATGACAGTAGACTGGTGAACGTAAAAGCATCAAGTAGTTTGAGGTATGGATGAAAGAGAGCAGCTCTGGTCTAAAGAAGAGAGGAGGTAGGTTTAAAAGTGCCTTGGATATAATAGGTACCTAATAAACACTAATTGAATGGGTGTGCTAGCAGTAGTTTAAGAGTTTGCTTTTTCTTTCTTTCTTTCTTTCTTTCTCTCTTTCTCTCTCTCTCTTTCTTTCTATTTCTTTTCTTTTTTTCTCTTCTTCCTCTTCTCCTTCTCCTTCTTCTTCCTCTCTCTTTCTTGTCTTTCTTTCTTATCTTCCTTTCTTTTTTTGACAGAGTCTCTCTCTGTCGCCCAGGCTGGAGTGCAGTGGCGCGATCGCGGCTCACTTTAACCTCCGCCTCCTGGGTTCAAGTGATTCTCCTGCCTCCGCCACCCAGGTAGCTGGGATTATAGGCGTGCACCACCACACCCAGCTAATTTTTGTATTTTTAGTAGAGACGGCGTTTCACCATGTTGGGCAGGCTGGTCCCGAATGCCTGACCTCAAGTAATCCACCCGCCTCAGCCTCCCAAAGTGCTGGGATTACAGGTGTGAGCCACTACATCCAGCCAGTTGCTTTTTTTCTTAAATGACTATTTCAGGAAGTCTGTTATAGCAGCTGTCTATAGGATGGACTCATGGGTGGGTGTGTGTGTGTCTGTGTGTCTGTGTGTGTATGTGCATGCATGTGTGTATAGATCGGGAGAGCAACTGAAAGTAAGATCTGTTAGGTGTTATTATAGCTTAAACTGTGTTGGCTATGAACATACAAAGAAATGAAAGAATATGAGAGATGTTAGAATTAAGACATAGTAGTAGATTGGATATGATAGACAAAGGAAAGAGGGAAGAATGATAATTCCAAGATTCTGAGACTGGAAAAATTAGGTAAGTGATGATGATGATGACTGAACTATCAAAAGGATGACATTTTGAGGAAAGATGAAAGCCATCTGGGGCATGCTAAGTTTCAGAGTGAGAAATCTTATAGTCACCTAGAGGTCTGTGACTGAGGATAACATGATAACATTAAAATATTAGTGTGGCACAAAGGAGATCTCCAGTAGTGCTGCAATGTTGAGCAAAGTTTCTGAACCTCAGCGTTCCTGACATTTGGAGCTGGATAACTCTTTAGTGGCGGTGGTAGGATGCTGTCCTGTGTATTGTGGGCTATTTAGCAGCACCCCTGGCTTTTAGTCACCAAATGCCAGTAGCACCCCACCTCCAGTTGTGACAACCAAAGATGTCTCCACACATTGCTAAAATGTCCCCTGGATAGTTGGGCATGGTAGGGGGTGGGGGGATTGCCCCCAGTTGAGAACCATTGATATAAAGGCAAAAAAGGAAACTACCATAGATTGGACCTTGGAGTACTGTAGGAGGCGGGAGTCAGGGTAGGGTTAGGGAGAAAGTGGATCTAAAGATCAAGCCAGGGAGTAAAAGCAGTTTAGGGATCTACATTAAGAAAACACAGAATTGGAGAAAGCAAGGAAAGGATTTGACAACTTCTTGAAAGTTGGCATTTGGTAAGAAAACTTTAATAGATGAAGGATTTACTCCATTCACTGAATGTTCAAGAGGGATTTGGCTTAAATGATAGATTTACTTGGAATCTTGAGGGCTCATGGGTACTGGTCTCTAGATTAGAAACTAGAGTGACTAATCTGTGGTCCTCACAACTCATTTTATGCACAAACACTCGAACCACTATCTTGGCTTTGGAAATTCTTTAAGTGAACCTTCAGTTCTTTGAACACTGAAAACAGAAAAATAAATCATCTAGGGTCTTATGACAAGAACACACATTATATAGTATGTCTCTTGCATGTACATACACACAAACTAAAGCAAAACTTTTGTTTTTACGCCTAAGAATGTGACAGTACAGAATCTTAGGACCCCGTTTGGCTGAGCCCTCTTGGATATTGGTCAGTGTTGAAGGTGAAAAGGGGATTCTGATTCACAACCAATTTGGGAGTTAAAGACTCTTAGAGATCTTCTGAGATCATGTATCTAGCCCTGTTTTTTTTTTTTTTAAACTTCTGAAATCCTGGTGGGGCAGGGCATTCCTAAGAGAGAGAAGATCATGTGCAAAGGCAGTGAGGGGTGAAATATTATGGGCTATTCAGGAACCTTAAGCTATGTAACCATACTGAAGCATCAAGTATGAAAAGATGATGGAACAAAATAAGGTGGGAGGCCCATTCTCTAGGGAAGACAGGTAACAGACAACAAAAATGAACATGAATACAACACACACAAAGCTCTGGCAATTGTTTTTTCAGGTGAAATTTTAAATAGAACCCTAATACGTAAAACACATAAAAGAGGAGCCATCTGATACAACCCACCCACCATAGTGGCCCCTCAAGCACCTCCACCAAACACTGGGACTCTGCATCACCATTTGAAGACCTCTCCAGGGGTTTGCCAACTTTTCTCTAAAGGACCATATTGTAAATATTTTGGAGTTTGTGGGCCATGCAGTTTCAGTTGCAACTTCAGCTGTTCGACTCTGCCATTGTAGCTGTAAGGCAGCTATAGACAAAATCAATGGACATGGCTGGATTTGGGCTGCTGCTGACCATTTTGGTTTGCTGACTCCTGAAACCCCCCTCATTTTTTTAAACAAATGAGGTCTCTGTAGCTGAGAATAGAGAAGCAAGTTGCTATTAATAGCAGAGCTAGGACTAGAACCCAAGTCTCCTAATTGTCACCTTGTTCCTTTACCTTTCATTGTGCTGTCAGATAGAAATTTCTGATATGTATATCTGTGTGTATGTGACATACACATACACACACACACACACACACACACACAGAGAGAGAGACAGAGAAAGAGGGAAGAGAGAGAGAATGAAAGAGAGAGAAAGAGAATTTGTTTTGCCTAGGGGTCTTTAGTTAAATAGTACTTTTTATATTAGGTAAAATATTTCTTTCTCCTAAAGCAGAGGTACCTTGCAAATCATGTCATTTGGAAAGAAATGCAGTATCCTTGCAGCTACTCAGTGGTTGCTTCTAACTGTATTTCCAATGAACAACTTGCTATCCAAAGATATCTACAGCATAAAGTGTTTGAGGCCTAATGTTATATGTCCTCCTGTGGGAAAATGGCTATATTTGCATTGTCTAATTAGACAATGATGTGATCATTAGAGTTACTGAGAGAATGATAGCCATGTCAAGGATATCTGGAGTGAGTGTTCAAAGTTGAGAGGACTGGAATGTGTATGGCTTGGTATTAATTTTTCTCTAAAAAAGAACAAACCACCTGGAGTACTTTCTGTACTATACACTCTACTAAGCACTTAATGCATCATCTCATTTGATCCATATAAAGATACATCATGATTTGTCATGACTAAGGTAAAAGTGAAGCACATAATGTTCAAGATAGTAGTGGAGTTAATAAAGCGTATAGGTCTTTGTTCCTTTTTACACGTAGATAAGATCTAGAAAATGTAGAGAGTGTAACTTAGAAGATGGTTGGCTTTGTTGATTGCATCTCTAGGATCTTGGACTGGTCACATGCAAGAGTTGTCTTTTTCTACCCTATCTAGAGAGTAGGCATTTACTAGGTGATTATGATGTTTATGGGTGAGTTGCACTTTTTCTCCTTTTAAATGAGGTGGGAAAACTATGCCAGCCACAGTGGTCTTGCTACCTTGTGGAAAATCATCCCAGTGGCAAATCAAAATGAGATATTTTTTGGCTTGCTTTGTGGAATTTATCTGACCTGCATGCCTATCTTTAGCCAACTCGGAGAACTCCCCAGGCCTTTATTGCATTTCCCTTCCAGAGAGTTGGCTCAGTGACTTCTATTGCGGGATGCTTTTGCTAGGATATTTAGGTTTCCTTTCTGAAGAAATCCACGTGGCCCTGGATTGCTTATTTTTCAGTTTTGTGAGCTTGCATTGCAGTAGTTTACCACCAAGGCAAGAACTGCATGCTATCTAAGTTTAATTGCCTTTAAGTATAACTGCTGCAAGCCTTAGTAATTATAGTTCACATTCTCTGCGTTAACATTGCCTTGCTCCCTTAGGACTTTCAGAGCGATTCACAAATAAATGCATTCAGCTTTAAATTGCTCATAAGGATTATAAGACCCAAAAGGTGAAGGATAGAGGTTGTTTCCTTCTCTCCAATTATTCAAAGCTTAGCAAATAGGAAGGCAGAGGCAAAAGTTTTGGTTGCCCTAGTCAGTGTTGTTATAAACAGCCACAAATCCCGGGGAAGAAAGGTTTAAACTTACTGAGGTAAAGAGTTTGATGGTGTTTTGTTTGTTTTATTTCCTAGGAAAAGTTCTAATGGATAAAAACATATAGGCTTCGAACTCACCTCAACTGGTTTTCAAGGCTAGATTGAACTAGACTTGGAATGAAAGGAAATGTCAAAGAAGTACAACAAAAGTCGAAAAAGGTTTTGTTTGCCAGTTACCTAGGCAAGGCATACTACAGGTCTGGTAGGAAAATACAAGATAGGGTTCCTTCGACTTAGAGAAAGTTCAGCAATTCTAATTTGAGGAGGGGGCCATTATAAGACAAAGAGGGTTTTTCTATCACTACATGCTAGTGCTGTCTGACTGGAAATTCTACCAAGTAGTGATTTGGACTCATTACCATGAAGGTTTCTGCAATGAGGGAGTCAGGTTGGTTCTGCCAGCTGGGCCCCAGCTAAGTGGCTGTTAGGCAATGCTGGTAGGGTGGGTAACTTCTTATGTTGCAGTTATCTACCTAGGTAACTCAAGAGCTTGGGAATTTGTTGAAAAGTCAGAATCGGATGCCTGAATTTCTTTTTGACTAGATTATCAAGAATATTTTCATATTTTAATCTGAAGAGTGAAGGTGTCTCTAACATCAAGTTGATGTTGATCCCTAACATCAACTTCCATCAGAAGAATAATGACAGATGTGACCCACTTGGAAGAATTTCTGCTTTGGAAACAGCTATGAGTTGATTTATTAGCATTGAGGAGGCCCCACAAGTATTACGAGAAGCATAATCTGCTTATTTATTAACAAGTTGGGAAGCCTGCAGTTTCCCCATATCTTCTTTAAAGAAGAAGATATATATCTTCTTTAAAGAAGAAGATATATATCTTCTTTAAAGAGCTCTGAGATCTTTCTCATTATTTTATCTGCATAGTCAAGCTTTTGCTTATAAGCTACAAGGTTGCAAAGAACTCACACTCTTATTCCCTACTTGCTTCTACATTTGCTTTTGGATATGGCTTATAGGCTTGCAAAGAGGAATAATAATGTTTGACTCATTTAGTTTCACTTTTGAGTCATTAATTTGAGGCTTTCGGGATCTTTTATGGTTCCAGAATAAAAGTTGAGAGACTATAGCCCAGGGTCTCCAATTCAGGCTCATGAAGTAGCAATCACAAATAACCTAAAGAACTAGCAAGGCAGTGCTAGGCGATGTGGAGACTAAAGGCTTTTGACCCATCACGTGACGCCTTTACTTTTGAGAAGCAGAAACTTTCCAGGAGAGCAGTGATGGATTATATGGGGTGATTACCAGGACCAAAGACTTCAAAAAGACAATTCTGACTTTCTTGTACCTTCAGCAGTTGATCACCCTTTTTCTCCCACTTGGAGAAGAGACAGCTACATAAAAGGGGTGGGCTTTCTTTCCATACCAAAGCAAACCTTTCTTCCTGGAGATCCACCCTTTTAAAGCATTTGCCTAATGCAATAACCAAAATAAGATATGCCTTCCCAAGAATAATCCATATGAGAATGAAAAAGGCCAGAGATAAGGATGTGCATAATTGGGAATCTGAAAAACTTGGCCATCTAACATAGATGGTACTGATAAGAGTAGACTTTGGGAAGGTATAGAGATAGGGAAGAAGGAAGAGGTTTAAAAGGTATTCTCGATTCCTTCACATTCTCTTTATGAGCAATACAAGGCAGCCTGCTACTCATTGTGAAGGACCTTCTCGCCATCCATTCCTTTTTGCAGCTGGACTCTAAAACAAGAAGAGATCTAAACACAAGGCTGGATTTAGGGGATACATAATTGACCCTGTTGCTTGCTGTTTTTCCTTTCACCTTGCAAATTACCCAACATGGATTTCCAGCTGAAAAAGAAGCAAGTGTACGTTGACAAGGTGGAGAAGATGCAGCAGGCCCTTGTACAGCTCCAGGCAGCATGTGAAAAACGTGAGCAGCTAGAGCACCGTCTCCGGACACGACTGGAGAGGGAACTGGAATCCCTGAGAATCCAGCAGGTATGGAGAACTTAAAGGAAGAAAGGGAAAAAAAAGTAAGAAAATGACATTATTCCTGGTTGCTTATTTTTCAGTTAGCATTTGACATGAACACTGAAAGCACACACTTGCTCATTTTTACATTTTTCTCCCACCTAATCTTACTCCAGAGTGCCTCCCAATTGTGAATACAAAGTCTGTTTCCTTAGCTTCCTATCCCAGAAATATCCTTTAAGCCTTTTATCTTGCACCTTTTATTTTCACATGAACTCCAGGAACAGTAGACGCTGTAAGAATTAGCGCTGCTACACAAATACACATCTTGATATTGTAGAACTAGAAATGGTCTTCAGAAATCATCTGGCTGTACCACTTTTCAGTTTTAGATGAATGAAAATCAAGACTAGGAAAAGTTGGCATGAGTCACTAATGATAACTACAACAAGTTATGGGCAAGATAGGATCTAAATCCTAGATTTTTTTTTTCTTGAGACTGAGTGCAGTGGCGTGATCCAAGCTCACTGCAACCTCCACCTTCCATGTTCAAGCAATTCTCCTGCGTCAGCCTCCCGAGTAGTTGGGATTACAGGTGTGCACCACCACGCCCAGCTAATTTTTTTTTTTTTTGTATTTTTAGTAGAGATGGGGATTCACCATGTTGACTAGGCTGGTGTTGAACTCCTGACCTCAGGTGATCCACCTGCCTCAGACTCCCAAAGTGCTGGGATTACAGGTGTGAGCCACCATGCCCGGCCAGATTTTTAAATTCCCATTTCTGTTGTGTGTTATGCTGGCAGGCAGGGATGGCAATTTTTAGGCCATTAATTCACTTTCTGAGTAGCATGACAGTTTGATATGACAGGCCCCTTTCCTGGCCAAGGGAACCTCACATTCAAGCCCATGATAGGAAGTCCTGTGGCCCTGGGAGGAGATCTGAATTCCCCCTGCTTCTTTCTGAATCAGAGTCGAAACAGAAGTAGGCTGGGCAGTAATCCTCTCCAAGAATAGGGGCTCAGACACCATGGTTCTTCTCTCACTAACTTGAGGGTTCTCTGCATCTGCCCCAACAGCGTCAGGGCAACTGTCAGCCCACCAACGTTTCAGAATACAATGCTGCTGCACTGATGGAGCTCCTTCGGGAGAAAGAGGAGAGGATTCTGGCTCTGGAAGCTGATATGACAAAGTGGGAGCAGAAATATTTGGAGGAGAATGTGATGAGACATTTTGCTCTGGATGCTGCTGCAACTGTGGCTGCTCAGAGGTAAGTAGGTAGCTGGTAGGGCATGAGTGGGAAGAACAGAAAGGTCACTGATTCATAGATTTTTCCAGTGTTTTATTTTCTTTAATATTCTGGGTTTCCCCCCCAATTTCTGCCTAAGTGTGTTTTCTTTCATCTGATTATGCAGGGAATGAACGGCTGTAGAGACAGAGGGTCAGGGATTTGAACATCAAAGTTGTTTTATAAACTTCTTAGAATCATAGTTCAGCTTTCCCCAGAAGCCAGAATGATTGCAGATGGGATCAGCTGAAAATTTGCACCCCTCCTTCCCCAGAGCCACAGATTCTTTCAGCCACATATGCAGGTTGTTTAGCCCCAGGACCGGAGTGAAAGCCCCTCCAGAGAAACTACCACTCAGAAACTAAATGTCACTGAGGAGTTGCTGCTGTCATTTGATAGCTCTGGCTTGTCCAAGGTATGTCAAAGGCTGTGCTGAACTTGAACCCATCCCTGCCCTTTGGGAAGGTCAATATTTGAAGGCCACATTCTCTATGTGCATAACCTCATCGTGCGTGAGCGGTCACATTTCATCTGGTAAGGGAGAGAAAGTGGCTGGAGGATTTTTACTTTTTGCTCCTTATTTGTTCCCCTTTTCAAATTATAAAAGTCAATTATTGGCCTTTGGAGGAAATAGTTGCTCTTACCTCATGTGTCTTACCTTGCTGCTGCTCAAAATCATCAGTTGGGGTAAAAAGAAAGGAAGAAAGAGAAAGAGAAAAAGAAACAACAACAAAAACTGAATTAAAGTCAGGTGATGACTTGGGTTGTGGCGATAACAGAGCCTTGGTCTGGAATTGGGTATGAAAGGCAGGCTACAGTATATTGCACCCAGATAGGTCTCTACCCAGAAAGTTATTAAAAACCACAGTGTTGTTTTTAACATTCTCCTAAACGTGGTAAGCCAGCAGAGTCTGGAAGTGCTTGCCAGACTTTGGGTTGGGATATGTATGTGGAGTGGGCAGTGGATACATTTATTTTTGAGTCCTTCCATGCCAAATCAGAGGTGGGGAGGTTCAGTGCTAAGAGCTGAACCGGTGCTTTATAAGCCCACTTCGGTTCTTTAGGAAGACATGTCTCTCTAATGTCATCTGCTTGTCTTCATTAGATATCATCTATGCCTCAAATGGATGGAAGCTGCCTGTGGCTTGATTTTGAGCTTAAGCTCATGGACTTAAGCTTCCTGGCCTTGTTTCCTAAGCAAGGCATACTCAATACATGCCAGTGTGGCAATAGAGTGCACAGAAGCCCCAGCTCTGCCAGAAGATGGTCTCGAAGGTTGTAGGCAGGTTAGAAGCAGAATTAAATGTAATTTTACCTGCTAGCTCCCAAGGAAACACCTGTGTCCAGCACTTGTTCAGAGGTTATATAAGAAACCCTGATGCTGAAAAAACATTGTTATTATTGACAGGTGGAAAGATACAGGGTAATTTTGTCACGTTTAGGCAGAAGCTTAGAAACATACAGGTCACGAGAGTGTGCAGTGTGAGAAAATACTAGAAAGCTACGGTTCATGGTGCCTACTTCAGAATAGACTCCAGGTCAAAATGCAGGAGAGCTTCAGGGGTTGTCACTTGGGGGCCTTGTATAAAGAAACTACCCTCCTTCCTTCGTCCTTTGAAAGCTTTGTGTATTCGGGGAAACCCCTTTCAGATGGATTTTCAGAATCTGTTGGCTCCCACAAGGTAGATTTAATTTAAATTGAATTCATTTTAATCATCACGTAGAAACTTTTCATCTAATCACTGTTTTTGGCAAAATGTGCATGCCTATCATTTAACAGGCTAAAACACAGCCTGGTTCCCACCTAGAAAGAACACTTTCCAATAGTTCCACAGGTGAACATTCCAGATCACGACTGTGTGTCTTTCTGGCATGCTACTAATCCAATCCACAGGAGATGCTGACAGAGAGATTGTATTGAAATTTCTGTAAAATATGGGAATTGGACTAGGTGATTCCTTCAGACCTTCCTATTTCTAGGATTATATTACTTTTCCAGTGATAGTGCCTCTTACGTTCTACCATGGAGGTTGGTTTTCTTTTCCTCTTTCCTTTCAAATGAGATTCTATATTTGAGAGGTAACATTTAGAAAACTTTATTTTAAAACCTGTGGGCTCTTCTGCCTTTCTTTCCAACATTTCTTTTTATTCCTTTTGTCTACTTGTTTTCCTCTTCTTTCTCTCAATCTTAAATGTAGCTATTGACCAAGGTTCTGCTCTTTGCCCCTTTCCATGGTAAAAGTTTTATATTTTCTTTTCTTTCAAAATAATTTTTTTTTTTTTTTGAGAAGGAGTCTCGCTCTGTTGCCCAGGCTGGAGTGCAGTGGTGCTATCTCGGCTCACTGCAGCCTCCGCCTCCCGGGTTCATGCCATTCTCCTACTTCAGCCTCCCAAGCAGCTGGGACTATAGGCGTGTGCCACCACGCCTGGCTAATTTTTTGTATTTTTAGTAGAGACAGGGTTTCATTGTGTTAGCCAGGATGGTCTTGATCTCCTGACCTTGTGATCCACCTGTCTCGGCCTCCCAAAATGCTGGGATTACAGGTGTGAGCCACCACGCCCGCCCTCAAAATAATTTTCAAGTGTCTAGGATATTGGCTACAATTGGAAAGTGCTCAAGTGTATTTGAGGAAGGAAGGAAAGTAGAAAAGAAAGAAGAAAAATGGAAGGAAGGAGAAAGGAAGATGTGAAAGCAAGAAGGAAACAATTTCTAAATGTATAAATTATATCCCTAAATCTGGTGCCACATTTCAATGATCTGCTTGGTTTCTGTGTATTCTACCAGGATCTCAAACTTAATATATTCCAAACCTAATAGCTCATTTGGTAAATGACAGATTTCACAATTAGGATATCTTGCTTGGATGGTATCAATGGTAGTTGGGTAAGACAATTTTTTTCAATTATGATATTGGTTACATATTAAAAAATCACCTGTTGTAAGCGTACGGTTTGATGAATGTTGGTAATTGTATACAATAGTGTAACCACCACCACAATTAACACAGAGGACCTGTTCTAAAGTGTTCTTGTGCCCTTGAATTTGATCGCTTCCTCCCATGCCTGACCCCAGGCAATGACTAATCTGTTATTTTGTCATAAAATTATAATTTTCTTTTCCAGAATGTCATATAAAAGGAATCATATTGCATTTACTCTTCTTGTTTGACATATTGCACTCAACACAATGATTTTGAAACCCATTCAAGTTGATGCTGAGTAGTGTTCCATGGTGTGGATGTATCACAGTTTATGTATGCATATTTGGATATATGCATATTGGGGTCGTTTCCAGTTTTTGGCCATTGTGAATAATAAAATATAGATTATAATATAAGAACAGGCAAGTGTCTTTTCTCAGGTGATAAGTCGTATTAGGTGGTCTATTTATACCCCTTCCAACACTTTGATATTATGATACACCTCTTGTCAAAGGGAAAGCTGTTGATGTTAACGATTTCAGACAAGATCAGAGCGTGAAAACCTAGGTTTTTAGCCTTAAAGAGTCCAGGAGGAGGCATTTTGATGCATATGGAAAGTGCTGGCATTGCCCTTTATCCTGAGATGCATCTTAAACATCAGATACAGCAACTCTGTGAGATTGGTCAGCTGTATGTTTAGGTGAATTTTCCTTGATGAAAGGTTAAGAGGGCCAAGAGATAAAGAGAAAGAGAGAGAAAATTGAAGATATTTTGGCATATCTAAAATGAGTATTTGATACTTAAAATATTTGTTTTGTTCAAAGTGATAACAGGAAATTTATTTCTTTCATTTTATTTAGATAATTTGCCCAAGATCACACACAGCTACTAAATGGCAGAAGAACTAGGATTTAAATCTGTATTTTTGTCTCCTTAGCTGCTATAATTCTGCTGCTTCTTAGAAATGGTGTAGCTCAAAGATGGTAAAATAGGAATTATTAGCTGTTCAGTAAGATACTAATTGAGGCTAATTATTTAGTTACCTGGAAATATTATAAATAATCACAATAATATGGCCTGAATTAAGGCTCCATATTATTTTGTCCCTAGGGAGTCCTCTCTAGATGCTTAATATAGATGAGGGGAAATTACTACTGAGTAGGATTCCTTGTTCATTCGCAGAAGAACCAATTTGGCAATGCAGATTTTTAGTTTCAGCTCATAAACAATGAATTTATTTCTGAAGAGCAGCAAAAGGATGACAAGATAACCCACCCAGTCAACTATGTAATTTTTATCAGCTTGCATTTACTGAATTAGGTTGCTACCTTTCTCAGAATGTGTAATGTTTCATGTTTATTTTGAGCAAAAGTAAATTCTGGAAAGGAGGAAGTAAAGAAAAGGGAAGCAGAAGGTAGAAGCTGTTCACACACATAATGCATGTCTACCTATTCCCTCTTTGTAGGCATTTCTCAATTTCCTTCCTCTGCTTTCTTCTCATCCTACCTTCTGTCTTAGTTATATTGTTCTCTGCTCTAGCTTCTCAGTAATAATAGCAATGATAATAACCGTAATAGTAACTCTGATATCTCTAAAATTAAAGTTAGAACTTTGAACAACTTGTTAGATACTGGCATATGGCAATTCTTAAGTCACTTTCACTCCAGTGTACCTAAAATCAAAACCCATTGCAGTGCTTTCCAAAAGAGCCTTTCCTCAGTTTCCTTTTACAGCAAACAGTATTTCATCTTTCCTAGGCATTTGAGTTCGAAAGAACAAAGTTGTTATTCATTCTTCCATCTCCCTAACTCCCACATTGATATTGTCTCCAAATTCTATCAGTTCTACTTCCTATAGCCTATTTCCATTTCCGTTGCCACTTCGCTGGTGCATAGTTTCATGATCTGTTGCTGGGATTATTACAATCACCTTGCTGACTGGTCTGCCTGATTCCAGTGTTTCACTTCTCTTATCTTTCTGTCACATTTCTACGAGAGATAAGGCCGTCTTCCTAAGGCATGGCTTAGATCATTTTATTCCCTTGGAAAGCTCTAATAATTTTCAGCGCCTATTGGAATAAAGTCCAAACTCACTGCTGTACTAGTTAATTATTGACTTTTTTCTCTTCCCTTGTAAGTTTCCTACAGTTAAGGACTAGTCTTATCCATGCCTTTCCCCTCTCCAGCCTCCCAGGAACTTCAAACACAGTGCTCCACTTACGTAGAGTTCACATATTAAATAAACAAAACGATGATGCTGATAGGAAAAGATAGGCTTGAAGTTTGAAAGGCCACTAGGTGTTTTAGGAGTTTATTGGTGACATGCTAGAAAGCAGTTTGAGCAATGTGATGGGATAACTTCGTCAAAAAAAAGAAGGAGAAAGAAGATGACAAACTGTTTACTTAAGAATTTGAGATGGAGGTTGTCAACATCAGGAATATGCAGTTTGGGGTTTGCAGGTTTTATTTTCAGATCGTAGCCCAGCATCTCTCTCTCCTGATGTTCTTAAAGAACGTCTTGGAGTATTGGAAGGTAGCAGGTCAAGTTGCTCGTTCAAATACTGTGCTTGCTTGCTTTTGCCTAAGCCATTGGCCTGGTAGCCCTAGTCTTCTAGAAGGAAGATTGATGCTGAGGGCTGCCCTGGCAGCCCTGTCGGAATTCACTAAGTGCCCCACATTTTCAGGCTCCATTCCTGAGGAGTTAACAGTGTCCATATCAATTAGCTGGCAGGGCTCTGAGTCCCCAAAATGGTCTTTTATGCAATGAAAGTGGCAGCAGGCCAGCACTAGTTCCCCCAGTGACAAACCGTATGCTCAGTTCCCCAGTGTCCGTAGACACCATGCACTTTTCAACAGTCCTGGCTCTAAGGCCCCAACCTTCACATTGGAATTCTGCAGTACAGGAATTGCTTCCAGGATTTTACCAAGAGCTGGAATTCTTTCAAGTCAGAATCTCTTGTAATCTCTGTATGTTAGTCTCCTTCCATCTTTCCACCTATGTGATTCATTCTCTCTCGCTCTCGCTCTCCTCCACCTCTCTCTTTCCCTCCTTCTCTTTTTCTTTGAGAGACAGGGGTCTTGCTGTGTCACCCAAGATGGAATGCAGTGACACAGTCGTAACTGACTGCAGCCTTGAACTCTTGGCCTTAAGCAATCCCTTTGCCTCAGCCTCCTGAGTTATGTGGTTCTCTCTTAATAATAGCTTTGTTGAGTGTTTTGACCATGCCTGACACTGTTTTTACATGCATAATTTTATCCTCTATGAGATGAAGTTACAAATATTGTTCCCACTTGGCATATGAAGCGGCATGCTTAGAGCAGGTAATTTGACTTTCAGAGGTCATAAAGCTTGTTAGGGGCAGAGTGTACTTGGAGAAGCTGGGACCTGCTGAGTTGTCTGTATTCAGAGCCTGTGCTCTCAAGCACTATGCAAATGCTGCTTCTTCTTGGGTACCCAGTAGGACTACAAGCCAGTGAATTGCACTAGAGAAAGTATAGAATGCTGAGATGGTAAAATATTTTGAGTTTGGCAAATGATGAAAGCCATTGTATTCTTTCCCCTTCTTGTTCTCCAATTATTTCATCATTCCATAAATGGTTTCAACCTTGCATATAAGGTACACGTATATTTTGGGGAACAGTAATTTTATAGAGGCTCACCAAAATCCCCAATCTTAATAGCAACTTTCTGCCTCTTTTTCTTGCCGCTTCATCCCCATCTGCACTAGACATAATCTTGAAGCTAAGAGAACATAGTTAGCTCCCAACAGAAAACATGCCTGGAGTTCTCTTGCAGATCCCCATTCTCTTAGGAAGTATAATGAAGCAGTGCCAGTTCATTGTTTTCTCGGTCTATTGTCTGATTTCCTTGAAGACCAATATAATTGCATCAGTATTCTCCCTAATCCTAATAACCTCCCTCACCCGCCCACCACACACACACACACACACACACACACACATGTTTTTCCTTATTAATTGGTCTTTGAGTTAATGGCCTGAGACACTTTCAAATGGAACATGATGGTCCTTTATGCAGTTAGAACTCTGGCAAGAGAACAGTCACTTTGTTGGGGTAGACCCATTGATTTGGTGCTAGAATGTTTCAGATGTAGATTAGATAGGAATCGAGTGGGACTGACTCAAAGGCACTATTTATTAGCTCACATGCCCTACCTAATCTTAGCTGATGTGTCTGTTGTTTGCTTCTAGTACTCAGGTGTATTTACCAATGTTCATCTGTAGCCATAAGTTACTTAGTATACCCTCTGACTTTCTTGAAAGTCTGACCTTTCCCCCTCTATGACTTCTAGGAGAATAAAATGGAAATATATACATATTCCTTTTTTTTTTTTTTTTGAGACAGAGTCTCCCTCTGTTGCCTAGGCTGGAGTGTAGTGGCTCGATCTCACCTCACAACAACCTTCACCTCCCGGGTTCAAGTGATTCTCCTGCCTCAACCTCCCAGATAGCGGGGATTACAGGCGTGCACCACCATGCCTGGCTAATTTTTGTATTTTTAGTAGAGACAGGGTTTCTCCATGTTGGCCAGGCTGGTCTCAAACTCCTGACCTCAGATGATCCACCTGCCTCAGCCTTCCAAAGCGTTAGGATTACAGGCATGAGCCACCATGCCTGGCCCAATATATACATATTCCTGTTGCTTGGCCATGATCTAAAAACTTGAAGGGGCTATCTGCCAGAAGGTTTTGGGATGATATCTGTTCAGTTCTGAAGGCAAGTCTGTGCATATCTCATCCCTCACTGACTTTTGCAGCCACTTCTATACTAATAACGTTGCCTTCTACCCTGAACGCTGAACTGTCCTATTTTGGAGGCTCTTACGGGTTAGTTCCCCAGAAACCATCTGTTCCAAATGTGCTTGATTTCAGCTTAGGACTTTCCAGAAAAGCCTTCCTTGACTTAGAAGAAAGATAACATTCATTGATCTTGCTATGCTCCCATCTCATCACTTCCATTTTCCTCCCCAGGGACACAACAGTCATCAGTCACTCTCCTAACACCAGCTATGACACAGCTCTAGAAGCTCGCATCCAGAAAGAGGAGGAAGAAATCTTGATGGCCAATAAGCGTTGCCTTGACATGGAGGGCAGGTAAAATGTTGTTCTGGACCCTGAGGAATCTGAGACATTGATATAGAGACCACATAGGATCTTTATTCACAGCTAGGAAATCTGATCATGCAGCCTCCCCGCTCCACCATCACCCCTGCCAGCCTGTCACTTAAAGGTGTGAGATGCAATGACCTTTACCTTGATAATCTCCACTAAACATGGAATTCCAGGTAGGGTTTCTGTCCCTTTGGCCTTCCTAATTGCTTTTCCTCTTCCCTCTGCCTGAGCTGAATTGTTGGCATTTGCACTCTGGAGTATTCTTTCTAGCACTGCACCACAACCCTGTGATACAGCAGATTGCTTAATAAAAGAGTAAAAGAACATCTGCTCGGCCGGGCACAATGGCTCACACCTGTAATCCCAGCACTTTGGAAGGCCAAGGCGGGCGGATCACCTGAGGTCAGGAGTTCAAGACCAGCCTGGCCAATATGGTGAAACCCTGTCTCTACTAAAAATACAAAAATTAGCCAGGTGTGGTGGCGGGCACCTGTAGTCCCAGCTACTCAGGAGGCCGAGGCAGGAGAATTGCTTGAGCTTGGGAGGCAGAGGTTGCAATGAGTCAAGATCATGCCATTGCACTCCAGCCTGAGCGACAGAGCTAGAGTCCGTCTCAACAACAACAACAAAAAGAACATCTACTCAAAGTGGAGGTAGGATACCTGATTCCTTTTATAAACACATGATCATTTACTTACTACCTGCAGGTTGTCGCTCATTCATAGATCTCATCTTCTCACTGAGTAAATTGTTTCCATTGACTGAGATTCTTCACTACAGCACCTAGTACATCAGTTCATTCTCTCATATTCAGCCTTTTTTTTCACTGGTACTTTATTGTGACTTACTAAGATTTAAGCAACAGCTCCTGGATGCTCTGCTGTATCCATTTGGGTGTGCAGAAAAAAGAAAAAACATGTTTTAAAAACTGTAGCACACCATCCCTTGTTTTCCAACTCAGAACTAACTAGATCAGCCTTTAGTCGAAAAGATAATGGGAGCTCCACGTAGTCATGTAGTCAATTAGACCAAAATGTGGAGGTAGCAAGAAG
This sequence comes from Homo sapiens, assembly GCF_000001405.40. Lineage (NCBI taxonomy): Eukaryota > Metazoa > Chordata > Mammalia > Primates > Hominidae > Homo > Homo sapiens. Next base: position 112,781,469 of record NC_000023.11, on the reverse strand, counting down.
GTTTTTTTTTTTTTTTTTTTTTTTTTGAGATGGAGTCAGTCTTGCTCTGTCACCCAGGCTGGAGTGCAGTGGCACTATCTTGGCTCACTGCAACCTCCGCCTCCCAAGTTAAAGTGATTCTCCTGCCTCGGCCTCCCGAGTAGCTGGGACTATAGGCGCCTGCCACCACACCCAGCTAATTTTTGTGTTTTTAGTAGAGACAGGGTTTCACCATGTTGGCCAGGCTGGTCTCGAACTCCTGACTTTGCAATCCGCCCACCTCGGCCTCCCAAAATGCTGGGATTACAGGCGTAAGCCACCGCGCCCAGCCCACAACAAGGTCTTTATATGTTCTTTGCCTTTGGCTCCTAGGATTAAGACCCTCCATGCCCAGATTATTGAGAAGGATGCCATGATCAAAGTACTCCAGCAGCGTTCCCGGAAGGAGCCGAGCAAGACAGAGCAGCTGTCGTGCATGCGGCCAGCGAAGTCTCTGATGTCCATTTCCAATGCTGGATCAGGCTTGCTCTCCCACTCATCCACCCTGACTGGCTCCCCCATCATGGAAGAAAAGCGAGACGACAAGAGCTGGAAGGGGAGCCTAGGTAATGACAGTAAATAAGGAAGATTATAGTCACGTGTTCAAAGAGAGCCCTGAGATAAGCACCCATGCTTAAGGAAAAGGGATGATGGTCCAGGTTCTAGAGAGGAAGGTGTACCAGGGTTTTGGAGTTTTTTTTTCCTCCTGAGACCCTAGTTCCACATTCTGGAGCTCCTCCACACTTTGAAGTCTCCCGGTGAGAATACCGATTGAGGCCAAGGCTTAGAGGACAAGAATCTTGAGTTTCATTTGGGTGTCAAGGAAGATAACTCTAATTTCCTCTAAACTATTCTCAGATTTGGCCTTTGCCATGTGGCACCTTTATCTTTCTCCAAAGCCCATGTGGCCTTTGTGTCGTTCCAAATGTCAAAATTCCGGCATTTCTGTGTTCCTTCCTCCTCTATAATAGGAGAACCCAGAGTTTTAGTTACACTAAATCGTTTGGGTAGCAGGTTTTGTTCCCACAGTGTTGTGAGATGAGAACAGAATGTACTTTTTCATTCCGTTCCTGTCCATTCCCTCCCCTCTAATCAAAACCCCAGACATATTGTGGATACCACGAGGCACATTTTTAGAGCCCGAGGAAGGAAGCTTATATATATTTTTATTTTAACCCTTTTTGTTGCTGTTAATTCCTTTCTTGGTCCTCTGATACTTGTAATATCTTTTGGTTAGAATAAGCATTTTGGGGACTATGGTCATGGTGAGAACCTCAGATCACACAATTATTACCACACTCAATCTGTGTCAACAGACTTCTTCCCCAGATCCTTTCTTGCTCCCTGGTAACGTGTGGTAATGGTTTATAAGTGGAGCCGAGTAGGAGCATTCTGACAACTTGGTGGAACCCAATCACCATTGGAAAAATAAATCAAAACAGATACCCAGGTCACTTACAGGCTTAATATGTTGTGCCAGGTGATGGATGAGGACCAGAAGGGATCCTCGAAGTCTGTAGGAAACTTTTAGCCATGGTTGGAGGAGCCTCACACACTGATTTCTGGGTTCCCTGGAGGCAAAAATAAATAACTTAGACTATTCTAAATTATTTAATATTTAAAAATAATAATATTTTAAATATTTAAATAATATTTACTTATTTAAAAATAAATAAATTTCTTCTGAAATTTGAATGGGAGAACAGGTAATTAGATGTCTGGATTTGAATCACCTATTGTTTTCTAACATCTGTTCCTCTTTCATTTGTAGGCATTCTCCTGGGTGGAGACTACCGTGCTGAATATGTCCCTTCCACACCCTCGCCTGTGCCACCCTCGACTCCCCTGCTCTCGGCTCACTCCAAGACAGGCAGCCGAGACTGCAGTACCCAAACTGAACGTGGGACGGAATCGAACAAAACTGCAGCTGTTGCTCCCATCTCTGTTCCTGCTCCAGTTGCTGCTGCCGCCACTGCTGCCGCCATCACTGCCACTGCTGCCACCATCACCACCACCATGGTAGCTGCTGCTCCAGTTGCTGTTGCTGCTGCTGCTGCTCCAGCTGCTGCTGCTGCCCCGTCTCCAGCCACTGCCGCTGCTACTGCTGCTGCTGTTTCTCCAGCTGCTGCTGGTCAGATTCCAGCTGCTGCCTCTGTTGCCTCAGCTGCTGCCGTTGCTCCTTCTGCTGCTGCTGCTGCTGCTGTTCAGGTTGCTCCAGCTGCTCCGGCTCCAGTTCCAGCTCCGGCTCTGGTTCCGGTTCCAGCTCCAGCAGCGGCTCAGGCTTCTGCTCCTGCTCAGACTCAGGCACCAACTTCAGCTCCGGCTGTGGCTCCAACTCCAGCTCCAACTCCAACTCCAGCTGTGGCTCAGGCTGAGGTTCCTGCAAGTCCAGCTACCGGTCCTGGACCACATCGTTTGTCTATACCAAGTTTGACCTGCAATCCAGACAAAACAGGTAATTATTCCCTTTAGCAGGTAGGTTTTGGTTTAGTTCTGCTCTCAAATACAGATTTATTTCTTGTTGTCTGATGTCTGGGCAGAGTTATCATTTGGACTGAGTTTTTCACGTTCTAAAGGAGAGAGAAGAGAGTCTGTAAATGACTTCTCATCCACCAAGATGGGAACAGGCATGAGTAGAGGCCATTATCTTAGCAGAAGTAAATGAGGGAGGTGGCAGGCAAGTCTCACTTTGCCATTGGCTTCATGAGGGCTCTGATGGTGTCTGGTTCTAGAAATATGGGTTTTTTCTTCATCCCTAAGTGTTTTCTAACCCTTATTTCCATTTAGATGGGCCTGTGTTCCACTCCAATACTCTGGAAAGAAAAACTCCCATTCAGATCCTGGGACAAGAGCCTGATGCAGAGATGGTGGAATATCTCATCTAAACGGCCAAATCAAGAGCTGCAGATTATCAGCAAAAATGCTTTTAATCATTTTCCCCCTTTTATTGGTTCTTGTTTTGAGGGTGAGGACAAGGGTTGTGGGGAGGGGATGTTTTTTAACAGGACTTTTTATTGGAACAATGTACTACTTGAGTAATACCATGTGAACACCAGTCTATTTTGGTATGCTTAGGGAGTACCTCTAAAGACAGATTAATCAGAATGTGCTCTAAAGCTTATTGTTTGAATTTATACGAATACTGGGACTGTTAACAGGTGGCTATACATCGACGTTTTCAATGTGCTTAAATTTGTTTAAATTTTCCATATTCTAGATCATTTTTTATTGAAGAGCACAGTATGTGTGGAAGACAGTGTATAACACGTAGTTTGGAAGTGGGAAGCTAGAGAGAATTGAGTGTGTGCTGTTTTGTATAGTTACTATCCTGTGCAGCAGCTGGAGAAAGCACTCACCTCAGGCTTACAAAAGGGAATAGTTTCAGGAGCTATGTAAGCTGGAAAAAAGGTAGGGAGTTTTGGGGTGCAGAAGGGTACTGGAGCTAATTTTTTCTTCCAGTTTCCCAGCTACCCTGCCCCAGGGAATTGTGTTTGTCTTCATTTCAGTGGTGCTTTGGAAATGGATTCTTTTGGTTCCCTCCTGGAGGTTCATACATTCATATATATGCTCTGGAGTAATTTATGCATTTGGATAATTAATATATTGCTTTCAGATGCTGGGAGAGTACATTAACTGAGTGATGCGCAACTTCCTCTCTCTTAGGGAATTAGACCATCAGAGGCCTTGATGGAGAGTTGCATGGGGTGCTATATGCAGACTTCCATGGTTTGTGTGTAGCCATGAACACAGCTTGCTTGCATTTAGTAAGACCAATCAGCTTAGTGTTTATTTCTTCTACAGCACAGATTCACTGGCTGGGTCTCCAGTCTCAAATTGCCAATCATTTGCAAAGTGAGGAAGGATCTTTGTTGACAGGTTGAATGCTTTGAATTTCTGGTGACTACTTTGAAATAACTTGTTTTGTTTGTCAAATTCTAAGCATATGTCTTAAAAGGCATTTTTGACTATCACCTCCAAGGGAATAGCTTGAGAAACCCAAAGTACTATGCTGCAGTCGGGGGAGAGGTGGATTGCAGCAGTATCCTCAACTACCTCTTCTCACTGTCAGTGACACCATCTTGGAATACCTTTGGGAAGCAGCAGGAAATGTGCATGTGGGTAGAGATCAAAGGAGGCAATGGCTCCAAGCCTTGCCATAGGGCTGCCTCCAAGGACACAGAAGGATGCCAGTTGCCACAGGTCCCTGCCCTGTGTCACCTGTCTGCCCTTCATTAAGGTGAGAAATCTGCAGATAGCATCATTAAGATCAGTTTTAAGGGGTATAGGGAGGGTGAGGGAAGTGGGGGGTGTTAGGTAAGGGTTGGGGGTAGAGGTTTTGGGATGTCTTAGTTAGAAACCAGATTAATAGAAGAGTAGGCCTGATATATTACATCATGAGCCATAGTGGTGGGAAAGAACTTTAGCAATATAGCCCTACCTCCTCATTTTAGTGATGAGGAATCTGAGAACTGGAGAGGTTCAGTGACTTTTTGAAAGTCATACAACACAGCTAACCATTATGCCAATCACCATGCTTATTTTGGGAAACTCTTTATCTTTTTTAAATTCCATTTTATGAAAAGGCATCTTCATGGTCCAGGGAATATGTATCTTGTAAAATGTACCTGGTTGGAGTAGCTTGTCCAGTCTTGACAAACTACTGAATTTCTGTCTTGCCTCTCCTTCAGTGCCTTTTAAAAGGTTTTCCCTTTTCTGATCTGCATTTCAACATAGAGTCACATAAATGTCCCCCTGAGAAACCAATCCCACTTCTTTCTAGGAGATTGGGTATCTTAGATAATCTTTTGGGGTTCCTCTGTGAGTATAGGAATGGTATCCTTCCTAATTATCTTCCAAAGGAATTATTTTGTGTGTGTGCCTGTGTGTGTGTAGAGACATAAAGGAGGGTGATGTGATTTTCAGCTAGTCCTTTCACATTTTCAATAATGAGGTAATCATGTTACATACACATTAGTCCTCAGTTATAAAGTGAATCTCAGATAGAAATTAAAAGTGCAGTTGTGTTAAGACTCTTTCATACTACCCTTTAGTCATAAGGAGAAAAAAACACTCAAATAGTAGAAGCAGCAAGTAGCAAACTTCAGGAGAGCTACTTTCTATCCAAATAATTTAAAAAACACTTTTCACCTACTCCTTTCATGGTTATAACACATTGGCAGACTTTTTGCTGGCTCTGGGAGCCATGATTTTAATCACATTCTGCAAGGTGACAAATGTCATACATTCCACATTGTGTGGTAGCCATCTCTTTAGACTCATGTGTTTTGGGGAAAGGAAGAAGTTCTTGGCTGAGTACTATTTTGAACTTTCCAGAACCCTCTCACACCAGAGACAGTTCTTCTCTGTTCAGTTTCCAATCCCCGATAATTTGCTAAAATAACATTGTACATCCAAGAGAGGGAAGAAGAGTATGTCAGTATATTATGCAGAAGATAGATACAGCCTTTTCAGAAGATCTCCACTAGTTTTTGTTCCAAAAATTCAAGTTTATGGGAGAAATCTCAATTAGCCACCTTTTCACAGTTGTGTGGATATAACATTTGGGGGATCTTTCTGGACTCCTACCTATCTGTGCATTTTACCGGCACCTCAGGAAAGGAGGGTGACCAGGTTGTCTTAGCTTGTACTGCTTGGTGATCTCTGAGGACCTTCTAATTCAGTTGTACCCCAGTGTTCCATGTATAGAAAAACTTCATTAGAACAAACTTTACTTGATATGAAACTCCTATTAACAGTCTTTTTTTGAAATAAAAAGTAGCTTGAGCTTTCTTTTAAAATCATGTATCTTGATTGTTGATTTAATGAAGGATTTCCTTTTAATGCTGCTTTTGAGCTTCAAGGTAATAGGACAGCAGGAACCTAAAATATCTGCCATCATCTGCCATAGGAAAGATACCCAGAGACCCATCATGTTCTCTTTTTGTTGTTACACTGTTGGGTGGGTATAACAATTGGAAAATGAACAAACTGATTGATTGTGCAAACTACTTTTTATGACAAGCCTAAACCCTCATAATGCGGCAGCTTAAAGTGTATACATATGCACTAACTTTGATCAATTATATTCTCATATCTGTTAGCTACACAGTCTCCTATTATCTCAATTGCTTATGTGCATATGGAATATGTTACTTAAAACGTGTGCATTCTTACTGAAAATGTTTTCAAAGGAAGGTATCAGCTGTGGGCTAATTGCCACCAATTTCAGCCTGCCACGATTCTTGGAAATATGTCTTCCAAGTGCCATCCATCATCAGTAGGACAAGTGTCGGGAGTTTGTTTATTTTTTTCCAGTAGCAACGATGGGTTACATGGAGCCATGAAACCTCCTTCTGGCCTCCCTTGTGATTAATGGCATGTGTTTGTAAAATGGATAGCTGGGGTTGGCAGATGGCTAGAGAAGAATCGCCTTTGGTTTAAAATGTATGTGGTCCCCTAATGATTGTGACCCCATTCTGTAATCAACTGAGCTAGTTCCAATAAAGTTAAGCAGGTTTAAATCCACTTTGTGCCTATCTTTTCACTGACAATAAAGTTAGCTATTTTAAAATGCAGTACCGTGTGGAAAATGCTTTGGTGTTTACCCGACAGAGGCTTTATTTGTGCTGTATCAGTGATTACTTTCAATTCAGTATGCAGTGAAATTGCCTTTCAAGGGCAGCGTGCAGCAGAATTTGCATTTGCTTGAAGTATGGAATGTGATTATAGATTATAAAGTATTAAGACAACACCACAGGCCGCATGCTCTAATCGGTCTCTTTATATACTCAGGCAGCATATATTAAAAGCTTTGCATCTTTTTATCTTCTGGTTTCTAGGGATAAAATGATGGCCACCCAAAGCAGAGAATTTATCCTTTGGTTAGCATTTTGGAAGGCCCCTTGATATTCCTTTTGTACCCTTGTTCTGATGCCAATTCATCAGTTTTGGTTGAGGGAGCTTGTTATTAAAAACAAATCAAAACCACAAACGAGTTGGCTCTTCACTGAAAATGTTAAGGCTGCCTTTACACTGCCCTTTCTGTGCCTCCTGTTTACCAATGAGTTCCAAACCTGACTGGTGAGGCAAGGATCCCCAAGGACTTTGAAATGACACGTTTTCACAGTGAAATAGACTTGATGGGTGTTGCGAAAGGGATAGGGCAGGGGTCTAGAATTCATTCAACTGTAAATTTGATTTTTCTTAAAGTTGGACTTGATTCCCTCCATATTTATGATAAGTGCTTTGAAAACCGTATGGATGAAAGGCCTCCCTCTTTTTCAGGACAAAGAAGATAAGGTATTAAGTTAACCAGACCTTCTTACAAAGCTTTGCAAAGCATTCTTTTCAGAAATGTATTGCGCCCATTTCTTAAGGAGCAGTCACTTGTTGAAAGAAAAAGCAAATGTTCCTTCAAAAATGTGTTAGATTGGCCGGGCATGGTGGCTCACGCCTGTAATCCCAGCACTTTGGGAGGCTGAGGAGGGTGGATCACGAGTTCAGGAGTTCAAGACCAGCCTGGCCAAGATGGTGAAACCCCATCTCTACTAAACTACAAAAATTAGCCAGGCGCGGTAGCAGGTGCCTGTAATCCCAGCTACTTGGGAGTCTGAGGCAGGAGAATCACTTGAACCCAGACGGCAGAGGTTGCAGTGGGCCAAGATCTTGCCACCGCATTCCAGCCTGGACGACAGAGTGAGACTCCGTCTCAAACAAAAAAAAAAGTGTTAGATTGCATTGTAGGAGCATTTCTAGATATTATTATCCAGTTATATAACTGATCTGGCATCTGCATGGTACTTCATCTCTCCCTTTCTGTGTGCACTTCTTATTGAGATAAGTGATCTGCACACCCTATATGAGTTACACAGTGGCAGAAAAAAAATGTTCTGCTTCCCACCTCCATCTTATTCTGCAGTAAGGTTTTTATTGGAGAAAAAAAATGTACATGGTTTGGTCTTAGATCACTTTCTACATTGACTGGCAATTGCCCTTGTATTTCAGTGAAGAGCCCTGTGTTACAAGACTTAGTTTTCAAGAAGAAAAATGTTCCCCACAGCACCAAAATTTTATAACACATTACAAATACCCACCCTTTAGATGCACAAACTAACCAAGCCCATGGTATGTATTTTGGTATCCGTGTTTTTTTATTTGCTAGTAGCCTCTACCAATGGATTCAGGCACATGTGAGTTGTTGAATAACTACTTACTAGATGGTGCCATTATGTAGATGGCCCTAGAATACAAAATTTAAAAATAGTCCATGATTCTAGTTTATTACAGAAAACCACACACAGACACACACATTTATAATTCATTGTGATATATGAAATAGCAAAGGTTTGAACAAGAATACAGAACTAATGCAAAGGAAGGAATGATTGTTGGGATGGCATAGGGAGAGGGGAGTGGAGAGGAACTAAACTGAGCTTTGAAGGATATGTAGATGTTAACTAAGTGAACCAGAGGATGGGGATCAACATTCCATGCAGAAGGCATAGCATGTGCAAGGACAATCTCACTTTGTCAGACCCGCAATCAAATGAAGACTCCGTTTCCAAGATCAAAGTCCCTAGAGAACTGCTCTGAATTTTAACAACCTACTAAATGGAAACACAAACTCACTCAGTCAGGTGGTAGAATATACTAGTCTAGAAGTCAAGAGAACATAAAGTTTCAGTCCTACAGCTGCCACTAAACAGATACTTACTTGTGGGCAAGTTCCTTAACAGGATCAGAGAAGTTTATCAGTAAAATGGGGATAAATACCTGTCCCTGTGAACCTTGTGGAAAGGGATAGGAGAGGCTAACAAAGTAAGAATATAAAAATGCCACTCAAGGCTGGGCACAGTGGCTCATGCCTATAATCCCAGCACTTTGGGAGGCCCAGGCGGGCAGATCACCTGAGGTAGGAAGTTTGAGACCAGCCTGACCAACATGGAGAAATCCCATCTCTACTAAAAACACAAAATTAGCTGGGCGTGGTGGCGCATGCCTGTAGTCCCAGCTACTTGGGAGGCTGAGGCAGAAGAATCACCTGAACCCGGGAGCCGGAGGTTGCCGTGAGCCAAGGTCGCGCCATTGCACTCCAGCCTGGGCAATAAGAGCGAAAACCCCGTCTCAAAAACAAAAACGAAAACGAAACAAAACAAAAAAGATGCCAGTCAAAGCAAAGGGCTGAATCTATAAAGATGAGATGGTTTCTTTAACTTTTTATTAAGGAAAAATTCAAGCATATGCAAAAACTGAATACCTAGGGCACCTCCATTTACCCATTTCTAGGCTTCAACAATTATCAGTACATGGCTGATCGTGCTTCCTTTATCACCCCCACCCACCCTATATTATTTTGGAGCATATCCCAGACATCATAGCATTTCATCCATAAATATTTCAATATGCATAATGATAAAATTTTTAATAATGAAAAAGTCAAGTGTTATATCTGGAACCAAAATATGTAACACATCAAACAAACAAAACGACAGCATGTTTGTGCTTTGCCACTTACAAAGCTTCTTGGTTTCATACCACAACTCATGCTTTAAATTGAAACATAAGAGGGGTTCCTTCTCTCACAACCCACATATCAAAGGGCAGGATTTTTTTTTTTTTAAGGCTCTCCAGTGTAGGTTCCAACTTATTATTTATCCTTCACTCATATAAAAAGCTCTGTCTCCCTTAATGTCCCTGTCATCCAGCTTTTCCTTGTTTACCCTCGTTTACTAAGTTGGTCACTATCCCAAGTGCACTGATGGTTTTGGGCCCTGGTCACAGTTGTCTCTCTACCCCAAACAACCCAGACAGCATCTTGGCCCATCAGCTCCTTGGCCTCTCTGCCTTCACTGACCTCCACGTCCATTCCACCTCAGCTCACTGTGCCCATGGCCAACCCAGAACTGGTCATCAATCAGCACTGCTCCACTGTGGACATGTCCACCAGTACCCCACTCTCTGACCACAGTCTCCCACCCTCTCAGTTTGCCTGCTCTGACTCTATCTACCTTTTCACATCAAAGAGACCTCAAATCCCTCAATGCCTCCATTTCCTCCCAAACTTTTAGCTCTTACCCATCTATTCTTGGCCTCAAACTCAATCACTTGAACCTGCAATCAATTCATACCCTCCAAGAACCTCAACCATTCATTACAAAATCAGAAACTCATGAGTCATCCTTGATACCTCTCTCTCTCTGATAGCTAACATCCAATCTATTACTGATCCTATCAAAATAAATCTCAAAACTCATTCACTTCATTCCAACTCTACTGCCAACAGCCTATTCTAAGCCACCATTATCCTTCACCTAGACTATTTTAGTAGCCTATTCACTGATATGTCATGCCAAATCTTTTGTTGTTGTTGTTGTTGTTTTTGAGACGGAGTCTCACTCTTGTTGCCCAGGCTGGAGTGCAATGGCGCAACCTTGGCTCACTGCAACCTTGGCCTCCCCGGTTCAAGTGATTCTCCTGCCTCAGCCTCCCAAGTAGCGGGTTACAGGCACCCACCACCACGCCCAGCTAATTTTTGTGTTTTTAGTGGAGATGGGGGTTTCGCTATGATGGCCAGGCTGGTCTTGAACTCCTGACCTCAAGTGATCCACTCACCTCAGCCTCCCGAAGTGTTGGGATTACAGGTGTGAGCCACTGTGCCCAGCCTGCCATGCTCAATCTTGTCCCACTGTTTTTATTCCAGTCACTAGTCAGCAACAAATATAATTAATATCATGTCATTTCCCTGCTTACAATCTTTCAAAAGCTTCCAATTGTAGTGTGAGTAAAATGGTGTCACAAGAGGTAAAACAACTAACCCAAAGTTTTACAATTAGTGAATTTGGAACCAGGATGCAGATATCTTGAACTATTATTCCATCAGAATCATTGTCACAAAATGTAATGAATATCTTTTTTTCTTTATGCTCAAAGGATGCTACTGAGATGACATCATTATTTTCTCTGATATTAACCTAGAGCAACTATTTTTGAAGTGTGCTCCAAACCATCTGTCTTGAAATCACCTTTTCCCTGGCCTTGCTCCCAGAGACGCTTATCCTGTACTTCTAGAGTAAGACCAAGGAATTTGCATTTTAACAAGCTTCCCAGGGGATTAAAAAAAAATTATGATAGACACACAATAATTGTACATATTTATGGGGTACAGTGTGATATTTCAATGCATGTACAAATTGTATAATAATCAAATCAGGAATATTAGCATATCCATCATCTTAACGATTTATAATTTCCTTGTAATGAGAAGATCCAGAAACCTCTCTTCCTAGCTATTTTGAAATATACAATATATTGTTAACTCTAGTCATCCTACTATGCAATAGACCACCAGAACCTATTCCCTCTATTTAACTATATAGCTTTATATCTCTCCTTCCTCTTACCTTCCCCATCCTCTGGTAACCACCATTCTATTCTCTACTTCTATGAGGACAACTTTTTAGATTTCACATATGCGCGAGATCATGCGGTATTTCTCTTTCTGTGCCTGGCTTGTTTCACTTTGATATGACATCCTCAAGGCTCATCCATGTTGCTGCAAATGACAGAATTTCCTTCTTTTTTACAGCTGAATAGTATTCCATTCTGCATATATATATATATATATATATATATATACACACACACACACACACACACACCCCACATTTTCTTTATCCATTCATCCATTGATGAACACTTAGATTGATTCCATATCTTTGCTACTGTGAACAGTGCTACAGTGAACATGAGAATGTTGCTATCTCTTCAGCATGCTGATTTCATTTCCTTTGGATATGTACCCAGTAGCGGAATTGCTAGATCTTTGTAGCTCCTTCTGAAAGCACATACTTTGAGAAGCACTGGCCAAGGATTTCCTGGCATTTATATACTTCTCTTCATCTCTTCAGTCCCCTTGCTACATAACAGACTCCCAACTGCATGTTGTCAAATGGGCAAGTCTGGTGTGGATATTAGCTATCACACACCCTGGTACTTCAGTGGACAGTCACTTTATTTTCTTAATTCACCCATAGTACCTATGGTGAAATGGCTGCCTATTCAGCTCCCCAGATATGACTCTAAGTAGTTGGATTTACTGCTCTGATCAAACAGGTCATGTTGTTGGCTACTTTTGTTGTTGGTTTACATGGTTTATAGTTCTTGAGGCAACCACAACCACATTTGTAATCTTGGCCAGCTCATTTACCTCCAATGACCGTTCTGTAATATGAGGTCACTGGATTATGATCTCTAATGTCCCATCTGGCTCTTACATTCCGTGATTCCATGAGACTAAATACTGCCTCTGAGGTCATAAATTCTTTCACACGGATCCCAAATTGGCTATGCAGCACAGATAAAAAAAAATTAAATCTGAATATACTGAAAATATTCTACAGGCCTGCAAATTTACCCATGAAGCCTCAATTTTTTTCCTCAATAGTTGTATCTGTATTTGATAATTTAGTCTCCCATTTTGGCTATACCTACTCCATTCTCCTACTTTGTATATCGTTTTCCAAAGAAGACAGGTCCACAAGAATGAATTTGCCCCCAAAATCTGAGGAGACCAAAACAGAGGAAAGGCAGGAGAGTTTGTATATATTTTTAGCCATGAGTCTGTGGTAATTTGCATTTATCCAGTTTTGTAAGGGCTAAGTGGCACAAACAAGGGAGGGTAAGAGGGAAATATTCAAGGCATTTGTCATGTCTCAGTAGATGGTCAAGAAAAGTGTGGCGGTTGCTGAGCCACCATAATACCCATGGGAATAACTAGGGATAGGAAAAGGGGAAAATAAAATTACTTTTTTGTGAACTGCCAGGTGTTGAAAACTAGTTGTGTGACAGATACATAACTTAGGTATTCTTTGCAACAGCCAAAGTTGTAAGATCTAACAGAAAAAGGCTGGGGTGGGGTTTGGGGTGGTGCATATCTTTCAATACTCTTTTCTTTCTCTCACACCCAACAGCAGATCCACACTTTGTGAGTCCTGAAGCTTACACAATTTGGAAAGTCCTCTTTAAGAAAAAGAATTTTAAAAATTATGAATACACAACCACATACTAATTATGTAAAACTAGAAATCACAGCTAAGTACAAATTTTTAAAAGCTGAGAAATACCACAAACATCACAATATAAAACCCTGAACAGTATTTTTTAATTAATTAACAGCAAACACACCTCCATAGTACTTTTTTTCTTGCATGTTTGGCTTCATATTCTTCGTTTCCTTCTTTATATGGTAATGGTTTTGCAATATTGAGATAATTCAGTCTTTCCACTAGCATGGTTGATAAAAATTTATTATTATTACTGATATTTGGGAAGCTAAAGCACACAACTTTACACACAGATGTTCTCAGTGCTGTAGAACTAATTCATGTTTGTGCTCTACGAACATAATAATTCTGATAAATTATGCTTTATGCAATTCCCATCACAGATTAAATAAAAGCACAATTCATAGTTGTGTACATTGTATTATTGAGTATATTCCTAACAGAAGAGAATTTCCTCTGTGTTTAGGCATTAATGAGATCTGAATATTCTGCATACCATTTTGCACATCAGGTGATTGAAGGAATTAGTCATGGACTAGCATCTGAATCCATACATTTCAAATCTTGTTTCTCTTCCAATATCACACACTTTCAGTGCCAAGTACCATAAGACACTTTCGTATAGTGATAAGACCTCTGGCTTTGCACCTTTGTAATTACTATGCTGGATAAGTTAGCAGAATAAACTGTAGGGGTATTTCTGGAAGCCATTCCTTTACCAGGATAAGTAAGCAATGATTTGTCTACACACAGGACTGACTGAAAACCATATAAACGTATCTCGCTAAACACAAACTGAATGTATTTCCAACTCAACTTTGCCTTTGTGGGATCTCCAACATGAGAGAAAGTATAATACAGGGAAATCAGAGTAGAAAGAGATGATACTTGTATTAGTCAAGAATCTTCAAAGAAACATAACAAAGAAACATAACCAAAGAAATATAGCATACACACACACAGGAATATAACATATATATGTTAATTTCTTTGGTTATGTACAAAGTACATAAGTAGAGCATTTGCCCCTGCTCTACTCATCCTGGTTTCTGAACTTGTTGAAAACTAGGGTATAGTTTTTACAACTCAGGTGGATCCCTCATCTTCAGGAAGTATATTTTTGTTAAAGCTTTCTGAGATCTATGCCGTCCTTTCTATATTCTCAGTGTTTCTCTTCACTGCCTCCCATCCCTTCCTCCCTTTCCTCTGGTTTCTCCCTTTTTTTCTCATATTTTTGTTACTTTTGGCAGCTACTACATATATTTTTGAATCTGTACATCATATATACATATATATGCATGCGTATATATGTATATATATATTAAAATTGTCCTATGTAATTCATACTACACATCCAATCCATCAGCAAATCTCATCAGTTCTACCTTCACAATTTACCCAGAATCTGACCACTTCCACTGAGTTCTGCCAGCTCAAGTTTCACTTTCTTCTGTTGTATCACCATCTCTTCCACAGTTCATTAATCTCCGCTTTCTATTCTTCATTTAGATGGTTAATTACTTAATTATTTTTTAAATTTTATGGAGGAATGTTTTAATCTACTCATCAGCAAAATTTTTGTGGTGTTTTGTTTTTGTTGTACTTTTCCACCTTTTAAAAAAATAGTGTGGTTTTATCAATATTGTGCCAGTCCGTTTTTAATTATCCACCTTTGCATGATTTGGATTATCCTAGCTCAGCTACTTACAGGTGGCTCCACTGATGGAAAAATGGACCAAGGTAGTCCTCCATGTTTCACAATCTGAAAAAAAGAAAAAATTTAGACAAAATTAATAGTGTTTATTTGAGCAAAGTATGATTCATAAATCGAGCAGTACTCAGAACCCAAAGAGGTTCAGAGGACTCCAGTCTGCAACTTGGGCAGTGAGTATTTATAGACAGAAAAAGGCCGAAGAAAGCAGGAACAAGAAACAAAAAGCAGATCTGTCATTTGCAACGTACCTTCCTTGTAAAGGTTAAAGCAGAGGGGACTTCCTTATCATGCTGACTAAAACTGGCCTATTTGGGGATTTGGCCATTTTCTTTCTTTCTCTCCTGATTTCTCGGAAGATCAGATAAACAACTTAGTTTCAGCTTGTTGGTGTATCTTTAGCATGGATGATTCCATTTTGGTTTGGTCTGTTGGGGCCTAGTGCAGGAGCTCAGTCCAAATCAATAGCCTCCTATAAATTTTATTTAACACAGTCAAAAACCTCTTCCGCTACAGGCAGAGAAACAGACTGCTTACTGCAAATATGGCTCCTTTGTGTGGTTCTTTGTCTAGTCCCACCTCTTCAGCCACTCTAAGCCAAACTTCGTCTGGGAGGGCATTTGCCCCTGCTCTAACTTGTTGAAAACAAGGGTATAGTTTTTACAACTCAGATGGATCCCTCATCTTCAGGAAGTATACTTTTGTTAAAGCTTGGTTTCTGAACTTGTTGAAACCAAGGTTTCTGAACTTGTTGAAAACTAGGGTATAGTTTTTACAACTCAGGTGGATCCCTCATCTTCAGGAAGTATATTTTTGTTAAAGCTTTCTGAGATCTACGCCGTCCTTTCTATATTCTCAGCACGTCTCTTCACTGCCTCCCATCCCTTCCTCCCTGTCTTCCAGTTTCTCCCTTTTTTCTCGTATTTTTGTTACTTTTGGCAGCTACTACATACATTTTTGAATCTGTACATATCTGTCTTAGTAGATGCGTGGAGCTTGTAGGGATTTTTTATTGCATTCCCCTTGTTGCTCTTGCATGATTTCCAGGAAATGAAAGGGAATATGCTGACTTCTACAGCCATTTTGATATTGCAAATGACCTTGTCTATATCTGCTCATTACTGTACCTCCAGAGCCCAGAAGAGTGCCTGATGCAAAGTAAGTGCTCAGTAAATACTTTTAATAAATGAATGAATGAATGAATGAATGAATGATTAATCTAGCAAACTGCATTCCCCCCTCCTGTATTGAGCTATTGTGGTTGCTGGAGAAAGATGTGCAGATTGGTGCCATCACACATTCATAGGCTCCAATTTCAGCTGGGACCTTCTGTACTTGTCCTTGGTCCTGTTCCCCTAAGCAAGTATTCCACACATAGTATTCTTTTCACACAACCTGCAAATATTCACCTCCCTTACTCACAGATAGCAGTCAATGCCCATTTCAATGTGGAAGCAGAGTCTGCAGTTGGGAACACGAGGTTCATATTAAAAACATATAGCAATAGGTAGAGCGCAGTCGTTGAGCCAATCGGAAAGCAGTTCAGCTGTCAACAGCTACTATTGCTGTGATGGTGTTAACCAGCTCAAAATCTGCCTCAGGAATAACCTCAATGTCCAGACTTCTCCAATGGCAGACTTACCAACAGCTTCACTCAACTCACATTTTTCTCTGGTCTCTGAGGATAAAGCATCCTTCCAGACCAAGATTAACTTTCACACCTCAATCTTCGCTCTGGACCTCACCCCTTCTCATCCTCAGGCACCTTGATCCACCCACAAGCTCCCAGTTTCCCTTGTCTGCAACCTCTTCCCTCCTCCCTGGGTCCTCCCCCAATCTAATCAAGGTGCTCAAGCTGCAGCCTCATCTCCTTCTCTTCACAGCCATGTTTCTCAGGCCAGAAACTCAGATGAGGGATCCAGCGAGAAGCCTTCTTTTCCAAACTAGGGCACAGGTGGGGAAGAAGCTGCAATTCAGAAATTAACAGAACAAGGAAAGTGCCCCAGTGCAAAGCCCCAGCAGTTGGAATTTAGTATGAAGGAACCTGAGGCAGGCTGCTTGAGTGCTTCCTGAGGTGGGATAGAGTCCTTGGGGTAGATCAGTAGGTCCAGCTGTGGGGTAGTCCAGGCAGACAGAGGCAGAGACAGAGAAGCTGAAGAGGGGGTGGCTGATAATGACAGTCGTCTTCAAATATTTGAAGGGCTGTCAAGTGAAAAGGAAGATTTACACTATATAGCCCCAAGGCTAGGCCTATGAGCAACAGGTAGAACCAAAGGGGAGTGAAATTTCTGCAGTGAGAGCTTTCTATCTAAACTCTCCAAAAATGGAATGAGCTGTTTAGAGAAGGATTAGATCCTCATCATTAGAGAAGTACAGTCCAGAGGCCAAATAATCACTTACCAGACATTTATCATGCTGCAGTACTTATTTAGTCACACTCCTTTAGAAAAGTACACGTGATTTCTTTAGGTGTCCTCAGCATTTGTCACAGTGCCTGATTTAATGCCTGCTACATAGTAGGTGCTCAATGAGTGTTAGTTATTAATAATAAAAATAATGGTAAGTTCTCAGTAAATGTTTTATAAAATGACTACACTAAAATAGGATTAAAATAAGCATCATGAGGATTGGTAAACGAAGTGACATTTTTAAACATGCTATTCTTGTCGTTTCCACAAAGATCGAATATGTGAAGGCCCTTTGCAAATTGTAGAGTGTTATTATCAACATTAGGTATTGGGCCAACGATGGTGGCTCACCCCTGTAAACCCAACACTTTGAGATACCAAGGCAGAAGGATCACTTGAGTCTGGGAGTTCGAGATCAGCCTAGGCAACATAGCCAGACCCTGTCTCTAAAAAGGAATAAAGAAAGAAAGAAGTATTTTCAGAAAGTTCATCATCTTTTTTTTTTTTTTTTTTTGAGACGGAGTCTCGCTCTGTTGCCCAGGCTGGAGTGCAGTGGCACGATCTCGGCTCACTGCAAGCTCTGCCTTCCAGGTTCACGCCATTCTCCTGCCTCAGCCTCCCGAGTAGCTGGGACTACAGGCGCCCGCCACCACACCCAGCTAATATTTTGTATTTTTAGTAGAGACGGGGTTTCACCGTGTTAGCCAGGATGGTCTCGATCTCCTGACCTCGTGATCCGCCCGCTTCGGCCTCCCAAAGTGCTGGGATTACAGGCGTGAGCCACTGTGCCCAGCCAAAAGTTCATCACCTTAGTGCAGTCCTATAGTAAGCCTTACGGGCAATACGATAATACATAAGCCTGGGCCCCTGATTTTGAGAAACTTCCAGTTCATAGAAACCAAATAAATGCAAACAAAGTAATTGGAGGAAACCAGTGCTAAATTGTGTGGTGCTGTGTACATACAGCACTTCTGATGCTCAAGGGGCCAGTGTGGCCCTGTTACTTTGTTGATGATTGCTGACATTCTTTAAGACTTCAGCATTGACTTCAACAGTAACAGGATTTGTGACTTTGGACACTGTCATAGCTCCTTGGCATCTGTTTCCTCATCTGATAAATGAGAATAATAACTCCTGGTTTACTTTGAGGACCAAGTGATGTAATGTGCCAGAATATACTTAGTCAAAGTAAACCATACTCTACAAATGAAATTATGATCATTTATCTGCTCTTGTGATACCTAGCTAATACTCATTTTTTCTTACTTATCATGCTGATAATTGGTACCCAAATCATCCAACTTCTCCTTCTCCTTCTTTTTGGAAGGAAGATAATTGAGCCCTAGAGAGCATCAATCTACTTCCTGGGGTACCTGTTGAAATGTGGGCTAAAGCGACACCCCTTGGCAGAGGTACACATCCATCCACTGGGGATGGCAACTGGTTGAGTGTAGAAGTGGGAGGTGAGGGTTGCAGAGTGCAGACTGACTGGCGTGTTGGCTGGTAACTCTTTCCCTTGTCTGATATGTGCTTCTCTTTCTTGGTTGGACCTCTCCAGAAATTGCTTGCAGGCTGGCCTAAGTGTCCGTTTTCATTGTTTTTACACTGACTTCCTGCAGGACTATTTTCTGAATAGTTTTAGATCTAATCATTTCTTCCCCTTTTCTTGCTCATAGTTCTCCAGAAAGACTAGAATGTGCTGGGAATGCAACATCCTGAGATAAGTGGGGAGCTGGCTGAAGCAGCCCAGACTGTTTCAGCACCTCCCTACCCCAAAAAACAGGGATGCTTTAGCCCAGTGAGTCCTGTGACTCTAGGTGTAAAACCCAGGGTGGGTTGCTTTCTGGGGTCTCTCATCTACAGTGAAAGTGGGGGCATACTCAGTCAAGACTCCATCCACCCCAGGCAGCTTTCTGAGCCTTGGGGGACCAGTTCATAATGAATTCTAGGCATCTGTTGTCTCTTGCTGCCTACCTGTAAGTAATAAATCTGCTTCATGTAACTCGTTGCATGTGTGGGTATTCTATTTCAGCAGACTCAGACAAGTTGGTAACTGGTACACAGTGAACCTACTTGATACTTCCTGCTATGAACTGAATTGTGTCCACTCCCACCCAAATCCATATATTGAAGCCCTAACTCCCAATGTGACTGCATTTGTAGATAGGGCTTTTAAGAGGTAATAACGTTAAGTGAGGTCATAAAGGTAGGGCCCTAATCCAATAAGGTTGGCAGCCTTTTAAGAAGAGGAAGAGAGCACTCTCTATCTCTTTCTCTTCCCACTGCTTTTCTGTTTCTTTCTCCTCCCATGAGCATGCACTGAGGAAAGACCATGTGAGGACACAGTGAGAAGACTGACCTTGCCTGACAGACTTTGATCTTGGACTTTCCAGCCTCCAGAAGTGTGAGAAAATAAATCTTTGTTATTTAAGCCATCCAGTCGATACAAGTATGCTGGTCTATGGTATTTGTTACGGAGTCCTGAGCTAAGAAACATCCCATCACACTTAAGGTACATGCAGACTTGCACACAGGAGCCATGGAGGAAGTGGCTACAAATCAAGAGGAACAGAAACCCCAGCCTGATCTGCAGCCCCTAAACACAGGGAGGAGTAGTGTGTGGTATGTGAACAATTGGCGCCTGTATCCCCAGACAAGGATAGATGAAATTCAGTGTTGGGCTGGTGGAATCCACAACTGTTTTTTTAGCAGGGGGTCATTTGTGTTTTAAACTAAAGCCATATTTCTGAGCAAATTGCCGAATCCTTCTGTGGTAAAGCTGGCTAGGTTGAACCATGAGAAGCTGAGTCGCTGAAGCAAGGAACAGTCTGTTTCTTTTTTTAGTGGTCAAGTTCTGTGGAGGCCTTCTGTAGCAGATGGGATTATTTCTGCACCTTCCTCTGGTACGTTTCTCCCCCTGCTTCTCTAGAACTGGAAGTATAAATAGAAATTGAAGTCAATTTAAAAATTAAAATATACTTTTCTTTATTTGTAAATTATTGCTATTGCTGTTTTTGATTCTGTGCTCCATTGAGCAGATTTATTTCCAGGGATGCAGAGGAACAGGGGCTTCTTCAGACTACATCACCTTACAGGTCAATGCATGGGGACAGAACGAAAAACCACAGGCTTGGGGGCTGCTTCCTGCACAGGCAAAACTGCCTGCTGTCCTTGCTTCACCAACCTGCCTAGGAAAACATTTAGTTTCCAGATGCTATGTATGACAGAGCACTTGTTCTTTCTTATGGTCCATGTGACCTGAGCTACGGATGCCTCTAAGAATACAGTCAGAACTACTTTCTATAGTCATCGTTTTCAAGTAAATGAGTAAAGTTTAGGACAACAGGACAGGTGGGTGGTATAGGCTAGGAAAGATTCAGTGACATCTGCTGGCCAACCTTGACTTTCTTTAAAGCACTGCTTAAAATTCATTTGGGCAGTATCTAAAAATACAAATTCCTGGGCCTCCATTCCCAGAGGATATGATTAAGTTGGTCTGGCATGGGATCTGAGTATCTGCATATTTAATAAACTTCCCACATTACTCTGATACACAGTCAGGATTGAAAAGCCTTCTCTGTTTTCAAGAGTCTCCATAAAGAAGAGGTGGACAGAGTAGTGCAAAAATCCACATCACCTTTCTTTAGTTAGATCAGTTTCAGACCCTCAGGCTGCCAGGTTTTGAAGAGAAGCAGCTGTTTCAGGCAGATGCTTGATATGTAAGGCAAAATAAATGATCTGTCATGCTTGCTTTCAGATGAAGAAAAACGAAGTAGCATTTCGAGTTAAATGAAATGGAATATGCCATCTGAATGTTGCTATTTAAGGGACATTTATTAAATATTTAATAAGTCCCCACAGTGGGCAGAAGGGAGCTTTCCATTCTACTGTTTGTTTTAAAAAAATTGGTCCCATCCGTAGATGTTATACCAGCCACAGAACTTCAGCCCAATTTTTCATTCTTTTGTTTATGTATTCATATTTCCATACAGACCCATTCATTCATTCATCAAACCATGTACCAGAGACTGTGCTGGCTATGGGATTATAATGAGAAAGTCAAGTCTCTGCCTTTAAGGGTGCTAATGATTAAACAAACAAAAAAAAAGCAGCAGCAGCAGTCTGGCACAGATGTTACCAAAACAAAGTTGCATTTAGGGTGAACCATATATGGGCAAAAGAGGCAAAGGCTTCAAAGAAATCTATTTGTTATTATAAACCAACAGTTATGTAGTACAGTAGTCCCCCCTTATATGAGGGGGACACATTCCAAGGACCCCAGTGAACGCCTGAAACCACAGATAGTATTGTAGCCTACATATACTATGTTTTCTTCCCATACATACATCCCTATGGTAAAGTTATAAATTAGGCAAAGTAAGAGATTAACAACAATAACTAATAATAACATAGAACAATTAAAATGATATGCCAGCATCATCACTCTTGCCGTTTGGGATTATTATGAAGAAAAACAAGGGTGACTTAAACATTGCAATACCATGGCAGTTGATATGATCACCGAGACAGCCACTAAATGATTAACAGGTGGCTGACATCTACATGGACAAAGGGATGATTCATGTCCTGGGCAGGATAAAGCAGGATGGTGAGGTATTTAATCATGCCACTCAGAATGGCAGGCAATTTAAAACTTGTGAATTGTTTATTTCTGGAATTTTCCATTCAATATTTTTGGGCAGCAGTTGACCATGGATAACTGAAATCACGGAAAACAAAAGTGCTTAATAAGGGGAGATTACTGTATTTACTAAATACCTGGTTTGCTCTATGTGTCTTACATCTATTAACTCATTTCATCCTCAAAATAATGCTAAGAAAGAAATACTGCTTTCCTCATTTTACAGATGAAGAAATTTTGATGCAGAGAGATTAACTCATTTATTAAGAGGCAGAGCTAAGATTCAAAATCCTGTTCTTAATCGCTTTGCTACAGTCCCTTCTCCTTGATGTCTGAAATCCCCACCATTAGAGAATCATTGCTCTTAATCACTGTAACAACCAACAATGGTAGCATTTGTGAAATACTTAATATGTGCCAGGTACTGTTTTAAGCACTTAAATATATTGCTTATCTCATTTAATTTTTACAACAAATATCCCCATTTTAGAAGGAGGAAGCTGAGAATCAGAGAGGTTAATTCAGTTGCTCAAGGTCACACAGCTGGTAAGTGGCAAAGATTTGATTTGAAACAAGTTCTGTCTGAAGAGCCCACACTCAACTGCTATATCATATTGCCTTCCAGAAACTAGTGACACAATTAAGGCAATGTGATGGCAAGAGGGCAGTGATTAAAAACACGCACACTCCAGAGCCAGAATGCCTAGAATTGTACCTGCTCTACCACTTACAAGCTGTGTGACCATGATACAGTGTCCTCATCGAGAAAATGAGGATGATAACAGTATCTATCTCACAGAGCTGTCATGAGGATTAAATGGATTAATATAAGAAAGTAAATAAAGAATGCCTGCCACACGGTAATCACTATATAAATATTGGCTATTACTATTATTATTCCTTCATATGTCCAAAAGAAGCCATTATCACACATCTCAATATGAGTGTCTATCAGGTGTTGGCTAGCTTGTCACCTAGCAAAGCTCCGAGAAGACGTAGTATAGGATTTGTGTGGGAGGGGGATTATGACGAAGGGCATTCCAGGCAAAGGCATGAAATTCAGAAGTAGCATGGTATGTTTGGAGTTGGGACTGCAAGATTCTCAGAATGACTGGGACAGAATGTATTTGAAAAATGTTTAAAGCTGAAGCAGGGCAGGTAGGCAGAAACCGCATCATAAGGAGTCTCACCTGCACACACAGGGATTTGGACTTGACCCTCTGGAGAGTTATAGAAGGTTTTAAGCAGGAGAGGGACATGGCCAGCTTTGCATTTTAGAAAATCATTCTCTCAGCAGCCTGGAGAATTGATTGAAAGGGGTCAGACTTAAAGCAAGTTTTGACAATAGTTTTTTTTTCTCTCTCTCTCCCTCTCTCTCTTTCAATGAGTAGTAATGAGTGCCTGAACTAGGGCAAGTATTAGCAATGGGAATGAATTTCAGAGACAATTAGGAGGTGGCATTCACAGGACATGGTGAATGATTGACTGTAGTGGGGGAAAGTAGAGAGAGAAATCTAATATGAATCCCGGTGTTTCTGGCTTGAGTCACTTTGTAGGGTCAGTGGTACAATGGACTACGAGTACACAGGAGGAGAAGGCTGGTAGAGTGGGGAGTAGAGATAATCTGTGCGGGAAACATTACGTTTGATCTCTCTTTGGCACATTCAAGCTGAGATGCCATGTAGGTAGATGGATATATGGGTCTGAAGCTCAGGAGGGAGCTCTAGACTAGAGATAAAGATTTTTGATTCATCCATCTGTATGTTGTATTTAAAGCCACAGGCCCAGTTGAAATTGCATAGAGTGTATACAGAGTGCAAAGAGAAAAAGGACAAAGAAAGAACAGCAGCACTTAAGAAGCGAGCAAAAGAAAAAGAGGTTAGTAATGGAGCCTGGGATGGAACAGCCTGAGATAAAAAAGAGACCCAGGAGAGAAGCTTTCTGTTAGGAATTGGGGTAAAATTTTGCTAGTATATATAGCAATATATAGACTGCTAAAATCCTGCCTTGCCAACCAGCCCTTCCCCTTATGAGATCCTGTATGGAAAGATTTGCAAGGATCAGTAGCCAAAGGGGGAACAAAATATCACTTTAATAGAAAAGCTGAAAACTCTGGGAGTGGTGGCTAATGCCTGTAATCCCAGCACTTTGGGAGGCAGTGGCAGGCAGATTACTTGAGGCCAGGAGTTTGAGACCAGCCTGGTCAACATAGTGAAACCCCATCTTATTAAAAATACAAAAAAAAAAAAAAAGCTGGGTGTGGTGGCACATGCCTGTAATCCCAGCTACTCGGGAGGCTGAGGCATGAGAATCACTTGAACCTGAGAGGCAGAGGTGCAGTGAGCCAAGGTCGTGCCACTACATTCCAGCCTGAATGAGAGAATGAGACTTTGCTTCAAAATAAAAAACAACAACAACAACAAAAAAACAAAAAAGAAAAGGAAAATAAAAAGAAAAAAAAAGCGGCTGAAAACTCAATGCGTGGCTCTCTAGGAAAGTTGGAGTACAGTGTTTAGGTTAGAGGCGTTAAGTAGGGCTTCTACCTCTTGCTAAAACCTATCACTCTGTAGGTAGAATTTGGAGGAAGCTGCAAGAACAACCAAGCCAAAAGCAAATTCTGTGACTCATTTATCCACCAGTACCTGAAATTGGCAATAGGAGAAAAAGAAACCTCAGTTTAATGGAAGAGAGAAAACACAAGAGAACAGAAGGTGAGCCAAAGAAATAAATAGTAAGACAGGCTAATAGGACAACCCAGAGTGTGTTCAAGAAGAGATTGGTCATCAGTGTTAAAAGCCGCAAGATAAGTCATATAAGATAAGGCAGCAGAGGCAAGTGCTGGAGTTTTCTCCTTATTTTCATTTCTGATCTTCACCCCCAAGCACTGTGACATCTGCAGTGGAACAAGTTATTTTAATGAGCTCAAATTGTTCTTTGCTTGCCCTTGGGTCACAAGGATGGTAGAATGCATGGCCCTGACTTAAAATCCGAACTGGCTCCTTGTGTGTTCAGAGCCCTAGAACAGTAGTAAATTGGTAGCTGGCAGATGTGATTTATTTGACCTTGTCAGTGTTTGCCAACATATAAAAATCAGGAGAATTCACATAACAATCTGGATTTCTGTATTCTTTTACAAATTTAGATTTGGCAAAGCTGGGCCTGCACTGTGAATGATTATAAATCCTTGTTGCCACCTTTAGATACACATGTGTTCTTTAATTTTCTGCACCCTCCTGTATCACTTTATGTCCAGGCTGTGTCAATCACTGATGTCAATAGCCTGGCATTTGCCAAGTACAGAACTTCACAGCATACTAGCAATGAATAGATGGGCATGCACTAGAGCAGAGGATGGCAAACTTATTCTGTAAAGGGACAGATTATAAATATTTTAGGCTTTGCAGACCATACAGTTTTGTCACAGCTTCTCAACTCTACCATTGTAGTGTGAAAGCATCCATAGACAAAGTTGTAATCCAATAGGTATGGCTTGTTCCAATATAACTTTATTTAAAGACTGTAAAATTTGAATTTTATATAATTTTCATGTCATCAGATATTTTTCTTCTTTTGATTTTTTTAAACATTAAAAATGTAAAAAACATTCTTAGCTCATAGGTCACATAAAAACAGGCTGCCGAACATATTTGGCCCCATGGGCCATAGTTTGCTGACCCGAGCCTAGGTAACCAAAGGCCTCATTTCCCCAGTTAGGACATGTGATCATGCATAAGAACTGAGGAGATATGGTTATTACTATGAGGAAGGCAAGACTGGCTTGAGTATATCATTTTGAATGGCTAGGTGTGGGACCTGGCTTTATAAAGAGCCTCCGCTCACTATGGAAGCGCCAACGGCAATGCAAGAATAAAGAACCCAGAAAAAGACAACCATCTGAAACCAATCAGGCAAAAGGAGGCTGGTGCCAAACAGCAACCCAAATCAGGCAACCCCTCTAGTTAACCTATTCAGGTTTCCTCATTTTGATAAATAGCATGACTATTCTCCAAGTCTTAGGGGACTTTGGGTGGGCAAGCACCTGAGAGAGAGACTAGCCAATCCTTGTGGGGACAGTAACAATAATGAAAAAGCTGTTAAAATGATCAAGGTCAACCTGACTGATAAGAATTAAAATGAGTCTGGAGGGTGGGCGTGTGTGGCAGGGGAGAAAGAGGCTTTCTGAGAAAGGTTGGAAAGTTACTATTTGACTTGGGCTAGAGTTTGTAAAATGGGTACACGACAGAACTCACCTTATGGCTAACAACACATCCTGGGACCTTGTCAGAGAATCCATAAGGGTACCAGTTTGGGTAAGGTATGAGCAGGTACCAAAAGATGTCTCTTCATCTCTGTGTGAGATGGAAATGGAGATTCTTTTTTTTTTTTTTTTTTTTTTTTTTTTGAGAAGGAGTCTCGCTCTGTCGCCCAGGCTGGAGTGCAGTGGTGCAATCTCAGCTCACTGCAAGTTCCGCCTCCTGGGTTCACCCCATTCTCCTGCCTCAGCCTCCCGAGTAGCTGGGACTACAGGCACCCGCCACCACGCCCAGCTAATTTTTTGTATTTTTAGTAGAGATGGGGTTTCACTGTGTTAGCCAGGAAGGTCTCAATCTCCTGACCTCGTGATCCACCTGCCTCCACCTCTCAAAGTGCTGGGATTACAGGTGTGAGCCACCGTGCCCAGCCGGAGATCCTTTCTTTCTACCTAACTTAAAAAAAAAAAAATTTGGTCCCGATGATCAAAACAACACACATTGACTGTAGAAGTGTAATATGGATAGTATAGAAAAGTGTTACAAAACAAGTTAAAAACATCCCTAATTATTTTTTCACCTAGATGAAGCTCCTGTTCATATTCTGGTCCAGTTTTATTCCAGTGCCTTTAAAATACCTTCACATGGTTGAGAATTATGTATTTGATTTTTAGCTTGCTCTTTTTACTTGATCTTAAAATTTTTCCATATCATTGGAATTGTTTTGCAAACATGCTTTTTGCAAATTATGTGTGTGTGCATACATATATATTCCCCCATTCTCCCACTCTGCACTTCAGCACCAGCAGTGTTAAATATTTAAGCATGCTTGAAATGTTTGCTATTATAAATAATGTTCCAAGTGGTGCTTTTATTTTAAATGATTTCATTAGGAAAAATATAGTTAGAAGTGGAACTACAGGGTTAAATGGTACAATATTTTTTAACTGTTGCTAAATATTTTTGTCTGATTTTGAAGATCTGTATGGGAGTTTTCATGAAGGTTTTAATGATCTTCATTTTTTGTCTTCATTATTTTGTTTCAGCATCTTCATTATTTTTACTCATTTAGTAAACATTTACCATCACCCACTATATGTCAAAGCTCAGACGTGGACACAAAGAATTTAAAGGTATAAACTGTGTTCTTTGGAGCATGCAGCCTATCCAAAAAGACAAGACCCAAATACCAAATTCTACTGGAATTTCAATTATACATATACTTGCACAATTTCACTAAGACATATGAAGAAGGATATTCACTGCAACAACAATAACAACAACAACAACAACAAAAACTAAGAAACAAAAATAGCAAAAAATAAAAAAAGCCTGGCACTTTGGAAGGCCGAGACGGGTGGATCGCGAGGTCAGGAGATCGAGACCATCCTGACTAACACGGTGAAAGTCTCTACTAAAAATACAAAAAATTAGCCAGGCGTGGTGGTGGGTGCCTGTAGTCCCAGCTACTCGGGAGGCTGAGGCAGGAGAATGGCGTGAACCTGGGAGGCAGAGCTTGCAGTGAGCTGAGATCATGCCACTGCACTCCAGCCTGGGCGACAGAGCGAGACTCCATCCCCCCCGGCAAAAAAAAAGCCTGGTAATTACCAACATGTCCACCAAAAGGGCAGAACAGTGTGTATAGTGCCCTCTTTGCACGTGTGCGTCTGTGTGAATGTGTGTATTTGAGAAAGCGATAAACAGAGACAGAGAGAACATGAATATAAAGACAATCCCTTATCTGCAGTTCCTTAATTCTAAAAAATCTGAACATGGAATTTTTTTCTTCAAAATCTGGCACAAACTCATTTGGGGGAAACCTCATATGAACTGACATGTGGTTATTTGTAGTCTTCATTTATCCCACCTAGTGTGATTATTCAAACACCTTGTCCCATAACTTTTTATGTTCAATTAATATTAAACATGTCTAATTTATGTCTTTGCTGTCCCAAACCCTGCTGAGGGGGTGACATACTAAATGTCATAGGCACTATATCATCATGTTAAAATCCTAAAAATGTTGCATTCCAACATTTTTCTGACCTCAAGAGTTTGGAATAAGGAATTATGTCTAGTACAGATACATCTGTGTGTGTGTGTGTGTGTATGTGTGTGTGTGTATGTCTGTATGTGAGTTTATGTTGTTTTCATTTTTTCTGGATGATACTGCATGAAATATTGTATAGCGATCTCTGGGAAAGGAACTAGGAATTTTGGGGAGTGGCTTTTACTTTTCATTTTGTACCTTTCTGTAGTTTGAATTTTCTGACCTTACATGCGTATTATGTATTTACTTATTTTAAAATTTTAAATTGCAAAAAAGCATCTATATTTACAGTGTAGAACATGATGCTTCAAAATATATGTATATTGTGGAATGGTTACATCAAGCTAATTAACGTGTTACCTCACATAATTTTTTTTTTTCATGGTGAGAACACTTAAATCTACTCTCCTAAAAATTTTCAAGTATAAAATACATTGTGATAACTATAGTCATCATTTTATACAATAGATATCTTGAACTAATTCCTTCTGTCTAACTGAAGTTTATATCCATTGATTAACATCTCCCCAGTCCCTAGGCCCTGCCACGTGTTACCTTGATATATATTTTAAAAACTCAGCAGAGTCTTAAGGATGAAGATTATGGCCCATTTTGTTTTCTTCTTTGTATCTCTTATTAAAGCAAACTATGGCCTGAAAAGGACTCCGTACTTTCTGAGTCCTTGTGGATGAACTGTAACCTAGCTTAATAGACAAAATTGAAAAACTAACTTAATAGTATACACCTGTAACAATAGCTGAGTGTTGGCCAATCCCAGGGGCCATACTTCAACCACTCAAAGACTGCTGAATGTTCGAACTGTATTCAAATAAGGCAAACACCGAGCTGTAGCCAATCTCACCGTTTCTGTATCTCACTTCCAATTCCTGTACATCACTTTACCTTTTTTTGTCTATAAATTTGTTCTGACCATGAGGCACCCTTGGAGTCTCTGAATCTGCTGTGATTCTTGGGGCTGCCCCATTCGCAAATCGTTCATTGCTCAATTAAACTCCTTTAAATTTAATTCGGCTGAAGTTTTTCTTTTATCGCTCTCCATATTTAATATCAATATGAAAGTAATTAAAATTTTTTAGAAGTGCATTTAAAACAATAAAAACAAAAAGTACCTATGATGAGAGAGCAGTCTATGGTAAGAATTAGGAGGTGCATATCCCAAGAGCCACAGAAGTCTGAGGGGTCCCTGTAACCTGAGAGAGATCCAGACAGCCTTCATGGGGCTGATGGGACTTGAGTTAGACATAACACATATTTAGGATGCTATTGGTAGACATGATAGGGAGTTCAAATGGGGAAGGCTGTCCATAAAAAGACAATAAAGTAAGAATGAACTACTGTCATCTGAAAATTTGGGAGACTAAGTAGGCAGAAGGATACCAGCTATCTTGAAGGTGCAAGGGACAGAAGAGTGAAAGGTGGCTGCATTCCCACTTACATTTGACCCTGAATGTGCTCTCATGGAATACAGGTACCACCAAACTGGAATGTATGAAATTACCATTTGTCTTCCACCCACCCCCAACCCATTTATTTTCTTTCTTCTATTCCCTTCACAGGCCTTTCATTAAACAGCCACTTTGAAAAATTCTCAGGACTCTATCTCTAGAAATAGTTACCACTGACATTTCTGTGCATGTTAAAGACATGCACAGAATCATTTTGGGGAGACAGAAGCTTGAGGAAATCAACCAGTCCACCTCACTCATACACTAGAAAAGGAATACAAGGTCTTGAGAGGTGAAACATCTTGCCATGTCACATAGTCCACTGGTGCAGAGGTCCAAATAAAACCCAGTCTTCCACCTTACAGGCCAGTTTTAGACTACTCTTCTTTCTGTGTTTACTGATGATATATTCATTTTCCAGACTAGCCTGCAGCATGTTATTGATGTCTGGGAAAGGTGAAACAAAACATAAAAGCATGTGGAACCAGGTGGTCACTAGAAAAGCTGTGCTAGCTTGTGTAGATTGGAGCCGTGTTCTAATGAGTTACCATGGCAACATCTGGGCATGCATTTTAGGCTCGAGGGATAATATATAATACTAATATCCTGCCTGGCCACTCATTCCTGTCAAGGTATGATTCATCACTCCAAGAGAATGGGCCTCCAACTGTCAAGTTGGGGAGAGGACAGTGGTGATGGGGAAGTAGACACTCTCTTCTTCCTGTTTGCAGTGTTGTCATTTTTGAAGTGGAGGGAAGGAAAGAAGGAAAGAAGGAAGGAAGGGAGGGAGGGAAGGAAGGGAGGGAGGGAAGGAAGGGAGAGAGGGAAGGAAGGGAGGGAGGGAAGGAAGGAAGGAAGGAGAGATGCTTTTCTTTTCATTGATATTTTGCTTGCAATATAAGACACTATGCTGCCATTAACCTTTCCTGGCATGGAAAAAAATTGTTCTAGCTATATCTCCTTCCTTTGAAACCCAATTTGCCCTTTAGTTTAATTAGATCCCATTTGTCAATTTTGGCTTTTGTTGCCATTGCTTTTGGTGTTTTAGACATGAAGTCCTTGCCCATGCCTATATCCTGAATGGTACTGCCTAGGTTTTCTTCTAGGGTTTTTATGGTTTTAGGTCTAACATTTAAGTCTTTAATCCATCTTGAATTAATTTTTGTATAAGGTGTAAGGAAGAGATCCAGTTTCAGCTTTCTACATATGGCTAGCCAGTGTTCCCAGCACCATTTATTAAATAGGGAATCCTTTCCCCATTGCTTGTTTTTATCAAGCTGGTCAAAGGTCAGATGGTTGTAGATGTGTGGTATTATGTCTGAGGGCTCTGTTCTGTTCCATTGATCTATATCTCTGTTTTGGTACCAGTACCATGCTGTTTTGGTTACTGTAGCCTTATAGTGTAGTTTGAAGTCAGGTAGCGTGATGCCTCCAGCTTTGTTCTTTTGGCTTAGGCTCCTGCACAGCAAAAGAAACTACCATCAGAGTGAACAGGCAACCTACAGAATGGGAGAAAAATTTTGCAATCTACTCATCTGACAAAGGACTAATATCCAGAATCTACAAAGAACTCAAACAAATTTACAAGAAAAAAACAAACAACCCCATCAAAAAGTGGGCAAAGGATATGAACAGACACTTCTCAAAAGAAGACTTTTATGCAGCCAATAGACACATGAAAAAATGCTCATCATCACTGGCCATCAGAGAAATGCAAATCAAAACCACAATGAGATACCATCTCACACCAGTTAGAATGGCAATCATTAAAAAGTCAGGAAACAACAGGTGCTGGAGAGGATGTGGAGAAATAGGAACACTTTTACACTGTTCGTGGGACTGTAAACTAGTTCAACCATTGTGGAAGACAGTGTGGCAATTCCTCAAGGATCTAGAACTAGAAATACCATTTGACCCAGCCATCCCATTACTGGGTATATACCCAAAGGATTATAAATCATACTGCTATAAAGACACATGCACACGTGTGTTTATTTTGGCACTATTCACAATAACAAAAACTTGGAACCAACCCAAATGTCCAACAACGATAGACTGGATTAAGAAAATGTGGCACATATACACCATGGAATACTATGCAGCCATAAAAAGGATGAGTTCATGTCCTTTGTAGGGACATGGATGAAGCTGGAAACCATGATTCTGAGCAAACTATCGCAAGGACAAAAAACCAAACACCGCATGTTCTCACTCATAGGTGGGAATTGAACAATGAGAACACTTGGACACAGGAAGGGGAACATCACATACCAGGGCCTGTCGTGGGGTGGAGGGAGGGGGGAGGGATAGCATTAGGAGAAATACCTAATGTAAATGACGAGTTAATGGGTGCAGCACAGCAACATGGCACATGTATACATATGTAACAAACCTGCACATTGTGCACATGTACCCTAGAACTTTTAAGTATTAAAAAAAAGAAAAAGAAACCCAACTTGCCTTACTTCTCTCTTCTGATTCCATATAATGCCACAGGATTTCACTAACAGTCTGACATGGCTGAGTGATTCACAAGCTTTTATAGCAAAATTAAATGTTATTATTCTTAAAGGACTCTTTTTTATCTGGGACAAAACCCAAGAGTCAGTAGTGAAGCAAGAGATCTAGATCAGGACAGGTATGGAGCTATGGTAAGATTCTGGAGTAGATCGAATTTGCTTTGGAGTCCTAAGGCAGGAAAGGGACCAAGTTTAGCTTAGACCTCACAAGGCCCACTCTCCTGACCCAACCTATACATCTTACTGCATCTCAGTGGGGTGCACAAAGGGAGACACAAAGGGATAGCCAAGTTGAGATGGGGAGATCACGACCTTGGAAACTGATGGTATACCATGAAGTTATCATGTGGGGAGCCCTGAGGTATGATTTAAAAACATAATCATCTAAAGTGGACAGAGTAGGCTGGGATGGCAAAAGATTGCTGTTTCTGGGTCTCAGTCTCTGAATGGGGCTGCTCCAGTACCAAGGCTCAATTGTTCAGTCTGTGAGGTGGGAAGGATGATGCTATCAGCCCGACTTCCTACCTTTCTCCGTTCTGTAGCCTCTGGAGCATTCAAGTTAGTCTATTCTCTTTATTCCACACACACACCAGGCTAATTTCCACCTTCTGTTTCTGTGGTTTCTTCTACTTGGACTCCCCTCCTCATCCTCTCTGCTTACCCAACTTCTAATCTATGTTTCAAAATCAAATTAGAGTTCTGTAACCTCCATGGGCCATTCCATTATTGCCCCCAACTCATAATTAGCCCTTGCACAAAGCTTATTTAAGTTTTATATTACATAGTTATTTAATCTCTCTGTGCTTTGATGAGGAAAATAACAGCACCCACCTCCTAGATTTTTAGTGAGGATTAAATAAAATAATTCATGTAAAGCATTTAGGGGAGTGCCTAAAACACAGTCAGTGCTCAATAAGTCATATCTGTTTTTATTTTCACGGCAAGGCATTATATAGCCCCAAGTTAGGGCCATCACACATTGCTGTGGTATAGTACGTAGTAATAACATCAAAAGCAGCAGGCAAGGCCTTTTGTCCTTTTAATATGCAAAAGGATACCTTGCCTTCCAGAATAGATAAAGAATAATAGGTAACATTCTGAGTCCTAATTATGAGTCAGGGTGATATTCTAAGTGCTTTATTTATTTATTTATTTATTTTGAGACGGAGTCTCCCTCCATCGCCCAGGCTGGAGTGTGGTGGCGGGATCTCGGCTCACTGCAAACTCCGCCTCCCGGGTTCACGCCATTCTCCCGCCTCAGCCTCCCGAGTAGCTGGGACTACAGGCGCCCGCCACCATGTCCGGCTAATTTTTTGTATTTTTAGTTCAGACGAGGTTTCACCGTGTTAGCCAGGATGGTCTCGATCTCCTGACCTCGTGATCCGCCCGTCTTGGCCTCCCAAAGTGCTGGGATTACAGGCGTGAGCCACCGCACCCGGCCTAAGTGCTTTACTTTTATGAACATGTTGAATCGTTACACCGCTAAGGGTTCAGGGCTGTCATCATTATTCCCATTCTACAGATGAGTAAAGAGATCCAGAGAGGTTGGATAACTGGCCACGGGTCACACACTCAGCTAGCAAGTATGGTAGAGCGGGATCTAAATCTAGATAGTGTGGCTCCAGAGCCTGGACTCAACCATTACGCTAGCCCCCTTGCAAATTAGAAGATGAAACCCCAGTCAAGGCCTTGGGGAGCAAGGAGCCTATTTAGAAAAGGGAAGAGGATTTAGCTGGAAAGTGTCCAGATGCTTTAAAGCACATAAGCTTTGGGGTGGGTGGCCCATATCTGTGGAGAACAAGCCAGTCTTGCATGTGAACTGGTTGTGCTCATGCTATCCTTGCTGTCTGTCCCAGGGTAGTTTCAGCTGCACTCAGGGAGCCTGTCCTGAGAGTCTGTGGCTGTCATAATGACTCACTGTGAGGAGGGCGACTGGAGATAAGGGAAAGGAAGAGTAGCAATCTCAGGCTGTGGGCACTAGAAGAGTCCCCGCAATCCCTGGGGTGGTGGCAGGAAGTCTTGAAGAAAGAAGCCAGTGGACTGCTGCCCAGCCACTGAGGGATATGAGCATTTTCAGAAATTTGCCTTCATAAATCAAACCTTTAGGTCTTATCTCTAACTTATTTCTTGGCTCCTTCTTGGCCACAATCCTGTCATTTATCTGGAAGGAATTCCAAGTGTTACACAAAGCTGAGACAGAACATCGACACTTGGTTTTGACGAAATAGTGCTCAGAGAGGGATTGGTAAGCTCCTCTGAGTGAAGGCTGGGTGGGGGCTTTTAGTCAAAGGGTAGGCAGCATGCCCTACCTTAAAGTACACAGTTCTGTGGGGAGTTTTTGCTTTTGGTTTCATGCTATTGTCAACTCTCTGATGACTTCACAATTTCTTGGGAGATTAGGTACCACCAGAAGAACTGCTGAAGCCAGGGCTGGAGACTTACATGGTGTTTAGTCATCAGGAATACTAGACAGAGCCTCATCCCTGAAATGCTGGCCTAACCAACACCTGTCATCTTATTATTGGTACTGGATGTCTGAGTCTTGAAGATTTTATTTTTCTATCTTCAAGAATGTCCATTTAAGAGCTAGAAAAACACACGAAGTTCATCTGGTCCAATCCAGTTAATCTCTATTAAAGCATGAGCATTATTTGATGCATTATTAGCATTCATTAAGTTAACCTGAGGTTTATAAGCAGGTTCTATGAATTCCCTAACACTGTATGCCAAGTTTCATGTGAATGTCCAGATGTGCACTTTTTACACATTGTAAAGCTCTGATCAAGCCAGAGGGTACTGGGTTGTGTTAATACTCGGGAGGCAGTATGACACAGTGGAAAGCATAGGCTTGTAGAAAGGCCTGGCTTTGAATTCTGGCTCTTCCACTTACTAGCTGTGTGGCCTTGAACAAAATGCATAACCATTCTGAAAGCAATTTATAAAATGGAGAAAGTAATAGTGCCCAACTTGAGTTGGTATTGTGAGGATCCAATTAAATAAGGTAGGTAAAGTGCAGAACATAGTTCCTGGCACAAAGTAGAGGCTCAATAAATATTAATTCATTCAACAAATATTTATTGACTGCCCACTCTATGCCTTTCATTTTTCTATGTTCCATAGATACAGCAGTGAACAAAGATTCCTGCTCTTGTGGAGTCTACATTCCAGTGGCTCATACTGTGAATATTACTCTGTCAAGCACTGTTTACTCACTCATTTATTCCTTCAGCACATTTCTATTAATTACCTATTATATGTGATCTACTGCGCTGACAATGAGGCTAAGATGGAAAACAAGACAAATGTGGCCCTTTGTCTCATAGCAATTTGGTGGGAGAGACCTCCAAAAAATAGTTAGAAATTCTATACATAAAATAGCCAAAATTATGATAAAGACCATGAAGGAAGCAAAGAATGGACACAAAGAAGGAGAATAAGGGGGATGGGAGAGAGGAGAATCATTTTGAGCAGGATGGTCAAGGTATGACCCTGACATATGGTGACATTTAAGCTAAGATTGAAAGGAGATAATTATGAAAAGGGAAGGATTGTGTATTAGTTTTCTATTGCTGCCATAACCAATCACCACAAGCTTAGTGAATTAAAACAATACTGATCTATTATCTCACAGTTTCCATGGAGCAGCAGTCCAGGCACTGCATGGCTGAGGTAGGTTCCCTGCTTAAGAGCTCCAAGATCAAAATCAAGGTGTAAGCCAGCTGCATTTCTTGCTGGAGTCTCTGGGGAAGAATCCACTTCCAAGCTCATTTCCTTTTTGTGTTTTCCACATGGCCCTTTCCATCTTCAAGCCAGCAAGGGTGTCTGGAGACTTTCTCATGCTTCAAATATCTCTGACTTCCTTTTCTGCTGCATTTTTTCCTGCTTTTTAAGGGCTCATGTAATTACACTGGACCTACCTGGCTAATTCAAGACAATCTTTCAATCTTGAAGTCAGTTTATTAGTAACCGTAATTACATCTGCACATGACAATAGGTTTGACATCAGGCAGTGAAGGTTATGGGGGCCACAATTCTGCCTCCCACAGATAAAAAGGATACTGCAGGCAGAGGGAACAGCATAATGACCAAGTGCACTGCGATGGACTCCAGCTTGGCATATTTGAGGAAATGAGAAGTCAGTGTAGCTGGAATGTTGTGAGCAAGCAGGACAGTGGGACAAAATGAGGTTGGAGAGGTGAGCAGGGGTCAGCTCATGCAGAGCTTATGGGCCATGCACAGGAGTCTGGGTTTCAGTCTAAAGGCAATGGGGAGCCATTAATGAGTCTAAATCTGGGAAATGACATGACCTGGTTGACATATTTGAAAGTTCATTCTTGCTACAGTGTGGACAATGCGATGGAAGGGAGCAAAAATGAAAGCGAGAAAGTAATCATGAAGAATAAAGGTAATGATTCCAATCTTTAATTCTAGAGCTTCTCACTTTGTTCCAGTAACACAGCACTGAGAATCATAGAGTTCTTCGTGGAAAATTATAAAATATTCATATTTAAATCATAAAATGTTTACAAATATAATTCTATGTTAAATCAGATGCTAACTTTTTCATTCTAGTATAGGCACGCGGGAGCAGGGGCCAAGGGTTTCAGCAAAATTTACAGGAGCACATTCTAACTACAAACTTACTGCTTTTCCTTGAAAAACTTGGTGAAAGACCATCATTCCATTTCATTTCATTTTTAGTGGCAGAATACTCTTATTTAGTTCACAAAACACAGAAGTTTCTGAGTTTAAAAAACATTGTTAAGAGGAGAGCAATGTCTTAGGGCATAGGCACTAATGTAGGTTAGACACAAGACAAAGGTCCCTCCCGTATCCTTTCAGTCTCTTTTGGACCTCCCTGTCAGGATTTTGAACTAGCTGTTTGAAATGTGTTATTACAGTGGGAAAAAAATTCAAGGTCCAATGGCTATGCAGATGGAAGAAGGCCAAGTTCACAGAGTAGCCTAATTCATCAATGGGAGGTGAGATCTTTTCAGCTTCATTGCGAGGTGGGCCCTTTGGTCCCAGATTGAAACTGCTCTGATTCTACCTGGTAGCCCAACCAAACAAGGCTCCCATAGTCTCCTCTTCTAAAGCTCTTTGAGCACAAAGCCCCCAGTCACTGGCAGTTTCCCACCCAGCCTCCTCCTCTTCTACCCTCTGGCTTTGAAGAATTCTGTGATCTATGCTCCTAGCAGGCACTTAGATTTCTTTCTCCTGCTTTCTCATGCTGTCTGTTCATTTACACACCTCTCACCAAGTCCTTCAAACGTACCATTTTTCTAAATAACCCTTGTGTTTCCTTTCATCATTTCTACGTCCCCTCTTCCCAGTGTCACACATCTGGGGCTTTGATGGCACTTGTCCATTTCTGTTGCTCACATCGACTTTGTTCAGCTCATCCATGCTCAGGACACACATTTGCATGTCTAAAGTCCCATTAACATTATGATTATGCCTTCCCTATTCATCCTCCAGTTTTCTCAACATCACATACATTGAGAAGAGGGAAGGAGTTTCTATAGGAGCCAGGATGCAGGTGTCAGAATTGTGAGAGAGGCCTTAAAGGTGGCACTGTTGGATTCCTGAGAGCCTGGGCTGAAATAGCTAAGAGTGGGCTGAAGAGGCGCTGGAATGTCCACTTAAGGATTTGTGGGAGATTCTAGTATCTGAGAAACAAAAGTAATATTGTCATCCCCTTCGGACAAGTCTACCCAGATTCAAATGGAGTGGGGCCTGCGTCCCGCCACATCTTTTTATCTGTTTGGAACATTGGGGGCTTCTTTGGTGATGGTGGGGGAGGAGAGATGTGAGACGAGAAACAGAGAGCGTGAGAGAGTGTGAGAGAGCTGGAGAGGGCGCTAAGGCGGGAGAGAGATTGATAAAAGGGAAGTCTTTTCAGTGTTTGGAGAATGCATTTGAAAAAGTGTAGAGGGTACAGGCTAGTCTGGTTCCAGCAATTACTCTGAAGGAAACAGAGAATTTCTGCAAAATATGTCTTGGGGGCAGCTCTTTCTTGTACCAAATTATTATAGTAATGTTAAGCATTTTTTTGGGTGCCCACTACTGTGTGTTGAGCCCTGTGCCAGGCTTTTTATTTGCCCTAACTCATTTAATCCTCACAATGACATTAATCAACGGAGGTTATTATTATATTTCCATTATGGGCGAGAAAAATGAGGCATGGAGATAGGAAGCAACTAGTTCAAGGTCACATATCTGGTAAGTGACAGAATCAGGATGCAAGGCCAGGTCTGGGTAAGTTCAGTGCCCATGCTCTTAACTACTATGTTCTGTTCTGCTGGCATCATTGGCCAGTCAGTGAACCATTGTAGAGGCCAGGAAGTCCTTTCTCATCCAACTCACGTCTGGTTTTTGTTGTTGTTGTTTTGTTTGTTTGTTTGTTTTTGAGAGTCTCAAAGCTTAGGGAATGGGAAAGACTTGGAGTAGGAGTACAGCCAGTTCACAGCAGAAAAACACCCTTTGGTGTCCATACCAAGGCAAGCATTGATGACTAAAGAATCACAAGCTATCTTCATGTGAGCCAAATGCGTATTTTCTCCCTTTCACAAAGGTAATTAAAAATCTATATACCACTTTCATGTCTGCTCCAGGATCAAGCACCTGCTGGATATGTCAAAGCACAAGACTCAAAACTGGATGTCTTCAACCCTGTCCGTCACCCTGCATTCCTCCCCTTTGCCTCAGCTCTGTCTCCTGCCTTCTGTTACTTCATCTGTTTTTGTCTCCCACTTCTCTCACTCCCTCTTCATATTTACGTGCTAAGCCATAGCCAGAAAAGAGAGTTGTATTTTTACTTTTCAGGGTAATTTCCTGGCTGGTCACATTCTCCTTTAGTGACTGCCTCTGATTATTACATTCTCTCAGCAGCCACTCACATATATATTTAAGGTTTAGAAAGAGGCCAGGCGCAGTGGCTCATGCCTATAATCTCAGCACTTAGGGAGGTCAAGGCAGGAGGATCACTTGAGCCCAGGAGTTCAAGACTAGCCTAGGCAACATAGTGTGACCCATCTGTATTTTATTTAAAAAGAATTTAGGAAGAGAAGGGGGCCCACTTGTACTCGGTATGGACAAAGCTGGAATCTAGTTCCTCCATTGAAAAACAAAGTGAAATGCCAATTAAAAATGATAGTGTCATTTTGTTAAAATGTTACTTTCAATTTCTCAGGATTTTTTTTCTTTTCCATTCTTCAATATTACAAGGCATAGTCAAGGTTTGGCCTGTGTAAGTGACTACAGAACTTTATATTAATAACTCTCTCTCTCTTTTTCTGTTTTTTTCTCTCTCTCTCTGTGTGTGTGTGTGTGTGTGTGTGTGTGTGTGTGTGTGTGTGTTTCAGGCTACAGCTCTGAGGTACACTATGCAAGTATAATTAACTCCATTTGCTCACAAGCAAGTGACTTGCTCATGGTCATACTTCTAGAGAGAGACAAAACTAGAAGTACAACCTAGGTATCCCATCCTTTGCTCCAGAGATCTTTCCACTGAGCCATACCTAGTGGATATGCTTCTTCCTCCATGTGTTCTGGATTTTAGGAGGCTGCAGTTGGAAGCAGCTGGTAGATGGCACTCTTGAGTGACGAAAGATATGACTCAGGGGCATAAAGAAAGATTATGGCACTAAAAAGAATACCATACACACGTCTCTTTATTTTTAAGAGGACACATTTGGGCTAGATGAATTCACAAATTCCTTTTAGGGCTACCAGTCTAGGAAATCTAATCCTCTGAGGCCTCTCTTCTGAGCCAGCTTTGTCTGAGTAAATGTGCTGGAAGGAAATTTATAAGGAAAGCTTGTCCATTCCTTGGCCTCTTAGCAGAATCACCCCTTGACCAGCTCAAGCTTCTCAGATCCTTCTGTTCCTTAGGCCCACCAGATTCAACTCGCCTTTTTAGTTGCACATTCCAATATTTCAACATGTTTTACAGCCGAATGATCACTGTGCACATTTAAGTTTTCTTTCTTTGGAGGATTCTTCTGAATGCAATATTGGAACCTATTTAGTAGATATCCATGAAAGGGAGACTTGGTGATGGGAGAGCTGGGTTAGGGCACTAACTGAACCAGTCAGAATGAATGTGACTCTCAATTTGAAACAAGCGATATGTTGAAACATCAAGGCCCTTCAAGGGAATATGAGGAGGTTGGCTTTCTTCACACCTGACATTACTGAGTCCAGAATGCCTGATGGGGATACTTGCTTCAGTTAGAAGTTTGGAATTTCGGCTGCAGCTTCAAATGTTCCCCTCTCTCAGCTCCCACTTAACAGAAAGAAGTACCTTAGTCTCCATCTCTCAAACTCTATTCAAGCAAACATTTCCTCCAGATAAAATATGGAAACCATGAAGTGTACAATTTAATCAAAATGCCAATAATCTTACTTTATATGATCTAGAAGTTAAAAGCCCTGGAGTCAGACAGAGCTGGGTGCAATTACTAGATATTGATCATGACAAGCCAGCCTCTCTTTAACCCACTTTTCTCATCCCTAAAACAGGGCAATAATAGCTTATCACATC
Source organism: Homo sapiens (assembly GCF_000001405.40). NCBI lineage: Eukaryota > Metazoa > Chordata > Mammalia > Primates > Hominidae > Homo > Homo sapiens. Next base: position 112,740,799 of record NC_000023.11, on the reverse strand, counting down.
AGGTTTTGTGGGACTTAAATGAGAACATGCACGTAAAGCACAGGAAGCTTCCAGAAACTGTTCATGCTATTATTACACTTTTCGGCATACTTTCTCCTCTCACTTCTTTTAAAAGTCTCACTACCCATTCTGTGAGGTAGAAGCTGGGGCAGAGTGGAATAACTTGCTCAGGACCACACAGAGTCCTGACAGAATGGTGCTGTCTCCACCAGTGACAAGAGCTCCACCTCAGGGCTGGAGCTCCCAGCTGCCTGAGCATGTTTTAAAGGATTCCATTGTAAACATATGTACTAAGTTCACCAACTCCTTCCTTCCTTCCTTTCTTTTTTTCTTTCTTTCTTTCTCTCTCTCTCTCTCTCTCTCTCTCTCTCTTTCTTTTCTTTCTTTCTTTCTTTCTTTCTTTCTTTCTTTCTTTCTTTCTTTCTCTCTCTCTCTCTCCCTCCCTCCCTCTCTCTTATGTTCTTTCTTCTTTAAGGAAGAGAAATGAAACCAGATGCTATAAGACCAGGGCAAAATCTCAGGACAGTCTTGTTTTCGGTTAAATTTTTATAGTAATATTTTATTGGCACAGTCTCTGTCTTTCCTTTCCTCTTCCTCCATTGCTTTGCAATTCCATTGCCTTCATCTGCACTTAAAATGGCCAAGGCAAGCAAGGCAGGCTAAAAGGCAGTAGGGGCAGGGAGGCCTCCTCGAGATTTCCAGGTCAGGACTGCCATAGATTTTGTATCCTTGGAGAGAGGCTTCCTTTTCTGCTGGGCTTGGAAATATCTCCGTCTCTCGGGTTGACACAGTCTCAGGTTCCCTCCTTCAGAATCCCAGGGCCTCTGATGGGGGCAAGAAACAGGTAAGCTCTCCTATCCTGGTCCCCCACTCCCCCTCCCCCAAACACCCACTTCCTTTATAGCAGCTGCAGCTGTTGGGTCAGCCTGGGAGCCCAAGCCCCCTCCCCCATACCCCTTTTCCCCAGGTAAAAATAAATAAAATGTCAGTGAGCTGATTGCTTTTTGGATTACACCTCACCTCTTTCTTCCTGTTTTGAGCCTTTTGGTTTCTTAGTGGAAACTACAAACCTTGCCTTGACTCCAGTGTGGGTGTGATTTCCTTCTTCCTGGCTCCCATCCCACTCTTCCCCGGCTCCTTCCTTCTCTAGCATGACTCTCTTATCTTTCTAATTGGGATTCCTCACCAGCAAAGGGTTTTCATCTCTGAAATTAGTAGGTGTCTTGAAAGGATGGTGGAACTAAGTTTTCTGTAACCCAGCAATTGGAGCCAAGAAATGAGAACTTCTAATCTATCTTTTACCTAAGACTCACTGTGTGACTGTAAGCCATTCACAGTGGTAGTGCCATTTGACTTGGAGAAAGAGGTATTAGCCCATATTAATCAAGTTATGCCAAAGAAGCTTACAAAAAGTGTGCTTGCTCTACAAACACGTTTTTCAAGACAAATCCCTTAATTTTTACCTGTCCCACCAAACCTCTTCACATAAAGAATGTAAATGCAAACAGTAAAAGGGTAGGAGGTGAGTAGATGCAGCTTTTCTATATAGAAATTCTGGAGCTACTGTTGGTTCTTCACTTTCTATGTTAATCTCTTTTTTAAGACTGTAAAACAACATCAACATTTAATATCTTTGGGATAGACTGAGATGCTTGCAGAGTTTACCTGGTATATGTAGGTCCCAGACTGTAGTCTGGACAGAACCAATCAGAATATTGGCCTGTGTGGTACATTTGTAGTTCTGCTTATAATCATTTTAAAACTATACCCAAAACAATTAATGAACAGTGATTGAAACTCTTATGCAGTGTACAACCATATTCTTTTCACCTGAAGTGCTCTCAGGCCTCCTCATATGGATCTGGAAAGCATTAAAGTAATTGAGGCAATGGAAAGGAGCAAAGCAGTAGCTGGAGACAGGCTTAGAAATGTAAAGTACATTGTTTTAGGGCAAGGTAGCTGAATAGCAGGGGGCAATTGAGGGAGGAAAGGTAAAGTGCTGATTATCTAAGCAGAGTGGAGGGCTGGAAATCTGCACCCCTATCTCCTGTTGGGAGCAGACTTGGGAGAGTTAGAGACTGTGAGTCTAACTTTTGGATGAGGAAAAGAGTAGTTCCTGTCCTAGAGGAGTTCACATTTAGTAGGGATGAGAAAGTGTACACAGATGAATAGTGGTTAAGAGCGTGGTCTGACACCAGGCCACATGGGTTTAACCAGATCTTCCACTAACCAACTGTGTGACCTTAGGCAAGTCATTTCAGCCCCTGAGTCATCGTGTCCTCACTTAGAATATGGAGGCAATAGTTGTACTTACCATACGAGGACAATGAAATGAATTCATACACGTAAAGTGCCTGGCACATATTGAGAGCTCAACTGATGTCAGCTCCTATTTATTCGGGGCTACCTCTGTGCTACATCCTTTGCATGTGTTGTCTTTTTTACTTCTCACCACTACCTATAAAGGAGAAATTGTTATTATCCCCTATTTCCAGATGAGGAAACTGAGGCTAAGATAAGTTAAGTGGATGATAATAATTGAGTGTAGAAAGTGCTATAATAGACAGGTGTAATAGGAATGCAAAGATAAACATGTCTAACTGCCTGGAGAAATTTGCAGAGGGCATCACGGAGAAGGACACATTTAAGGTGGGCTCTGAAGGGTAAATAAGGTTTCATCAAGAGGGGCACAGAACATGCAAAGGCAAACAGATGGTAGTTAAGCATAGCTGGAGTATAGATGTTGGCAGGTTAGGTATTAGCAGGAAATGGGCCTGAAGGTTGGTTTTGACCAGTTTGTGTATGCCACCCTAAGGAGTTTGGACTCTACTCTTTAGAGAATCATCAAAAACTCTCTGTGTTTAGGTTGTGTAAAGGGAGGGAATTTCGATGACTGATAACTAGGGTTTGTACTAGCATAGTAGCAATAGGCATAGAGAGATGAATCCAAACGGAGAGGTCAAAGGTAAAGCACTTCCGGGTGGGGCGCAGTGGCTCATGCCTGTAATCCCAGGACTTTGGGAGGCAGAGGCAGGGAGATCACCTGAGGTCAGGAGTTCGAGGCCAGCCTGGCCAACATGGAGAAACCCCATCTCTACTAAAACTACAAAAATTACCCGACTGTGGTGGCATTTGCGCCTGTAGTCCCTGCTACTCGGGAGGCTGAGGCAGGAGAATTGCTTGAACCTGGGAGGCGAAAGTTGCAGTAAGCTGAGATCACACCAGTGCACTCCAGCCTGGGGTGACACAGCAAGACTCTGTCTCAAAAAAATAAAATAAAATAAAGCACGTCTATTGCTTCATTAGAAATCAACTGAACAGGCTGGGCGCCGTGGCTCACTCCTGAAGGCGGAGGCAGGTGGATTACTTGAGGCCAGGACTTCGAGACCAGCCTGGGCAACATGGCGAAACCCCATCTCTACTAAAAATTCAAAAAAATTAGCCAGGCGTGGTGGCGCATGCCTGTAGTCCCAGCTACTCAGGAGGCTGAGGCAGAGAATTGCTTGAACCTGTGAGGCGGAGGTTGCAGTGAGCCGAGATAGCACCACTGCACTCCAGCCTGGGCAACAGAGAGACTCTGTCTCAAAAAAAAAAAAAAAAATCAACTGAATATATAGTGCATGCTTGCTTGGGAGTTGCAATGTAGTCTCTACTCCCCCTCAAGGAGCTCACAATAAAGTGCAGAAGACAAACCTCAAGTCAAAGGCAACCCAACAGTTACAATACAATATGGTATGCTCTGTGAGAAAGAGACACATACAGGATGCTGGAGGAGCACATAGAAAGTATATTGTTCTAGGGGTGGAGAGGTCAGTAAAGACTACCCATAGGAGGGACCACTTCTGTTACTTTTCGTTTGTTTGTTTTTGAGACGAGAGTCTCTCTCTGTCACCCAGGCTGGAGTGCAGTGGCATGATCTCGGCTCACTGCAACTTCCACCTCCTGGGTTCAAGTGATTCTCCTGCCTCAACCTCCTGAGTAGTAGCTGGGATTACAGGCATGCACCACCATGCCCAGCTAATTTTTGTATTTTTAGTAGAGACGGGGTTTCTCCATGTTGGCTAGGCTGGTCTCAAACTTCCGACCTCAGGTGATCTGCCCACCTCGGCCTCCCAAAGTGCTGGGATTAAAGGCATGAGCCACTGCGCCCAGCCTGGAACTAAGTTTTGAGGGGTGAAGAAGAGGTATCCAGGCAAAGAAAGGATAGGAATGGTTGTCATTCCAGTGGCAGGAATAACAGAAGTAAAAGTATAGAGGTATGCAACAGCATGGAATGTGGTAAGTGCTACAAGTATTTCAGGATTGCTGGAGAAGGAAGTGCATCAAAGGTAAATAGCAGAAAAAACAGGGCTAGAAAGTAAGGCAGAGACCAAGTTTAGAGGACCTTTGTACGCTATGCCAAGGAGTTTGAACTTACTGTAGTAGGTGAAAGGGAGCCATTAAAATGATTTAATTAGGAGGCTACCAGATGCACAGATGTACCTATTAGACTGGTAGCAGAGTGGAGGATAGGATTGGAGTGGGTTAGATTAGAAAAGCCAAGACCAGAAGCAGAGAAAGCTGGTAGGAAATGATTGTAACAGATCATACTAGAGATGAGGAGTGCTTGGTTTAAGGCAAGGCAGGGGCGACAGAGAAGGGATAAGTGATTGGAGAATTAAAAGTGGCAGGACTTGGTAACTGATTCAATATGGTGGTTAAAGAAAAAGGAGTTGAGAAGGACGCTCAGGTTTTTGGCTTTAATGACAAGTGAACTTTGGTTCACCAATCAAGAAAAATAATGGAGAACTGATTCTGGGAGAACAGTGATGAGTTTCATTTTGAGCATCTTGAGTTTCTGATGGTTATGGGAAATCCAGGTGGAAATGTTCACTGGACAATTTTTTGTTTTTGATATGTGAATCTTGAGCCCCGGGGAGATGTTGAGTTAGAGATTTAGAGTTGGAAAGCATCAGCATACAGATGCCGGTAAAAGTCATCAGAAGGGTTGAGACCACCTAGAGAGAACATGGGCCAAACACAGAAACTCAGAGGACTATCAGCATTCAAGGGGCAGACACAGGCGAAGGTCCAGGAATTGTTGGCACTAGCCCTGGACTATATCTTTTAGGAACTGTGGGATTGAATGAAAAACCCCAGCATAGTGGCCCCAATCTTTCTTCTTGGAACTTTCTGAAACTATTCTGTGGTGTACATGATTGAGAATATTAACACATTTTAGGACTGCATATCTTCCAACTTCTAATATAGTACCTTTTTTTCTGAAGATTGTTGCAAATTGCTTTGCAACAATATTCATAATACAAATTTCTGAGTTCCATGATTGAATTTTCTTTAAGCAGAAAATTGTATTTATTTTCTTCATCTCATTAACCTAAAATGCTTTTGTAGTATCACATCCCTTTTGACCTAGTATCTTAGTCAGCTTGGCCTCCTATAACAAATACTATAGACTGGGTGGCTTAAACCGCAAACATTTAGTTCTCATAGTTGTGGGGACTGGGAAGTTAAAGATTGAGGTGTTGACCAATTTCCCTCTTTCTGGTTGTAGACTGACATCTTCTCGTTATGTTTTCATACAGCAGAGAGAAGATTATCTCTCTTATGTCTCTTCTTGTAAGGGCATTAATCCTATCATTAGGGATCCACCCTTATGACCCAATTACTCCCCAAAGGCCCCACCTCCAAATGACATCACACTGAGCACTAGGGCTTCAACATATACATTTTGAGGGAACGAACATTCAGTTCATAACATTCAGGAAGAATTTTTTTCTTCCTGTTAGTTTTAACATATATAAAGCACTAAGCCTTATGAAGGTTAAGATATATATGTTTAAATAGTGCCTAGAACATAATAGGTGGCCCACACAATTCAAGTGGCATTACTCAAATTCATTGCCATTACCTAAATATGCACACCCTATTCTGTAGTCACAGACACACATGCAAGCAAGTAAGCTAGGTCTTTCTAAACTAGTGATTGCTCAGTGTTAAGTCTTGCCTTTCAGGTTTTGTTTCAATTTTTGGCATCGAAGGGCAAATTAGAAAAAGAAAAAGTACTGGTATGTAGATTTGGGGGTTATTTCCCTTTAGATTATGACAGGATGTTAAAAACTGATCACAGTTGATATACAGCAGCTTGCTGGAGTCTCTGCAACATGCCTCAAACACAAAAATCCCTGGTGATGGACGACTGTGGGTAAAAACATGCATGCATCAGATTTCTTCTCTGATAGCTTCCAGACCCCATTTTAGTAGGTTTGGCTCCCAAAGCAAACTCCATTTGACAGCACAGGAGTAGCTACTCAGTCATTCTCCCAAACTAGTCAGTCATTCCCCCACGCTTGGCCTCTTTTCAGCAGGCAGGCTTGACTAGCTGCTTACTTCCTCTCTCCTCTTAAGGGAGAAGGGAAGTGACAGAACTCCCTGGTGAGTGCTGAGTTGCGATCTGTGCATACAGTTTTACAGGGAAGAACAAAACTACTCTATTTTCTCTGTTTCATTGTAATAAATCTCTGAAGAGATCTCTGGTTGGTTCACCTCAGAGAGGGAGAGAGAGAGAGAGATTGGGACAGAGAGAGACAGAAAGGGGGAAAAAAAACGAGGAGGAGGAGGAGAGGAGAAAGAAAGAGGAGGAGGACTAGAGAGAAAGGGAGGGTAGAGAGAAAGAGAAGAGACAATGTGCATTGTTGCTGACATGCACTGTTTTTGTTTCTGTGTGTGCTTTGTACTTGTAATGGTTAATGCCCAGATGTGTCCTAAACCCCATGAAGCTGTTTCCTTCCCAATCACTAGTGAGTAGTAACAGTCCAATCCAAATGTAACCCTTGATCTTTTTCATAAGTAGAGCATAGAATCCTTTGTTCTCACGTACCTTTTTTTAGTACATCATTAAATTGAGTAGAATAACAATAATAATAATAAAAACTCAAGTCAATGTTCCAGTAACCTACCCCTAACTGCCTCTCCCTATGAAACTGCTACTCTTTAATGCACCACAGCTTTGCTCACATCCAAGGCAAGACCTCAATTGATCAGTTGAGGTGATCTTGTTATACCCTTGCGAGGCTATAGGCTACCACACCCAATACATCAACCTTAATCAGCGCTAAGTCCCTATTGCTATTGCCACTCTATTGATCTCTGCTTGTAGGAGATGAGGGTAAGAGAAATTTTTCTTTTACAGTCTTTGACAAAAAGAGAAAAGAAGAAAAGGGAAGAAAAGGAGAAGAAAAGGGAAGAAAAGGTGAAGAAATGAAAGACCTGGAAAAAAGAAGAAGAGGGAGAAATAAGGAAGAGGAACCACTGAAGAAAACTTGAATACTAGTGTCCCCAGGCTCCACACCTACCTAATTTGCTTTTCCCTGTTTCTCCACTCAGCAATGCATTAAATATGTGATCTTTCTTTTAGCCACAGCCTTTCCATTCCTTACTGTGGAGTCAAGAAAAATACATGATATAATGAAGATAAGACAGGCTTTGGAATCAGCTCACCCTAGGTTCTCATTCTAGGACCTAGCACGGTAACTAGCCCATAATGTCAAATAAACTCCTTTTCGTAAGAAATTTGTTTGAGTCCCATGTAGCAATGGCAATGCTCCTGGACTGTATATATTATTCTACCATTGTATGGTATCAGTAAAAACTCACTGGGAATTCACTTTTCTCAACTGTGTTTGGCTATGAGAGCAAGGAATTTCAATTGGCAGGCAAAGTATGTTGTTGCTTAACACCCATATATGAACATGCATACTTGTACACATACAATGTATACATGGTAAAAACAAACAAACAAAAACTCAACCCATACCTAACAACAAGTATACAACAAAAGGTCTCTACTCCCTCCTCCGCAACAACCCTTAGATCCTTTTGAAAATGTAACCACTGGACCACTGTTAACTGTTTCTTGTTTGCCAGATACACTTCAACATGGGGAGGAGGCTGGTCCAAGTTGCTTTTCATTTGCACAAGGTGTTGAAGTAGAGAGTACTCAACAGTTTAGGGTGGGTGGCATCAGGACCTTGGGCTTCCATGGGGATAGTAGCCGTGAAAACAGGTAAGATGAGAGGATGGGAGACATTGCCTGCTTTACAGTCTTGCCTCTTTCGTGGTGTGACTCTTAGATCATGAATTAGAAGGGTCCCATCAAAGGAAAATCTGAGACCTGGAAAAGGAAGTGCCTTGTGCAAGGTTACACATGCAGCCATTTAGAGGCAGAGCTGATATTAGCCCCTAGTCCTCTAGCTTCCTAGGACTCTGTTCTTTCCCTAATTTCCCAGAGCCTCCAACAGTGAAACAAACAAAGCTAGCGCCTCTGCTTCCGGCAACTTCCACTGGTACTCTACTCTCTGTGTCTGGACTGTCAGCCTTACAGATCTGCTGGATTCTTCTAAGGGAGGACTTTTTTCTTTTCTACTTTTAGTGGAGACATGATAGCTTGAGGGCATAAAGACATAGTTTTCAAACTGTAGTATGAATCTGAATCACCTGAGCTGATTGTTAAACATGTTAGTCTTTCCCAGAAGTTACTGACTCTCAAAGAACTTTCGCTACTCCTTTGAAAAAGGTATCAGATACTTACTGGAATTTTTTGTGTTCACATGATGACTTTCTACAGAAGCCCTAAGTCTAGAGCAAAAACACCATCTTGTTTTAAAAATTTCGTTATATTGTTTCTGTTTGATTATAAAATTAATACATATTTATTGGCAAAAATTAATATTACAAAAGAATATTACGAAAGATATACATCAGCAGATGTTTTTAAAGCCTTTTCATCAACTCTCAAGAAAATCTCCATTCTGGACACAAGAGGGAGCTTTTAGCTAAAATGAAAATTTTAATGCAGGCAGTTTCATGGGGGATACATCATCTTTACTTTCTTTAACACATTTGACTTTTTTCTCTTTAAAAACACATTCGCTAATGATTATGGAATTGTATAATGATAGAGCTGATAAACTTCTTAATCATCATGACCTCTCTACAGCAGTTGATATTGTAACTACCCAATGGGTTCATTTTGCCTGCTGCCCACATAGAGCCGATTTATCAAGACAGGGGAATTGCAATAGAGAAAGAGTTTCACACATGTAGAGCTGGCTAAATCAAATCAGCCTCCCTGAAAATTTGGAGGCTAGGGTTTTTCAAGGATAGTTGGGGGGAAGAGAGGTGGGGTGGCCAGGCAATGGGTGCTTGTTGCCAGTTGGTTGGGGATGCAATCATAGGGGCATAAGAAATGGTTCTCATGCCCACTGAGTCACTTTTGGGTGGGACCACAGGAGCAGTTGGCAGGTCCAGGTGGAGCCATTGGTTATCAGACATGCAACAAACCTGAAAAGACATCTCAAAAGGCCAATCTTAGGTTCTACAATAATTATGTTATCTGCAGGAGTAATTGGGGAAGTTGCATATCTTGTAGCTTCTGGAATAATGGTGAGTAATCATTTATGTCAATACCTTGGCAGAATTCAGGCTCCTCTTATCCTCTTAGCCTGGTGGTCTCTCCTTAACTTTTCAAAGGCAGTTGCATTTTGAGGAAGTGCTATTATTATTTAAACTATAAACTAAATGTATCCCGAAGTTAGCTTGGCCCAAGGCCAGGAATAATTAAGGGCAGCTTGAAGGCTCAAAGCAAGATGAGGGGTTGGTTAGATCAGATCTCCTTTACTACCATAATTTTCTCACTGTTATAATTTTTGCAAAGGAAGTTTCAATATGGTTGCCTATTCCTGTCTTTAAAGATTCTCCTTCCTTGTCTCCTGAGATACCACTCTGTTCCTGGCTCTGCTCCTAATTTTTTGACCATTTCTCTTCCTTTGCTCTCCCCTTGAGTGTTGGTTGCTTCTCTGAGACCCTCAGTCCACTTGTCTTCTCATTCTGCAGTGTATACACATGTTCTGTGGCTGACCTCATCCATTCCCATGGTTTCAACTACCACTATGTGCTGATGAAGTAATCACCTGCATATCTCTTGCTATTAAGCTTATACTGAGGCACAGATAATGCATTCACTTGCCTACTGGATAAGCTCAAAAATTCCAAAGCAGCCCAGAAAAAGGTCAATTAACCTGACCCAAAGGGTAGTACATTTTAAGACTACATAATAGGTTGGTTAGGGAATCTCTGAGTTTTCCGAGTCCACAGGGAATCACCTTGGATGACCATGTGAACTGTGATTGTAGAAACAGAAAACAAAACAAAACGAAACGAAAAAAGAGCAACAAAAACCACAATAACAAAAACACTAGAGCACAACAAAAAGTTTCACTTAGGCTGGATTGTCCAATATAACAGTCACAAACTGCAAACGGCTTTTGAGCATCTGAAATGTGTTTGGTTTTAATTGAGATGTAGAGTAAATGTAAAATACTATCAGTTTTAAAAGAAAGCAAAATATCTCTCTCTCTTTTTTTTTTTTTTTTTTTTTTTTACTGATTACAGAACAGTTCCTGGTTCATACGAAATGCTCAATAAATGTTAACTGCTACCATTACTAGACACTCTCAATTCTGGTCACTTCAAATTTCTTGATATTACCCAAACCTACCAGGCACTTTGATGCTTCTTTACCTTTGTGAATGCTGTTTCTCCTGCCTGGAATGCTCTATTGCAAATTCTTCACCTATGAAACTACTACACATACTTCAAGATCTAGCTAAAACATTACCCGCTTTTTGAAATCTGCCACATTACCGGTGGTTATTGTCTCCTCTGTGGCACCGTGTAGATATTGCTATTATTGCACAAATGGTAACACAGCTACACTTGTAATATAATGGGTGTGTCTGCTTCCTTACTGGACTTTTAATCTCAACAGAGATAGGGGCTTGTTGGTCTCCTGTTGGTATATAGCACGAGTGTCTAGCACAACATTTGCCACCGAGTAGGTACTAAATAACTGCTTTTCAAACTGAAAATTGATTAATCTAATTAAACAATCTATCTTTACATATGAGGAAACTGAAGCCCTGGGAAGTGATGGACTTTTTGGACAAGCTTACGCTTTGGACCCTAGTGGACCAGGGGGCCTTTTCTTTTGCCTCTGAAGAAAACAGGCAAAGTGTAGCCCCAGAATAATTAAAATAAAGACTTAAATTAACAGAGATGCCTCACTTTCACTACTTGTGAGAAAATAATGATGGGTGTGAACCCCAAACCTTGATACTGAATTAAGCGTATAATATATGTCCAAACTTCCACTAATTTCTGGTGTCAGGATAAGGATAATAACATTTTGCTATTTAACATCCCTCTGTGGCTGGCTAGACAGCAGGACCTGCAAGCAACTGTAGAGTCCAATATTGTTATGTGCTTGACGGAAAGAATACAATGAGTCAAATGACCTAGATACTAGTCCTTACTTTGTTGCTAACTTCTTAGATAAGTTACTTAAATTTTGTCAACTATTTTCACATCTATATGATGAGTGCTTGGATCAGATGATCTCTAAAGTATAACAAACTCCCTTCTGATTGTGACTGTGACAGGATTCTTCATGTACAATGAGATTCTCTCTTATTTTTAAAGCTCTCTAGAAAAAGTTAATATACATTTCCCTTAAGAATCCCTTCAGTTTTATATCTCTGAGCTAAGTAAGTAATAATGGAAAACTATATCAGATTGGATAGTGTTTATAGATTACAAATTACTTTACATGCAGTATTTCAATTTTCAAAACCTCTGAGGAAAGTTGACCAGTTAGCTTTTTTATATCAATTCTGCAGACGATGATGATGATCGTTATGATAATAAGAGCTAACATTTTATTGAGTATGCCAGACAGTGTTCTTAGAACTCTGCAAGTGCTATCATATTAAGTTATTCTAGATGAGGATTCTAAAGCCCCAAAATGTCAAGCGATTTGCCCAAGTTAGTAATGACAGATTCAGGACTTGAATCCAACTTGACTATCTCTAATTTCTGAGTTCTATGCCAATCACTCATCCCCTACAACTGTTTTGTATATCATTGAATTAGAGAATGAGTAAACATCACCTTTTATGACAGCCCTTCACAATTGGAAGATATTGTTCATTATCCTTTTAATTTTGTCTTCTTTTTTGCATAGATTACATTTCTTATCAGAGATCTGGCTGGCTCACATCATTTTGTTAGAGCTAATCCTGTGTATCTCTTCTTAACTCTGCATTCAGTGACATCACTTTGGTGGTGCTATGGCTTGAATATATCCTCCAAAGTTCACATGTTGGAAACTTAATCCCCAGTGCAACAGTGCTGAGAGGTGAGACCTTTAAGAAGTGATTAGGTCATGAGGGCTCTGTCCTCATGAATGGATTAATGTCATTATCACAGGAGTGGGTTCCTGATAAAAGGATGAGTTCAGCCTTCTTCTCACTTGTGTGTGCTCTTGTGTCTTTCTGCCTTCCCACCATGGGATGATGCAGCAAGAAGGTCCTCATCAGATGCAGCTCCTCACTGTTAGACTTCCCAGCCTCCAGAACTGCGAGTCAAATAAGCTTATATAAATTACACAGTCTACGGTATTCTGTTATAGCAGCAGCAAAAGAGACTAAGATAAGTGGCATAAAATCAGCCATGGTGGCAGATTTTTACACCATATAAATATGTTAATGCTACAGACAAAGATCTACTTTCCCCCTGGAAAGCCAGTTGTTAAATACTTACCAGCACATGTTTGGTTCAGGATAAAAGAGAAAAATGCCAGAACCTCATTCTGGGTTCCATTGAGTAAAGTGGACATTTGTATTTTAGTAAAGGTAACAGTATAGACCATGACATCTTTCTTATTCTGGAGAAAGAAACATTACTCTTCCTTTGAGATGCCTTTGGAATATTCCAGATATTCCTAGACATGAAGAGAACTAATAGAGCTAAGAAATATTTTTTTTCACCAAATTATTGCTATTCTCTTTTCTGTAATATCCTGAAAACTGCAAAGGTTCAGGCTTTAATCCTTTGTAGAATTGGCAAAGATTTTTACGTAACCTTCTTCAAGCATGGTACACTGATTTAAGATGACAGCTAGTGAGTGGTAAAGCCTAGATTCTTTCTTTCTTTCTCTCTTTCTTTCCCTTCCTTTCTTTCTTTCTTTCTTTCTTTCTTTCTTTCTTTCTTTCTTTCTTTCTTTCTTTCTTTCTTTCTTTCTTTCTTTCTTTCCTTTCTTTCTTTCTTCCTTTCTTTCATACAAGTTCTTGCTCTTTCACCCAGGCTGGAGTGCAGTGGTGCAATCATAGCTCACTGTAGCCTTGAGCTCCTGGGTTCAAGCGATCCTCCTGCCTCAGCCTCCCAAGTAACTGGGACTACAGGCACTTGTCACCATGTCCATTTAATTTTTTTAAATTTTATTAATTTTATTTTTTTGAGATGGAGTCTCGCTCTGCCACCCAGGCTGGGGTGCAATGGTGCGATCTCAGCTCACTGCAAGCTCCGCCTCCCGGGTTCACGCCATTCTCCTGCCTCAGCCTCTCGAGTAGCTGGGACTACAGGCGTCCGCCACCACATCCAGCTAATTTTTTGTATTTTTAGTAGAGACGGAGTTTCACCGTGTTAGCCAGGATGGTCTCGATCTCCTGACCAGGTGATCTGCCCGCCTTGGCCTCCCAAAGTGCTGGGATTACAGGTGTGAGCCACTGCACCCGGCCCACCACATCCATTTAATTAAAAAAAATTTTTGTAGAGGTGGGGTCATGCCATGTTACTCAGGCTGGTCTCAATCTCCTGGCCTCAAGTGATCCTCCCACCTCAGTCTTCAAAGCATTGGGATTACAGACAGAAGCCACTGCACCCTGTCCTGGATTTCTTGATTACCAGTTCATAGCTCTTGTCACCCATCATGGTGCCTGTACAAGACATTATTTGGAAATATTTGCAGTGTGTATTTATGGTCACTTGCTGTGTATGAATAAACTTGTATATCTAATAAATAATCATCTGGAACATTTTTACTTGGTGTTCACATTGTTTAGTCATCAGAATCCCTGCTTCCAGCTAGTATAGTACTCACATTTAAGGAAAATTCTGGGACTCTTATATAACATTTTGGAGGTGGAACAATCCCTGTCATCCTCTTGAGGAAAGGGAAAATGGAAGGTCTGATCTGATAGTGTGTATCATTGATCACTTGGACATCTAATAAAGTTCAGCTGACTGAGTTATTTTTATTTTGGTGAAGTAGATTTTAGTTTCCTCCAAAAATCTAGCCTAGATCTACTTCCTGGAAACCAAAAGCTCTGGATTTCCCAAAAGCAGCCACAATCCCAAATTCTCTGGCTATAAGTTCTTAATTATAAAACATATGCCCCACATTTTGGTTAATGAAAATATTATTCCTGCTTATGCTGAGAATGAGACTATTTTGCGGAAGGAGAATAAAATAAGTCATCATTACTTACACATTTCATTAGGGTACTACTTTGGGGAGCTATTGTATAATCTGGATGAGTGGAGAGAGCTTTTGAGCTGAACTGACAGAGACATGAAGGAAACCAGAAGAAAGAGTCACTAGAGGTCAGGCCTCAGACCTACCTCTTTTCAGTAGCTCCTCTGGAGAACTGTGACCATGGCATACTCCCCAGAACCTATATGTCCAGCCACATGCGTGTCCTAAGGGAGAGCCAACTACTGGACAGTGCCCATTTGATTCCTCACCCTAGATGCAGCCATCTGTTGCCATTGCTACAACTCCTGAGTGGGATCCCATCAGGGCATTGTTTTGGCTCAGGATTCTGAAGGGGAGGCCAGACCACTTGGCCTATGGGACAAGGAAAATCTTAAGTAGGATTGGCTGCAAGGGATGGTCTAAGGAAAATTTCAGGAGTAGGCTAAGAAAGCGATTGATTGAAGAATTGAGTATAACTCCCCTTCTCTGGGAATTTCTGCAGTGTCAAGGGCATGAAAAGAGAACATCCTGGAAGAATCAAATGATGGTAGACAAAGTCAGATGTATTTGGTTGAAGGATAACCAAATTAAGTCCCTGTCCTTGAGTGTTTCTATGAGAGTAGAGGGATGAGGACAGAACTTTCTGGAAAAGAGCTATTGAAAAAATGCAGAGCCTATCAGAGGCTCTTTCTGGATGGGGAGTGTCATGGTTTGAGTATGTTCCCTTCAAAATTCAGGTGTTAAAACTTAATGGCCAATGTGATGGTATTAAGAGGTAGGACTTTTAAGAGGTGATTGGGTGATGAGGTCTCCTCCCCTCATGAATGAGATTAAGCCCTTAAAAAAAGGCTTCATGCAGTGTTTAGATCTTTTTCCCTTTCACCTTTTGCCACATGAGGACACAATATTCCTCTCCTTTGAAAGATATAGTAATAAGGTACCATCTTGGAAGGAAAAAGCAGCCCTCAGCTGACAACCAATGGCCATTTCCTTGATCTTTGACTTACCAGCCTCCAGAATTGTGAGAAAATAAGTTTTTCCTGTTTATAAATTACCCAGTCTCAGGTATTTTGTTATAGCAGCACAGGGAGAGACCGATTATCATACATAATCATGAGTGCTTATTTGAAGGAAGAGGGTGAAATCACCAAAATTAATCATAGTGATATTGAATTCTGGATGAGTTAGTCAGGTGTCTAATCCACATAAACAATCCCTTCTCTGAAGAAAGAGAGGCGAAAAAGCTACTCCCAAAATTACATGAAGTGATATTTGTTCCTAGACTAGTTATTTATATTGTCTAATCCTTATGAGTAAATGCTTCTCTGAAGAGGGAGGAGGAAAATGCTAACACAAAAATTGATTCCAGTGAGATAAGTTCCTGGACAAGTTAGTCATGGGTCTGATCATATATGGTAAATGCTGATTTGAAAGAAGAGGACAAAAAGTCTCATCCCAAAGTAATCATAGTGATGTTTGTTTCTAGACTAGTTGTTTGTGTTGTCTGGTCCATATAAGAAAATGCTTATCTGAAGAAATAGGCAGGCAAAAGTCATCACCAAACACATGGCCAGATAAGCTGCACTGTATACTACAGGTTTATTGAAATGACTATGTGGCTGTGACAGGCATTAATTTTGTCTCATTGTGCAACTTTGGTGGAAAAAGAAAATGGGAGAATGAGAGAGACTTCTAGCATGAGGAGAATGCTGGGGCAGGGTGGAGGCAAGCTCTACTAGACAGAAGTGGTAGAAGTCTTTTTTTTTAATATTTATTTATTTATTTATTTATTTATTTATTTATTATTATACTTTAAGTTTTAGGGTACATGTGCACATTGTGCAGGTTAGTTACATATGTATACACGTGCCATGCTGGTGCGCTGCACCCACTAACTCATCATCTAGCATTAGGTATATCTCCCAATGCTATCCCTCCCCCCTCCCCCCACCCCACAATAGTCCCCAGAGTGTGATATTCCCCTTCCTGTGTCCATGTGATCTCATTGATCAATTCCCACCTATGAGTGAGAATATGCAGTGTTTGGTTTTTTGTTCTTGCGATAGTTTACTGAGAATGATGATTTCCAATTTCATCCCTGTCCCTACAAAGGACATGAACTCATCATTTTGTATGGCTGCATAGTATTCCATGGTGTATATGTGCCACACTTTCTTAATCCAGTCTATCATTGTTGGACATTTGGGTTGGTTCCAAGTCTTTGCTATTGTGAATAATGCCGCAATAAACATACGTGTGCATGTGTCTTTATAGCAGCATGATTTATAGTCCTTTGGGTATATACCTAGTAATGGGATGGCTGGGTCAAATGGTATTTCCAGTTCTAGATCCCTGAGGAATCACCACACTGACTTCCACAATGGTCGAACTAGTTTACAGTCCCACCAACAGTGTAAAAGTGTTCCTATTTCTCCACATCCTCTCCAGCACCTGTTGTTTCCTGACTTTTTAATGATTGCCATTCTAACTGGTGTGAGATGGTATCTCATAGTGGTTTTGATTTGCATTTCTCTGATGGCCAGTGATGGTGAGCATTTTTTCATGTGTTTTTTGGCTGCATAAATGTCTTCTTTTGAGAAGTGTCTGTTCATGTCCTTTGCCCACTTTTTGATGGGGTTGTTTGTTTTTTTCTTGTAAATTTGTTTGAGTTCATTGTAGATTCTGGATATTAGCTCTTTGTCAGATGAGTAGGTTGTGAAAATTTTCTCCCATTTTGTAGGTTGCCTGTTCACTCTGATGGTAGTTTCTTTTGCTGTGCAGAAGCTCTTTAGTTTAATTAGATCCCATTTGTCAATTTTGTCTTTTGTTGCCATTGCTTTTGGTGTTTTAGACATGAAGTCCTTGCCCATGCCTATGTCCTGATTGGTAATGCCTAGGTTTTCTTCTGGGGTTTTTATGGTTTTAGGTCTAACATTTAAGTCTTTAATCCATCTTGAATTGATTTTTGTATAAGGTGTAAGGAAGGGATCCAGTTTCAGCTTTCTACATATGGCTAGCCAGTTTTCCCAGCACCATTTATTAAATAGGGAATCCTTTCTCCATTGCTTGTTTTTCTCAGGTTTGTCAAAGATCAGATAGTTGTAGATACGCTGCATTATTTCTGAGGGCTCTGTTCTGTTCCATTGATCTATATCTCTGTTTTGGTACCAGTACCATGCTGTTTTGGTTACTGTAGCCTTGTAGTATAGTTTGAAGTCAGGTAGTGTGATGCCTCCAGCTTTGTTCTTTTGGCTTAGGATTGACTTGGTGATGCGGGCTCTTTTTTGGTTCCATATGAACTTTAAAGTAGTTTTTTCCAATTCTGTGAAGAAAGGCATTGGTAGCTTGATGGGGATGGCATTGAATCTGTAAATTATCTTGGGCAGTATGGCCATTTTCACGATATTGATTCTTCCTACCCATGAGCATGGAATGTTCTTCCATTTGTTTGTATCCTCTTTTATTTCCTTGAGCAGTGGTTTGTAGTTCTCCTTAAAGAGGTCCTTCACATCACCTGTGAGTTGGATTCCTAGGTATTTTATTCTGTTTGAAGCAATTGTGAATGGGAGTTCACTCATGATTTGGCTCTCTGTTTGTCTGTTGTTGGTGTATAAGAATGCTTGTGATTTTTGTACATTGATTTTGTATCCTGAGACTTTGCTGAAGTTGCTTATCAGCTTAAGGAGATTTTGGGCTGAGATGATGGGGTTTTCTAGATATACAATCATGTCGTCTACAAACAGGGAGAATTTGACTTTCTCTTTTCCTAATTGAATACCTTTTATTTCCTTCTCCTGCCTAATTGCCCTGGCCAGAACTTCCAACACCATTTTGAATAGGAGTGGTGAGAGAGGGCATCCCTGTCTTGTGCCAGTTTTCAAAGGGAATGCTTCCAGTTTTTGCCCATTCAGTATGATATTGGCTGTGGGTTTGTCATAGATAGCTCTTATTATTTTGAAATACGTCCCATCAATACCGAATTTATTGAGAGTTTTTAGCATGAAGGGTTGTTGAATTTTGTCAAAGGCTTTTTCTGCATCTATTGAGATAATCATGTGGTTTTTGTCTTTGGCTCTGTTTATATGCTGGATTACATTTATTGATTTGTGTATATTGAACCAGCCTTGCATCCCAGGGATGAAGCCCACTTGATCATGGTGGATAAGCTTTTTGATGTGCTGCTAGATTTGTTTTGCCAGTATTTTATTGAGGATTTTTGCATCAATATTCATCAAGGATATTGGTCTAAAATTATCTTTTTTTGTTGTGTCTCTGCCTGGCTTTGGTATCAGAATGATGCTGGCCTTATAAAAAGAGTTAGGGAGGATTCCCTCTTTTTCTATTGATTGGAATAGTTTCAGAAGGAATGGTACCAGTTCCTCCTTGTACCTCTGGTAGAATTCGGCTGTGAATCCATCTGGTCCTGGACTCTTTTTGGTTGGTAAGCTATTGATTATTGCCACAATTTCAGCTCCTGTTATTGGTCTATTCAGAGATTCAACTTCTTCCTGGTTTAGTCTTGGGAGGGTGTATGTGTCGAGGAATTTATCCATTTCTTCTAGATTTTCTAGTTTATTTGCCTAGAGATGTTTGTAGTATTCTCTGATGGTAGTTTGTATTTCTGTGGGATTGGTGGTGATATCCCCTTTATCATTTTTTATTGTGTCTATTTGATTCTTCTCTCTTTTTTTCTTTATTAGTCTTGCTAGCAGTCTATCAATTTTGTTGATCCTTTCAAAAAACCAGCTCCTGGATTCATTAATTTTTTGAAGGGTTTTTTGTGTCTCTATTTCCTTCAGTTCTGTTCTGATTTTAGTTATTTCTTGCCTTCTGCTAGCTTTTGAATGTGTTTGCTCTTGCTTTTCCAGCTCTTTTAATTGTGATGTTAGGGTGTCAATTTTGGATCTTTCCTGCTTTCTCTTGTGGGCATTTAGTGCTATAAATTTCCCTCTACACACTGCTTTGAATGTGTCCCAGAGATTCTGGTATGTTGTGTCTTTGTTCTCATTGGTTTCAAAGAACATCTTTATTTCTGCCTTCATTTCGTTATGTACCCAGTAGTCATTCAGGAGCAGGTTGTTCAGTTTCCATGTAGTTGAGCGGTTTTGAGTGAGATTCTTAATCCTGAGTTCTAGTTTGATTGCACTGTGGTCTGAGAGATAGTTTGTTACAATTTCTGTTCTTTTACATTTGTTGAGGAGAGCTTTACTTCCAAGTATGTGGTCAATTTTGGAATAGGTGTGGTGTGGTGCTGAAAAAAATGTATATTCTGTTGATTTGGGGTGGAGAGTTCTGGAGATGTCTATTAGGTCTGCTTGGTGCAGAGCTGAGTTCAATTCCTGGGTATCCTTGTTGACTTTCTGTCTCGTTGATCTGTCTAATGTTGACAGTGGGGTGTTAAAGTCTCCCATTATTAATGTGTGGGAGTCTAAGTCTCTTTGTAGGTCACTCAGGACTTGCTTTATGAATCTGGGTGCTCCTGTATTGGGTGCATATATATTTAGGATAGTTAGCTCTTCTTGTTGAATTGATCCCTTTACCGTTATGTAATGGCCTTCTTTGTCTCTTTTGATCATTGTTAGTTTAAAGTCTGTTTTATTAGAGACTAGGATTGCCACCCCTGCCTTTTTTGTTTTCCATTTGCTTGGTAGGTCTTCCTCCATCCTTTTATTTTGAGCCTATGTGTGTCTCTGCACATGAGATGGGTTTCCTGAATACAGCACACTGATGGGTCTTGACTCTTTATCCAATTTGCCAGTCTGTGTCTTTTAATTGGAGCATTTAGTCCATTTACAATTAAAGTTAATATTGTTATGTGTGAATTTGATCCTGTCATTATGATGTTAGCTGGTTATTTTGCTCGTTAGTTGATGCAGTTTCTTCCTAGTCTTGATGGTCTTTACATTTTGGCATGATTTTGCAGCGGCTGGTACTGGTTGTTCCTTTCCATGTTTAGCGCTTCCTTCAGGAGCTCTTTTAGGGCAGGCCTGGTGGTGACAAAATCTCTCAGCATTTGCTTGTCGGTAAAGTATTTTATTTCTCCTTCACTTATGAAGCTTAGTTTGGCTGGATATGAAATTCTGGTTTGAAAATTCTTTTCTTTAAGAATGTTGAATATTGGCCCCCACTCTCTTCTGGCTTGTAGAGTTTCTGCCGAGAGATCCGCTGTTAGTCTGATGGGCTTCCCTTTGTGGGTAACCCAACCTTTCTCTCTGGCTGCCCTTAACATTTTTTCCTTCATTTCAACTTTGGTGAATCTGACAATTATGTGTCTTGGAGTTGCTCTTCTTGAGGAGTATCTTTGTGGCGTTCTCTGTATTTCCTGAATCTGAACATTGGCCTGCCTTGCTAGATTGGGGAAGTCCTCCTGGATAATATTCTGCAGAGTGTTTTCCAACTTGGTTCCATTCTCCCCATCACTTTCAGGTACACCAATCAGACGTAGATTTGGTCTTTTCACATAGTCCCATATTTCTTGGAGGCTTTGCTCATTTCTTTTTATTCTTTTTTCTCTAAACTTCCCTTCTCACTTCATTTCATTCATTTCATCTTCCATTGCTGATACCCTTTCTTCCAGTTGATCACATCGGCTCCTGAGGCTTCTGCATTCTTCACGTAGTTCTCGAGCCTTGGTTTTCAGCTCCATCAGCTCCTTTAAGCACTTCTCTGTATTGGTTATTCTAGTTATACATTCTTCTAAATTTTTTTCAAAGTTTTCAACTTCTTTGCCTTTGGTTTGAATGTCCTCCCGTAGCTCAGAGTAATTTGATCGTCTGAAGCCTTCTTCTCTCAGCTCGTCAAAGTCATTGTGCATCCAGCTTTGTTCCATTGCTGGTGAGGAACTGCGTTCCTTTGGAGGAGGAGAGGCGCTCTGCTTTTTAGAGTTTCCAGTTTTTCTGTTCTGTTTTTTCCCCATCTTTGTGGTTTTATCTACTTTTGGTCTTTGATGATGGTGATGTACAGATGGGTTTTTGGTGTGGATGTCCTTTCTGTTTGTTAGTTTTCCTTCTAACAGACAGGACCCTCAGCTGCAGGTCTGTTGGAATACCCTGCCATGTGAGGTGTCAGTGTGCCCCTGCTGGGGGGTGCCTCCCAGTTAGGCTGCTCAGGGGTCAGGGGTCAGGGACCCACTTGAGGAAGCAGTCTGCCCATTCTCAGATCTCCAGCTGCGTGCTGGGAGAACCACTGCTCTTTTCAATGCTGTCAGACAGCGACATTTAAGTCTGCAGAGGTTACTGCTGTCTTTTTGTTTGTCTGTGCCCTGCCCCCAGAGGTGGAGCCTACAGAGGCAGGCAGGCCTCCTTGAGCTGTGGTGGGCTTCACCCAGTTGGAGCTTCCTGGCTGCTTTGTTTACCTAAGCAAGCCTGGGCAATGGCGGGCGCCCCTCCTCCAGCCTCGCTGCCGCCTTGTGGTTTGATCTCAGACTGCTGTGCTAGCAATCAGCGAGACTCCGTGGGCGTAGGACTCTCCGAGCCAGGTGCGGGAAATAATCTCGTGGTGCGCCGTTTTTGAAGCCGGTCTGAAAAGCACAGTATTCAGGTGGGAGTGACCCGATTTTCCAGGTGCCGTCCGTCACCCCTTTCTTTGACTCGGAAAGGGAACTCCCTGACCCCTTGCGCTTCCCAAGTGAGGCAATGCTTCGCCCTGCTTCGGCTCGCACACGGTGCGCGCAGCCACTGACCTGCGCCCATTGTCTGGCACTCCGTAGTGAGATGAACCCGGTACCTCAGATGGAAATGCAGAAATCACCGTCTTCTGCGTCGCTTACGCTGGGAGCTGTAGACCGGAGCTGTTCCTATTCGGCCATCTTGGCTCCTGTCCCAAGAGTTTCTTAGAGTCTTGACTTTGCTTGGTGGAGTCTCTTGTTGTAGTTTAATAAGTTACTCTGTCCTGTACTTCTTGTAACTTGGTAGTTAGTTCTATAGGCTGAACCAAATTTGAGTTGATTTTTTTTCCTCTTGACTTCATAGTGGTGTGATCTATTTGGAGGTACAAAATTTTGGGTTACCTCTCTTTTCTCTTATGTTAGCTGCCAGTAATGATTAATACCATCAGTCTTTAGGTTGATGATATTTCACCAGGTGTTTTGGTTATTAGAAGCTCATTCTGTAAAATCAGGAAAAACTTGCAGGAACAGTATTTCCTGAGTTCTCACATGTTGATAAACTTGTCTTGGCATTTTTACTTGAACTCAGGTTGGTCATAAAATCTTTGGCTCACATTTTCTTTCCTTGGGCTTGTTAAATATGCTATCCCATTTTCTGCTGACATAAAAAGATTTGTTGTCAAAGTCTGATAATCTTGTTTTCTCTCTTTTATTAGTTATTTTGGTCCTTTTATTGATTTTTTTCCTTTAAAGTCCAGTAATTTTACTAGAATGTGTCTCTGTGTTGGTTAATTTGCCTAGGTTAATTTCCCCTTTTAACCTGAAGTTTTAAATTCTATTTCAGAGAAGTGTTCTTGAATCATACTTTGTAAAAACAATTGTTCTGTTTTCTTCCTTTGGTTTTCTCATTTGAGGATTGAGAGCTTATGAAAAATAAAACACTTTTTATCAGCTGCTGAGGGGCATCAACATAGGGATGAATAAGGAATTGCCAAGCCGTATTGAAGGCTGAATTGAGATTAAATGACATACATTTCTAGTGGAGCCAACTTTCTATAGCAGAACTCAGCAGCTACAAACAAAATAAATGGTTGGGTTTTGTGGCAGGTCACATAGCATAGAAAGGCGAAGGCTTGGGAAATCCTAGGATGCTAGTTGAAGTACAGCTGAAATAGTTACCAGTATATTAATTGTACAAATAAGTACAAAATACATGCAGCTATTTCTGGAATAGTTCCAAGTTTTTCTATTTTATTTTAAATAAAGGAAATGTGAATGTTTGACTAAATGTGATTTATTTCTTATTCATTGGTAAGAATGTTCATTAACAAATCAGAAAAGAAAATCTTGATAGACCATCTGTCCCAATTTTTAATTTGAAAAAAATTTATTCCTCATATATGTGTCATCAGCCAGTGCAGTAATAATGTCAATGAAAACAGTGCCTGAGAGCGAAAGCCCTTTAATTGGAGACTTTTTTTATCAGTCATGTTGGCAGTGTTGGCAGATTTCAAATGTTTCAATAACATTATTTATACTAAATTTTTGGCCTGTGGGGCTGAAAGTACTTCCTGCTTAAACAATGAGCAAAGTCGATCTTTGTCCACAGACTCTCCGAAGTGGGAATCCTTGAGTATTTTCTACCTTTACATTTAGCTTAAGGTCAAGATAGACACAATTGCAATGTTAAAACAAGCAGGTTGTTTTATTGGTCTCTCCTTTCCTCATAGGAATGGTAAAAGTTCTCCTTAGTTAAATCTCTTTTTACTCTTCTTTAGGTTTCCCAGTATTCCTTTGCTCTGATGTTGTCATACCTGACGCCATTGATGCTTATTGATTAATTGACTTTCTTTACCTCCTAACTCAATGTTCCTATTAAATAGGGGCAATGTAGGGAGATAAGATAATGATGGTTATTCCAGACAAAAAAGTCTTTATCTCCACATGGTCTTGCCATAAACAATGGGGCTGGGATATATGTAGGTGGGGGTTGGGGAACTAGATACACAACAAATCCCATATATAAATCTGATGGAATTCTGCAGTTAACTTTGGAATCTTACATAGAGTGTTACTACATCTAGCTACCACTTCCTGTTCTTCCTGTTACTACAAAGTCTATTTCTCTTTCTTGATCTGCTTCATTGCAATTGTCCATTCAGCAGCCATTTTGTCATCCTTGCCCCCACTTCTTGTTTGCCTTGACTAGGATGGTGAAATGTATTTGAAATGTACTGGGAGTAGCAAAATAGGATCTTAATGTGAACTTTTTGACTAATTTACCCAGTTTGTAGCTTTTGCAACAATATCCTTCTAAAGGATTTCAGTCAATCTCTGTCACTATCTACTTAAAGATGTCTTTTGCTACTGCTCTCCACAGATGGCTTCAGGATGCTGATGCTTTCACTGAGAACACCAATGCCTAAACTCTTTGTTGGACCAAGGCAGTATTACTGATGATGAATCCCTCTTTCAGACTGCTGCAGATGCTTGTACTTAGAGTACTTAACCTGCATATAAGGTAATACATCATATTACTGCCAAAGCTCTTGGTACCAATGCTGCTGATTCTTTGGCTTGCAATATCTTATGGTGATTTGCTCTGTTTACTGCAACTTCTTTGCTAAAGATTCAGACTTAGGTCTCTGAGGCTGGGAATAAAATTCAATCTGATATATACCATGCTATACTTAAAATTTACATTCCTTCTGTGTTCAAACACTGGTCTATTTCTATTGAATCAAACTTGTTTATCTTGATTCTGCTTACATAATTCTTTCTCAGAAGAATCCTTAGACTCTAGTATAGTGTCTTTCCCAGCCCCAGTGGTTCTCCTGATGGTGCTCAAAATGTGCCTGGAGCCCCTCCTATAACATTCTCTTCCCTATTACTCCAAGTAAAAATGTTGTTGTCTTCATTAAAGTCTACACCCACCCAAGAATCAGTTTGAGTAATTGGCATTCCTTCAAGTGAGGTCTTACACAATACCAAAGCATTGGGGAGAGAGAAAGGTGGAGCCACCTGATTATTGACTGTTAGTTCACACAAATTGCCATTGTCTTTTTGCTACTATCTGTACTTGGTGATTTATAGGGTCCAGCAGAGAGCTGTTGCCCAGTGCCTGCATGGTAGTCTTTCTATTGTTTCTATTCCACATTTGGAATACTAGTATTTTATAAGGATTCTTGTGTTCATCACTAGGACACATACCCCATAGCCATTTCCTTTCTGGGGTCATGAGACCTCACTATTCCCACCTTTGAGAATCAGATGCAGGGCCTATGCTTTCGTTACCTACATAATTCTTTCTTTCCATTTCTCTGGTCTCTTAGCCTAGGGCAATATCCAGACTGTAGAAAAAGCCCCTAATCTTCCCCACCACTCACTACCCATATGAATTAATTTAATTTAACATATTTCTTCCATGTAGCTCAGCTGGAGTGGGAGTGGGGTTAGGTTTACAAGAGCAGTTAAAATATCTGTTAGAAAGCCTTGGAGTGGGTGTCTAGCAGCTGCTTGATGCTTTTTAAAGAATATGTGTGTGGAGAGGTAGTCCAATCTTACTATCTTCAGCTTTGGGATTTTAACTGAAATAGTGACAAAAAAAAGTCTCATTTATAAGTCTAAATCTTCACCATTACATTTCAGTCTTCTCACTAAGCATAGCAAAAGTGCACATCCTTCCCTAACTCTTACCTGTTCTCTTTGGAACATTCTTCTTCCAAGGCTGGAGAGGATCCTCTCTAGTATCCTGAAATACAAGCAGGGTTAATGTAATCTGGGATAGATAGCACTCATACTATCTCCAGAGGAGGTAATGAGGACAGTAAAATAAGAGGGTACTTGAGTTACAATATAATAGGACTAACCAAGGTTATGTGCTTAAGTTTCTGTCACTGATGCAGTCACTAGTTAGTATAAATAAATCAGTTTTTGGCACACAATTCAAGGGAAAAAAGCAATAAACACTCCTATGGCTCAGAGATAAAAATATTTTGAGCTCTTGCTAGGGATATGTAAAGAAGGGCATGAGATCAATACGATGGAGAATGCAAGGCAATAGACTGCCTTGAGAGTAGCCAGTTTCTACTGTAGGCTACACTGCATATTAGAGGACAGTATTACTATAAACAGACCAGTTTCAATTCAACTTCGGGATACCGTGAAGCACAAATTTCACAGGAAACATGGGAATTAAAAGGTTTGAAATATGTAAAACAGACCTTATGAGTAAGAAGAGAATTTTGAGTAAGAGGTAATGACTGTGGTATGCGTATATGTGGCAATACTGCAAGTTTCTGAAGATTTGCAAGGAAACAGAGGTGTCTTAAATACCACTCTGAGAGCAGACAGTTTGAAGAGTTATATTTTCACCAATATATGATGGCCATCACAATTATTCTTTTTTTTTCTCCCCCTTGGTAGACTTTTCTTTTCTCTAGCACCACCTGAAGTCATGTGGTCACTGAGGGTTGAGACTCCCTAACCAACATCTACTTGTGTTGTAATCTTTTAATCTTTTAATAAAGCCCTTGGGCTAAGCTGACTGACATTCTTTTGGATAGCCCCCACAGATTTTGGAGCAAAGCCTGAGGGAGCAAAATTCCAGGGTCTCAAGGGAACCCTTTGGGTGCCATTTGACTGGGAAGACCTACATCAGAGCTCTCTTCAAGTCTCATACATGTGCTAATGGTCATTGCAGTCAGGGCAAGACTACCAATAGACCTTGATGCTAAATTGCTTTCAATTGTGTTTTATTGACAGGCACTGGACTCTGAAAAAGGGGAATTGATTGGGTGTATTACTGTGGAAGTCCAAACTTGGTAAAAAAGACACTGAGATATCTTGAGTTGGAATCATTCCATTACAGAGGTCTGACAGAGATACTAGCTGGGTCAACTGTCCTTTTCCTCTGTGATTTCATAGTATATTCCCCAAACTCTAGTTGGATTGATTATTCATAAGTGTGATGAGTTACTGTAGATTTTTGTATCCAAGGCACCTATAACACTTTCTGTAGTGGCCAACTTAGACTTTCTATGATTTGGAGACATTTTAGTAGGTAACATATACACAGAAGTATTTTCCACTGAAATTTAAGAAAACATATGCATTCTGATGTTTGCCATAAACCCACCATAGCAGGTTGAATGACCAGCCCCTATTAAAGCATTGGCACCTCAAAGGCAAATCTATGCATTCTATTCCTGGATGGTGTAAGGAGTGCTGACATTAATGTTTTCTGCTGTAGAATAGCTAAGTTGGGAGGGTTATCTTTATTTATTCTTAAAAAATTATATATATATATATATATATATATATGGTATACAATGTGATGTTCTGATATACACATACACATTCCATTCTTGGGATAAATCCTATCTGGTCATGGTATGTAATTTCTAAATATTTTGCTACATTCAAATTGTATTTTGTTTAGGATTTTTATGTCTACGTTCATAAGAGATATTAGTCTTTAGATTTCTGTTCTTTTGATAATTTTGTCTGATTTTAGTGTCAATTTAATAGTGGTCTCATAGGATGAGTTGGGAGGCATTCTCTCCTCTTCTGTATTTTTTGGAAGTGGTATTGTGGAAATGTTTACAAAAGTTGCTAAACAAGCAAACAACAGTAACAGCAACAAACAGCAACAACAAAAAATCCTGGCCGAGAGAGAATATGATTTTCAAAATTATCACATTATATTATTTATAATGTCCAGTTTTCAACAATATAAAATACAAGACAAGCAAATAAACGAGAAAGTATGAGCTATGCATAGGAAAAGAAGGCAGTCAATAGAAATGTTCTTTGATGAAGCCTAGATTTTGCATTTATTAGACAATAATTTTAAATCAGCTATTATAAATACTTTAAAAGAAATGAAAGAAATCATGCCCAAATAATTAATGCATGAAAATGTCTTATCAAATTGAGAAATTAGTAAAGAGAAGTTATGAAAAAGAATAAAATAGAAATTCTCAAGTTGAAAAGTACAATAACAGAAATAAAAAATTCAATAGTGAAGCTCAATGGCATATTTGAGCATGCAGAAGAAGAATCAACAAACTTGAAGAGAGATCAATTGAGATATTCCATTCTGATTAACACAAATAAAAATAATAAAGAATATAGAAGAGAACTTCAGACCTGTGCGATACATAATTTGTCCAACATACAATGGGAGTACCAAAAGCAAAGGAGAGAGAGAAAAAATAGAAAAAATAGCCAAAGAAATAATGGCCAAAAACATCTTGAAATGGATGAAAAATAATATACACATCCATGAAGTTCAACAAACTTCAAGCAGGATAAACTCAAAGGGTTCCAAACTAGATACACCATAATCAAACTGTCAAAAGCCAATGCAGAAGAGACAATCTTGAAAGCAATAAAAGAGAAGTGACTTATCATACACAGTAGATCCTAAATACAATAGTTGATTTCTAATCAGAAGTCATGGAGGCCAAAAGGAAAGGATGAGAAATTCAAAGTGCTGAAAGAAAAATACAGTTGACGAACAGTTCTGTAACTGGCAAAGGTATCCTTCAAAACTGAAGGAGAAATTAAGACATTCTTAGATTAAAAAAAAAACAGATAATTCATTGCAAGTAAATCTACCCTATAAGAAATAATAAAGGAAGTCCTAAGGCTGATATCCTTAAGGATTTTTTTTTTGAGATGGAGTCTTGTTTTGTCGCCCAGGATGGAGTGCAGTGGCATGATCTCGGCTCACCACAACCTCCTCCTCATGGGTTCAAGAGATTCTCCTGACTCAGCCTCCCAAGTAGCTGGGATTACAAGCCATGTGCCATCATGCCAGGCTAACTTTTGTATTTTTAGTAGAGATGGGGCTTCCCCATGTTGGCCAGGCTGGTATCAAACTCCTGACCTCAAGTGATCCACCTGCCTCCGCCTCCCAAAGTGCTGGGATTACTGGTGCGAGCCACCACGCCCAGCCACCTTAAGGATATTTGACAGTAACTTGAATGTACATGAAGAAATAAAGGGCACTGGAAAAGGTAACTATACAGGTAAATATAAGACAGTTAAATGTATTTTTTGTTTGTAATGTTTGTTCTCTGTGTGATTTAAAGGACAACTGTATAAAGCAATAATCATAAATTTCTCTTGATGTGCATACAATATATAACTATGTAATTTATGTGACAATAATAGCATAACAAAGAAAGAGTGAATGGAGGTATATAAGGGCCAAATTTTTACATATTATTGAAACAAGTTTATATTAATCAGAATTAGATTATTATAAATTATTAATTTTGATCCCCAGAACAATGACTAAGAAAATGACTATAATGAAATGGTAAAAGAAAAAGAAATAGAATTTAAATTCCTCACTAGAAAATATCTGGTTAGAATGAAGAAGGCATAAATGGAGCAATGGAGGGAAAAAAGACATAAGATATATAGAAAACAAATAGCAAAATGACCAAAGTAAATCTTACCATATCAGTAATTGCAATTAAAGTAAGTAGATTTAGCACTTCAATTAAAATGAAGAACTTGTTGAAACAGATTAAAAACATCAACTAATTATATGCTGTCTACAAAAGATACTTTAGATTCAAAGACACAAATAGGTTTAACATAAAAGATTTCTAAAACTATGTCATACAAATAGTAACCAAAGGAAAGTTAAACTGACCATACTAATCATCAGACAAAATAGACTTTAAGATCAAAATTTTTATCTGAGACAAAGAGGACATTTCATACTGATAAAAGAGTCTATCCATCAAAAAGATATACTGGTTATAAATATATATATATATATATATATATATATATATATACCCCCACAACAGAGTCCCAAAATATATGGAGCAAAAACTGTCAGAATTTAAGGGAAGAATAGGCAATGAACAGTAGTAGTAGTAGTAGACTTCAATACCCCATTTTGAGAAATAGATACAATAACTGGATATGTGATGAAAAATAAATGAGAAGACTTGAACAACACTATGAAATGACTGTATCTAACAAACATCTATTGAACACTCCACCTGACAATAGCTGAACACAAATTCTTTCCAAATGCACATGGAACATTCTTCAGGATAAACCATATGTTAGGCTACCAGACAAGTCTTACAGATTTTTAAAAGATTGGAAGCATGCAGAGTATATTCTCTGACCATAGTGGAATAAGATTAGAAATCAATAACAGAAGGAAATGGCCAATTCACAAATAGGTGAAAATTAAGCAACAAATTCCTAAATAACCAGAGTCAAAAAGAAAATCATGAGAAAAATTGGAAAATACTTTGAGATGAATGAAAATAAAAATGCAGCGTTCCAAAATTTATGAGATACCACAAAAGCAGTGCTTAGGGGAAAATTTATAGCCATATATATATATATATATATATATAAAATATATTATATATATAATATATACAAATATAATATATAATATATATTATATAATAAATATATATATAATATATATAATAAACATATATAATATATATTATATAAGAAACATATATAATATATAATATATATTACATATAAGAAACATATATAATATATAATATATATTACGTATAAGAAACATATATAATATATAATATATATTACGTATAAGAAACATATATAATATATAATATATATTACGTATAATAAACATATATAATATATAATATATATTACGTATAATAAATATATATAATATATAATATATATTATGTATAATAAATATATGTAATATATAATATATATTATGTATAATAAATATATGTAATATATAATATATATTATGTATAATAAATATATATTATATATAATATATATTATGTATAATAAATATATATAATATATAATATATATTATGTATAATAAATATATATAATTTATAATATATATTATGTATAAATATATATATGAAAAATGTTAAATCAACAACCTAAACTTTCATCTTAAGAAACTAGGAAAAAAAGAGCAAACTAGATTCAAAGCAAGTGGATGTAAAGAGATAATAAATATTATACTGGGAGTAAGTGAAATAGAGAACAGTAAAACGAGAGAAAATTAACAAAACAAAAAATTATTTTTTTTGGAAATATTAACAAAATGGAAAAAAATCTTTAGCTATACTGACTGAAAAAGAAAGAGGACTCGAATTTCTAAATCAGGAATGAAAGAGTGACATTACAAGAACCTTTATAAAAATGAAAAGGATTATAATGTTATACTATGAACAATTATATGCCCACAAATTAGATAGCCTAGATGAAAAGAATGAATTCCTAGTAAGACACAAACCATCAAGACTGACTCAAGACGGAATAGAAAATCAGAATATAACTATAAAAGGTAAAGAAATTGAATTAGCAATAAAAAAGAAAGCCCAGGACCATATATTTATCCTGGCGAATTGTACCAAATTTTTAAAGAAGAATTAATAACATTTTCTCAATACCACTTTAAAAAAAATAGGAGAGAACACCTCTCAATTCATTCTGTGACACCAGTATTACACTGACACAAAAGCAAGACAAAAACACCACAAGAACAGAAATCAAAAGACTAATATCCCTTATGAATATAGAAATAAAAATCCCAAACAAAATATAAACTAAGTAAATTCAGCAACATATAAAAATTCTTATATACTGTGACCAGGTAGGATTTATCCCAGGAATGCAAGGTTGATTCAGCATTTTGAAAACTAATCATTATAATACACCATATGAATACAGTCAAGGGAAAATATATGTTCATCTCAATAGATGAAGAAAAAGTATTTAACAAAATGCAACATTCTTTCTTGATAAAAAAAACATTCAACAAGGTAGGAATAGAAAGGAACATCATCAACTTGATAATGGGCATATATAAAAAATCTACAGCTAATATACTTAATGGTGAAGGACTAAAGCTTTCCCCTAAGACCAAGAAGACAAAGATTTCTATTCTTGCCACTTCTGTTCCTCATTGTACTGCAAGTTCTAGTCATGACCATTATGTAACAACAATGACAACAACAACAAAATAGAAGACATCCAGAATCGAAAAAAGTAAAACAATATCTGTTCACAGATTACATGACCATGTGTATAGAAAACCTTATGAAATCCAAAAAATATCATTAGAGTTCAGCAATGTTAGGAAACACAAGATATGTATACAAAAATAAATTTTATTTCTATATGCTCACAAGGAAAATTGCAAAATAATATTGAAGAAACATTTTCATTTTCAATATCACCAAAAATAATAAAATACTTAGGAATACATTTTTTAAATTGTAAAACTTGTACACGGAAAACTAGAAAACATCACTGAAGGAAATTAAGACCTAAATGAATAGATACTCCATGCTCATGAGTCAAAAGACTTAATATTTTCAAGATGGCAATATGCCCTAAATTGATCTACAGCTTCAATGTAATCCCTATCAAAATCCTCACTGCCTTTTTTACAAAAATTGAGGCGCTGATTTTAAAATTCATGTGGAAATCACAGGGATTTCAAATAGCCAAATAATCCTGAAAAAGAACAGCTAGAGGAGTAACACTTCCTGATTTCAAAAATTATTACAAAGCCACAGTAGCCAATTCTGCGTGGCATTTCCATAAGGAAAGACATGTAGATCAATGGAATGGAATTGAAAGTTCAGAAAGAAACCAATGTAACTATGGTCAATTGATTTTCAGCAAGGGTACAAAAGCTATCCAATGGGGGAAGACTAGTCTTTACAACATATGGTACTGGCACAGCTAGATATCTACATGTAAAAGAAAGAATTTGGACCCCTACCTCACCTCACCTCATACATATAGAAAAATTAACTCAAAATGAGTCAAAGACCTGAATGTAAGTGTAAACTATAACTCTAATCCTTAGAAGAAAATTTAGGTTTAAATATTTGTGACCTTGCATAAGGCAATGTTTTCTTAGATAAGAAACCAAAAACACAATGGCAAAAAAAAAAAAATGGTGAATAGGACTTCATCAAAATTTTTAAAATTTTGCTTCAAATGACAATCAGGAAACTGAAAAGACAATGCACAGAGTGGGAGAAAAATATTTGTAAATAATAACATTTTTAAGGGTGCAGTATCCAGAATATATGAGGAACTCTTGCAACCCAATAGCAAAAAGACAAATGGCTTAATTTAAAAATTGGCAAAAAACTTAAAACATTTCTCCATAAAAGATAAGACTGGCCAATACATGCATTAAAAGATGTGAAAATTATTTAGCTATTAGGGAAAAGCAAACAAAATCACCATGACATACCACTTTATATCCACTAGGATGGCTATAAGAAAAAAATATGGAAAATAAAATGTTGGTGAGGATGTGGAGAAACTGGAAAATTTCTATATTGTTGTTGGAAAGACTTTGGCAGTTCTTCATAATGTTAAACATAGAGGTACTGTATGACTCAAGAATTTCAGTCCTAGGTATATACCTAGAAGAAATAAAAACATATTTCCACAAAAATAGTTGTACAAAGAATGTTTATAGCAGCATTATTCATAATAGCCAAAGAGTAGAAATGGCCTAAATGTTCATCAACTGATAAATGGGTAAACAAAATGTGGTATGTTCATGCAATGGAATATTATTCAGTCATAAAAAGAAATGAATTTCTGAGAGACGCTACAACATGAATAAGTCTTGAAAAGATTATTCTAAATGACAGAAGCCAGACAAATAAAGGTCACATATTCTATAATTTCACTTACATGAGATATCTAGAATGTCAAATCCACAGAGGAAAAAAGTAGGTCAGTGGTAGGAAGGGGTTTGGGCAAGGGGAGTAAGAAATGGGGAATGAGTGCTAACTGGCATGAGATTTCTCTTTGAGTAGATGAAAATGCTCCAGAATTGGATAATGGTGATTGTTGTCCAACTTTGTGACTATACTAGATATTGCTGAGTTGTACACTTTTAAAGGATAAATTTTATGGTATACAAATTATATTTCAAAAAATCTGGAGAATAAAAAGTATTACTTACAGTTGGGCCATTCAATATGGCAGCCATTAGTGACAGGTAGCTAATGAACACCTGAAATGTCACCGGTCAGAATTATGACATGCTGTAAATGCAGAATACATATCACATTTCAAATAAGGTAAAATATCTCATTAACAAATTTAATATTGATTACATGTTGAAATGATAACATTGTGCATGTATTGGATTAAATAAAATTATTACAACAAATAAGTTCAAAAAATGTGACTGCTGAAAATTTTAAACTAACATATGTGGTTTGGATTTTTTATTCTCATTTTATTTTCTTAGGACAGCATTTCCTTAGAAGGATAATATATCAAGCCCACTATAATTTTTTTTTTTTTTTTTTTTTTTGCTATCTGGATAGTTGACATTGGACTTCATGTTTCTATTAGCTCACGGAAGGAGGCCTGTGGGATCAGTCTGGAATATTGATTCCTGTGGGGGTGTATGGGTGCAAGAAAAGGAGAGAATGGAAACAATGCTGGTTTCTAATTATCAAAACAATCTAAAGGGTCTGGGAATGCAAGATTATTGTTCATTGGTTTATTAGGTGGAATCATATTTGGAGAATCATGATTACTATGTCTAAAACATTTATGGCTGAACAATATGTATCAATCAGTGAGAAAATCTCTAAAACTCAAGTGTACATGCCATACGTGTGTTTTAAAACATGTTATATTTTGTTAAAATAAACTGGTTTTTCCTCTCACTGAAATAGGGTGGGAATAAATGAAATGGTGGGCTACCACATTGAGCCATTCCAGCATTTTATACCTCCATGTGATTGACTTCTTAGAAAGTTTGCTGAGGAAATATTATTTCCTCTATGGTAGATGCCTCTTAAGTAAGAAGCCTAGGACTGTGATGATTGTCCAGGTCAGAGTCCATTGGCCTGACCCAAGGGTAGGGTGCACTGTTTTATTTAAAGAGGACAGAACAGGCAGACACTGGCAAGTGCACCTCTGAGCTCTCAGAACCCACAGTACATCACCTTGGCAGACCACACGATTTAATGGGTTATTGATGACATAGGAAACAAAAATATATTCAAAAATATATTTTTAAAAGCTGTTATTTAAATACTACATAACAGGTAGATAGTAAAGTCATCTTTGGCTTTCAAGACCCACGTGGGTTCACCGTAGTTGACCACATAACTTTGAGGCTATTGTTTAATATAAAAAGAGAACAAATGTAAATTCTAAAAGCCTAAAAAAAGGTCAAGGAAATGTATCTCTTTGATGAATAATAACTCAGGAGGGCCATCACTCTTCTGTGTGATTCTAGGACATATACCAGAAGATTTATGGCTTGAGTGGCTTTCTGTAAGCTACTGCTGCTGTTGGTGCTGGTTGTGGTGGTGGGTCTAGTCAAGGGTACAAATACTGCAGTTGTGGATGGAGATGGCAAGGAAAGGAGTAAGGCAAAAAGATCACTTTTTGTGAATAGAGGGCTGAAATGCAAACCATCTTCTGCAAAGGCAAGCTTCCAGTTAAGAAGGTGCATTGGTTTAACTCATTGTTCAGAGAAGAGGTGCTTTCAGATTAAAACCTTAAGACTGTAAGATTTGAAGTCATTGGTGAGGAAATCTCCCTACCTAAAGATGAATGCTTCATATTTTCTCTAGTTAACTACAAGAGTGATTTTTTTTATTAAATGGAAATTCTTTCCTTCTACTATTAAAGGAAAAAAATAAGAAAAATCGTAAGGAGGTGATCACAGGGCACCTTCCCTGTCATTTATACCTCCTAAGGGAGGGTCACTTCTGCCTGACGCAGAGGTTTATCATATCTTTCTGTTTGAGGGCATCTCTAAAGAGGCAAGCTGGGGGAAAAAAAGAATCAACCTTTCAATTAAGAAGGAAAAACACATTTTTAAAATGGGGAAGCAGAACAAGATGTCTGAATGGAAGCCTACACCATTTGTTCCTCCTACAGGGACATCAAAATTTAGCAGCTAGCTACACACAAAAACCACCATCAGAAGAACCAAATATCAGGTGAGCAATCACAGTACCTGATTTTAACTTCATATTGCTGAAAGGGGCACTGAAAGGGAGTAGGAGAGACAGTCTTGAATTGCCAATGCTACCCCTCCCCCATTCCCCAGTAGCAGAGAATCTGCGTCCTGTCCTCGGAAGAGGGAGAGCACAGGAACTGAAGGACTTTACATTGAACTCAGTGAAGATGCCTTGTCACAGCAGAAAGCAAAACCGGGCTGTACCCAGCTGGCACCCCCCCATGGAGGGAGCATTTGAACTGGCCCTAGCCAGGGAGTGATCTCTCATCCCAGTGATCAGAGCTTGAGTTCTGGCAAGCCTTGCCACCACAGGCTGGAGTGCTCTGGGGTCCTACATAAACTTGAAAAGCAATCTAGGACACAAGGACTGCAATTCCTAGGCAACTATTAGTGCTGAGCTGGGCTCAGAGCCACAGAGCTAGGGTAGCATGTGACCTAGAGAGACACCTTCTGGGGTGGCTAAAGGAGTGCTTGTGCCTCTCCTCCTCCAACCCCAGGCAGTGCAGCTTGAAGCAATGAAAGTGTCTCCTTTCTTCTGCTAAAAGGGAGGAGAGCAAATAACTAAGAGGACTTTGTCTTGTATCTTGGATACCAGCTCAGTCACAGTAGTATAGGGCACCGGGCAGAGTCATGAGGCCGCCATTCCCGGACCTAGCTCCCAGACAACATTTCTAGACATACTCTGGGCCAAAAAGGAATTCACTGCCTTGAAGAGAAAGATGCAGTCCTGGCAGGATTTGTTACCTGCTGACTAAAGAGACCTTGGGCCCCAAAGAATGAATAGCAATACTCAGGTAATATGCTATAGGCCTTGGGCTCTGAGATGTGCTGACTTCAGTTGTCAGCCAGCACATTCCCAGCCGTGGTGGCTATGGTGAAAGATTCCTTTTGTTTGAGAAAAGGAGGGGAAAATGTAAAGGGGACTCTGTCTTGAGCCTTAGGTACCAGCTTGGTCACAGTGAGGTAGAGCACCAAGCAGGGTAGTGGGGTTCTCAATTCCAGGCCTAGGCTCTTGGTCAACATTACTGGACATGCCTTGGGGCAGAGGGGAGCCCACTTCCCTGATGGGTGAGTCCCAGGCCTGACAGCATTCACCACAAGGTGACTGAAGATCCCTTGGACTTTAAGTGAACATTGGTATTGGCCTGGAAGAAACTGGTGCTAGTGGCCATGAGGAGAAGCTCTTCTGCCTGTGGACAGGGAAGTTCCACTAGGAAGAAATTTGTCTTGTGGTTTGAGTGCCAACACAGCCACAGTAAAATAGAACACTGGGTAAATTTCTAAGGTTTTTTACTCCAATCCCCAACTCTCAGACAGCATCTCTGGACACACTCAGGGTCTGGGGGAACTCGCTGCTCTGAAGGAAGGGACACAAACTTGGCTGGTGTCACCATCTGCTGATTGTGGAGCCATAGGGCCTTGAGTGAACATAGGTGGCAACCAGGTATTGGTTACAGTGGGTCCTGGGTGAGACCCAATGCAGTGCTGGCTTTAGATCTGACCCAATGCAGTCCCAGTGGTGGTGGCCCAGGGGTGGCTGTGTCTACCCATCCCCAGTTCCAGGTAGCTCAGCACAGCAGAAGAGACTGTTTGGGAGAAAGTAAGGGAAAAGAATAAGAGTCTCTGCCCAGTAATCCAGATAATTTTTCTGGATCTTATCCAAGACCACCAAGGTAGTAACTCTACAAGTGTGCAAGAACAACAGTGCTGTTTGGTTTGGGGCCTAAGTCTCTTCGAATTCCTGGAAAGCCTTCCCAGGAAAGATAGACACAAATAAGCCCAGACTGCGAAGACTGCAATAAATACCTAGCTATTCAATACTCAGATACTGAAGAACATATAAAAGTACCAACATCTTCCTGAAAAATATGACCTCACCAAGTTAATTAAATAAGGCACCAGGGACCAATCCTGGAGAAACAGATATGAAGGAGAATTAATACCAATCCTACTCAAACAATTTCAAAAAATAGAGGAGAGACTACTGCTAAACCTATTCTATGAGGCCAGTATTATCCTTACAGCAAAAATAGATAAAAGCACATCAAACAAAGAAAACAACAGGCCAATATCTCTGATAAATTTTGATGCAAAAATCAACAAAATACTAGCAAACCGAATTCAGCAAAACATTGAAAAGATCATTCATCATGACCAAGCGAGATTTAGCTTGGGGATGCAAACATCATTCAACATATGAAAACCGATCAATGTGATACATTATATCAATAGAATAAAACACAAAAACTATATGAACATTTCAACTGATGTTGACAAATTATTTAGTAAAATTCAACATTTCTGTATGATAAAAACTCTCAAAAACTGGGCATGGTGTAACATACCTCAACATAATAAAAACCATATATGACAGACCCACAGATAATATCACACGGAATGGGGAAATACTGAAGTTTTCCTCTAAGATTTGGAACATGACAAGGATGCCCACTTTCAAGACTGTTATTCAGTGTAGTATTGGAAGGCCTAGCTAGAGCAATAAGACAAGAGCAGTAAATAAAGGGCATCCAAATAGCAAGGGAGAAAAATTATCCTTGTTTGCAGATAATATGATCTTATATTTGGAAAAACCTAAAGACTCTACCAAAAAAAGCTATTAGAATTGATAAATGAATTCAGTAAAGTTGAAGGATACAAAATCAACATACAAAAATCAGTAGCATTTCTATATGCCAACAGTGAACAATCTGAAAAAGAAACCAAGAAGGTAATCCCATTTACAACAGGTACAAATGAAATACATAACCTAAGACTCAACCAAAGAAGTGAAAGATCTTCTACAATGAAAATTATAAAACACTGATGAAAGGAATTGAGGAGGACACCAGCAAATGGAAACATATTCCATATTTATGGATTGGAAGAGCTAATATTGTTAAAATGTTCATACTACCTAAAGCAATCTACAGATTTTATGCAATCTCCATCAAAATACCAATGACATTCTTCATAGCAACAGAAAAACAATTGTAAAATTTATATGGAACCACAAAATACCCAGAATAGCCAAAGATATTCTGAGCAAAATAAACAAAACTGGAGGAATTACTTTATCTGACTTCAAATTATGCTATAGAGCTATAGCAACCAAAACAGCATGATATTGATATGAAAACAGACACATAGACCAATGGAACAGAATAGAGAACCCAGACACAAATCCCTGTATCTATGGTCAACTCATTTTTTGCAAAGGTGCCAAGAACATACATTGGGAAAAGGACATTCAATAAATGGTGCTGGGAAAACTAGATATTCATATGCAGAAGAATGAAACTTGACTCCTCTCTCTTGCCATACACAAAAATCAAATCAAAATTGAATAAAGACTTAAATCTAAGTCCCAAAATGAAGCTGCTACAAGAAAACTTAGGAGAAACTCTCCAGAACATTGGTCGGGGCAAAAATTTCTTGAGTAATACCCCACAAGCACAGGTGATCAAATAAAAAATGAACAAATGGAATCACAAGTTAAAAAGTGTCTGCACAACAAAGGATACAATCAACAAAGAGAAGAGACAATCCACAGAATGAGAGAGAATTTTTCCAAACTACCCATCTAACAAAAGATTAACAACAAATGTAGAAAAGAGCTCAAACAAGTCTATAGAAGAACATCTAATAATCTGATTTAAAAATGGGCAAAAGATTTGAACAGCCATTTCTCAAAAGAAGTCATACAGCATACCTGCTGAGTCCCAGGCTTGGCAACATGAAAGGAACTGGAGGTCATTATATTAAGTGAAATAAGGCAGGCACACAAAGACTTTCTCTTTTTCTATTGATTGGTTTCAATTTCAGAGCCTGTTATTGGTCTATTCAGAGATTTGCCTCAATTTCAGAGCCTGTTATTGGTCTATTCAGAGATTCAACTTCCTAGTTTAGTCTTGGGAGGGTATATGTGTTCAGGAATTTATCCATTTCTTCTAGATTTTCTAGTTTATTTGTGTAGAGGTGTTTATAGTATTCTCTGATGGTAGTTTGTATTTCTGTGGGATTGGTGGTGATATTTCCTTTATCATTTTTTATTGCATCTATTTGATTCTTCTCTCTTTTCTTCCATATTAGTCTTGCTAGTTGATCTTTTTGTTGATCTTTTCAAAAAACCAGCTCCTGGATTCATTGATTTTTTGAAGGATTTTTTGTGTCTCTATCTCCTTCAGTTCTGCTCTGATCTTAGTTATTTCTTGCCTTCTGCTAGCTTTTGAATGTGTTTGCTCTTGCTTCTCTAGTTCTTTTAATTGTGATGTTAGGGTGTCGATTTTAGAGCTTTCCTGCTTTGTCCTGTGGGCATTTAGTGCTATAAATTTCCCTCTACACCTGCTTTAAATGTGTCCCAGAGATTCTGGTATGTTGTGTCTTTGTTCTCATTGGTTTCAAAGAACATCTTTATTTCTGCCTTCATTTCGTTATGTACCCAGTAGTCATTCAGGAGCAGGTTGTTCAGTTTCCATGTAGTTGTGCAGTTTTGAGTGAGTTCCTTAATCCTGAGTTCTAATTTGATTCCACTGTGGTCTGAGAGACAGTTTGTTGTGATTTCTGTTCTTTTACATTTGCTGAGGAGTGCTTTACTTCCAATTATGTGGTCAATTTTAGAATAAGTGTGATGTGTTGCTGAGAAGAATGTATATTCTGTTGATTTGGGGTGGAGAGTTCTGTAGATGTCTATTAGGTCCGCTTGGTGCAGAGCTGAGTTCAATTCCTGGGTATCCTTGTTGACTTTCTGTCTCATTGATCTGTCTAATATTGACAGTGGGGTGTTAAAGTCTCCCATTATTATTGTGTGGGAGTCTAAGTCTCTTTGTAGGTCTCTAAGGACTTGTTTTATGAATCTGCTTGTTCCTGTATTGGGTGCATATATATTTAAGATAGGTAGCTCCTCTTGTTGAATTGATCCCTTTACCATTATGTAATGGCCTTCCTTGTCTCTTTTGATCTTTGTTGGTTTAAAGTCTGTTTTATCAGAGACTAGGATTGCAAGCCCTGCTTCTTTTTGCTTTCCATTTGCTTGGTGGATCTTCCTCCATCCCTTTATTTTTAGCTGATGTGTGTCTCTGCACATGAGATGAGTCTCCTGAATACAGCACACTGATGGGTCTTGACTCTTTATCCAGTTTGCCAATCTGTGTCTTTTAATTGGGGCATTTAGCCCATTTACATTTAAGGTTAATAATGGTATGTGTGAATTTGATCTTGTCATTATGATGTTTGCTGGTTATTTTGCCTGTTTTCTGATGCGGTTTCTTCATAGCATCAGTGGTCTTTACAATTTGGCAGTTTTTGCAGTGGCTGGTACTGGTTGTTGTGAAAGGCCAATTTTTATAGAAATTTCTTGGAGAAGGAATGAGAGTGCTTAGAGACTAGACATTTGGTAATTCCACAAAGAGGGGAAAATCAGGTTATATGCATTAGGGATCAGCTGATCTTTTAGGAATCATGAAGAAAAGTTGATGAGAGTCCCAGGTAAAGGTATAGCTCATCTGTGATTAAAAAATTCGATTGTCATTTCTCATTCTGGCAAAACATGGAAGCTATAAGGAGCTGCTGTTGTGTTGCTCTGGGTAACAACCCACATTTGATGTTTTCTAGCCAAGTTCAGACCAGATGAACTTCAGGACAATTGGCCCATTAATCAACAGGATGCCTCATGATTATTTGATGTCATTCAGCTCTCTACTTTCATACAAAACCCTATTATTAGATTATTTCTATCAGAGACCTACAGGCACAAAGCCAGCTGTAGCCAACCTAAATATCTGCATTATTGCAAGAGGCTATTTTGTAAAGGATATAAGTCAGTGAGAACTAAAACTTGCTGAGGTATGGGGGGATGAAAGTGGAAATTCAGGTAACTGGTACAATCTTAGCTGTAGCAACTAGTTCTATTGCCATTGCCCTAGCTTATGAATGGTCTTTCCTGTATGCAGTTCTCCCAAAGATTACTTTGAAGGGCCCCGCTTGGTGGAAGTCCCAAGAACAGCCTTGAAACCCAGGGACTCAGATATGGGCAACAAGCCTTCCTCTGAAGACAAAATGTTATGTTAGTTCACAGGACTTGAATTTCAGATAAGTTGTTTACAGATCTAGTTAGAAGCCTCATTTTATATTTTCCTTTTTCTGGCCTCATAAGAAAGACTTCAAAGACCTTCACTAGCCTTGACCACTGCTAACTCTGAATTTTAGGGTCACAAGACACTCTTGGTAAAAGATGAGAAGAAGGAGGCTGAAAGAGTCAGGAGTCCTTTAAGCTTTGCTTCATTTCAGTGATAGGTAATATCAGAGACCCTTTGAAAAGGCTTTGAGCGGGACCCTTTGAAAAGGCTTTGAGTGGTTGAAGTGCCATCCTGTTGGTTCCGGGTGGTTACTTAGGAACAGTGGGAAGTTTTAGAGAAGTGGTCTTATGAATGTGTATGCAAGACTCTCTGATATTCTGCATGTCTCCTTCCCTAAGGGGGCCATCTACACTGGATTACCACAGGCCTTACTCATTTGTCCACTGGATTTACAGGAGAAATAATAAAATATCTTAGCATATACCTAACCCCTAGAAGCAACTCAAAGCTCCCTCTCTCCCTCCACAAGAAAAAAGTACTGAAGGGCCAGAAGGAAGGCGGTATAACATAGGAGGCTAAAAGTAAGGGCTCCTATGCAAATGGTAACCAAAAGGGAGTATGGGTTGCTATACTACTATCAGACAAAACAGACTCTAATAAAAAATTGTTACAAAACACAAAGAAGAACATTACATAATGACAAAAGGGCAATTCACCAAGAAGATATAGCAATTATAAATATTCATGCACCAAACCCCAGAGCTTCTAAATATGTAAAACAAACTTTGATAGAATTGAAGGGAGAAATAGACAATACCAAAATAACAGTAGAAAATGTCAATACCTCACTGTTTCAACAATGAATGGAACAACCAGACAGAAGATCAATAAGAAACAAGGACTTAATAACACTATAGGCCAATTGGAACTAACAGACATACACAGAACAGTTTCTCCAACAGCAGCAGAATTTACATTCTTCTCAAGTGTATATGGAACATTCTCTGGGATAGACCACATGTTAGGCTGCAAAATAAGTCTTAACAAATTCAAAAAGATCGAAATTATGAAAGCATAAAGCATGTCTTCTGATCACAATGCAATGAAGGTAGAAATCAATAGCAGTAGAAAAAATCCACAAATATGTGAAAATTAAACAAACCACTCAAACAACCAATGGGTCAAAGAAGTCACAAGGGAAATTAGAAAAGATTTTGAGACAAAACGAGATTTTTTTTTTCTGTTTTGAAAACAAAAACACAAATACAAAATAGTATGGGATACAGCAAAAATAGTGTTAAGAGAGAAGTTTATAGAAAGAGGCAGATATTAAATCAACAATTTAGCTTTATATCTCAAGAAATTAGAAAAAAAATGAACAAAACCCAAAGCTAGTGGAAGAAAAGAAATAATAATTAGAGCAGAGATAAATAAAATGGAGAATAGAAAACATGAAAAAAAATCAACAAGAGTTTTTTTAAAAAAAGATAAAATTGACAAACTGTTAGCTAGATTAACCAAGAAAAAGAGAAAGAAGACTCAAATAACTAAAATCAGAAATGAAAGAGGCAACATTATAGCTGATGCCACAGAAATACAAAGAGGTTTTAAGAGAATACTGTGAATGATTGTACACCAACAAATTGGATAACCTAGAAGAAATGAATCAAGTTCTAAAAACACACAACCTAGCATAACTGAATCATGAAGAAAGAGAAAATCCAAATAGACGAATAACAAGTAAGGCGATTAAATTAATAATTAAAAACCTCCCAACAAATAAAAATCCAGAACCAGATGGCTTCACTGGAGAATTCTACCAAACATTTAAAGAGGAATTAGTGCCAATATTCCTGAAACTTTT
The DNA here is from genome assembly GCF_000001405.40 of Homo sapiens. NCBI lineage: Eukaryota > Metazoa > Chordata > Mammalia > Primates > Hominidae > Homo > Homo sapiens. Next base: position 112,696,865 of record NC_000023.11, on the reverse strand, counting down.
TCCAAAAATTGAAGAGAAGGAAACACTTCCAAATTCATTCTATAAGTACAGCATTACACTGATATCTAAGCCAGACAGACACTACAAGAAAACTACAGATAAATATCTCTGATGAATATTGATACAAGAATTCTCAACAAAATACCAGTGAACTGAGTTCAACAGAACATTAAAAGAATTATACATTATGACCAAGTGGGATTTGTTCCTGGAATGCAAGAATGAGTCAATATGTGAAAATTAATCAATGTAATACATGGCATTAACATTATGAAGGATAAAAACCACATGATCATCTCAACTGAGATTATAGAAAAAGCATTTGACAAGATGAAATAACCTTTCATGATAAAAACACTCAGCAAACTAGAAATGAAAGAAAATGTCTCAACATAAAAAAGGCCATATAAGAAAAGCCCACACTAATGTCAGCCTCACTGATATGATTAAAACTTTTCCTTTACTATCAGGAACAAGACAAGGAAACCTATTCTTACCACTCTCTCACCACTATTATTCAACATAGTTTTAGAAATCCTAGCCAGAGAAATTATGTGAGAAAAAGAAATTTAAAAAATCCAAATTGAAAAGAAAGAAGTAAAATTATTCTTCTTCACAGAAAACATGATCTTATATATAGAAAATCCTAAATACTCCACAAAGAACTGGTAAAACTAATAAAGGAATTGTGCAAAATTGCAGGATACAAAATCAACACACAGAAATAAATTGTATTTCTACACACTAACAATGAACAATCTGAAAATGAAATTAAGAAGCAATTTCATTTACAACAGCACCAAATACTTAGGAGTAAACCTAACCAAGGAGATGAAAGACTTTTACACTGAAAACTACAAAATGTTGCTTAAAGAAATTAAGACATAAATAAATGGAAAGATATCCTGTGTTCATGGATTAGAAGACTTAATATTGTTAAGATATCCATAATACTCAATGCAATCTACAGATTCAATACAATCCCTATCAAAATCCCAATGGGATATTTTGCAGAAATAGAAAAATCCATCCTAAAATTTACATTGAATCTCAAGCCTAAAGAGCCAAAACAATTTTGAAAAAGAAGAACAAATTGAAAGATTCACAATTCCTGATTTCAAAACATATTACAAAAATACAGTAATCAAAACAGTATGGTACTGGCATAAAGACAGACATATAGACCAATGGAATGGAATAGACAGCCCAGAAATAAATTCTCATGTATATGATGAAATAATCCTCAAGGTTGCAAAGACATCCCCCTCAAGTGGGGGAAGAAACAGTCTCTCCAAAAAATGGTGCTAGGAAAACTGGGTATTCACATGTGAAAGAGTAGAGTGGGAACACTGTCTTATACAATACAGCATACAAAAATTGACTCAAAGTGTATTAAATTCCTAAACATAAAACCCAATACTATAAAACTCCTAGAATACATTAGACCTGAGAATAATTTTTTTGGATATGACAACAAAAGCACAGGTGACAAAAACAAAAATAGACAAATGGGACTGCATCAAACTGATGAACATTTTTCATCAAAGGTTGAAAGGGCAATCTATGGAATGGAAGAATATATTTGCAAATCACATACCTGATAAAGGGTACTATCCAAAGTATAAAGAACTTCTACAATTCAACAACAAAAAGCCAAATCACCAGATTAAAAGATGGGCAAAAGACTTAAATAGACATTTCTCCAAAGATAATATACAACTGGCCAAAAAGCATATGAAAAGATGCTTGACATCACTAATCATCAGAGGAATGCAAATGAAAACATAATGATATTAGCCCACTCCTAATGGGATGGCTACTATTAAAAAAAACAAAACAAAACAGAAAATAACCTGTGTCAGCAAGAATGTGGAGTAATTGCAACCTTTCTGCATTGTGGTTGGGACTGTAAATGGTGCAACCACTATGAGAAACAGTATGATGCCTCCCCCCCAAATTAAAAATAGATCTACCATATGAATCAACAATCCCACTTCTGGGTATGTATCTAAAAAAATGGAAAGCAGTGTCTCAAATAGATATACGCACACTCTTGTTCACAGCAACACTATTTTCACAATAGCAAAGAGGCAGAAGCAACCCAAATGCCCATAGATGGATGAGTGGATAACAAAATGCATGGAAAAAAAAATAAATGTATTACATATAAAATTTGTGTATACATATTTATATATACATTTTTTATATATGTGTGTGTCTATACACACACCACACAATGGAATATCATTCAGCTTTAAAAAAGAAAGAAATTCTATCATATCCTACAACACCAATGAACCTTGAGGACATTATGCTAAGTGAAATAAGCCAATCACAAAAAGACAAATACCATAAGGTGGTAAAATGTGTGTCGTGTATTTTTACCAAAATTTTAAAAAGTTAAGAAAAAAAGTAAGGGTCCCGTGGTATGAAATGGACCTCAGTGTCAGTATTTTTATAAGCTGAGCAATCTAGGATAAGTTTGTTCTTGTAAATATGTTTTGGTTTTCCCAATCATAAAAAGGGGATGATAAAATACTACCTATTACTCAGGCTTGTTGTCAGGATCAAACAAGATAATGTATGTAAAAGTGCTTACTACAGCACTTACTAGATAGTAAATGATTAGTATCTCTTAGCTATGATTGCTAGCTAAGACAACTTTAGGCTATGATTCCAGAATAAAGGTTTTGAGCTTCCTCTCATAACCTCACAGAATAGGAGTACTCCTGGGGGTCAGAAGAGACAAAGTAGTATGATGTGATGCTGAAGAACAAGTTAAGATGGACAGAACTTCTATGCCAGTTCTGATTATCTCTGAAATCTTAAGCAGGTTTTTGAACCACCTCTGCCACAGTTTCCTCAGCTATTAAATTGGGGATATAAATGTGTAAGATAATCACTAGATTGTTGTATGAATCAAATGATATAACCTATGTAAAATCACCTAGCCTAATGCCTGGCACACAGTAAGCATTTAATAAAATGTAGTTAATGTTAACCAAAGTGATCCTTGAGCCACCGTTCTGGAGAGAACTGATGTGATGTAGGGAGCCATTAAACAAACCTCCATGTCTTTGTGGCAAGAAGGATATCCTCTCCCTATTGTAGCCTCTCTCCATTGCTTCTTTGATTACTTTTGATTCTTTTGATTACTCTCCATTTTTGATTCTTTTGATTACTCTCCATTGCTTCTTTTGATTACTCTAGACACACTTTTTGTGTCTAGAGTGTTTGGAGTGGGGAGTTGGGAGGACATTCCCAGCATTTATAGGACTAGGGAGGGTACTAGGACTACCTTTACTCTAGAAACAGGGACAAATACTCTTTTTCTCCCTGAGTTGTTACAGGGTTCTATGTTCCTTTCTTTTGGAGTGCTAATTTCTAGAAGGAAAGAAAAGGCCTTTTGCCTAGCTCAAGGAAGTTAAGGAAGCTGCTAAGCCTATACTTAGCGTGATGAGACTTAGACCTTCATGGGGCCATAGGAGGATTATATCCTTAGGAAATTTCCATTTCTGCCCCTTCTGTCACTTTCCCTCTTGCTTACTATTTTCCTATCACATTAGCCTGGTTTTTGAAAATGCATAACAGCTTTATTGAGATATATTTCACAAACTGTACAATTCGCCTAATTAAAATGGTTTTTAGTATGACCACAGAGTTGTGCAACCATCACCATTTTCTAGTTTTAGAGTATTTTTATTGCCCTGAAAGAAACTCTGTAAATGTTTTTAGTTTTTATTTTATTTTTTATTTTTTCATGAAATCCTCTGGTTTTGAAACTGATTTTAATTTCTTTTTATTTTTATTTTTTTCACGATATTTTAAATTATTTTTCTTTTTATTTTTTCATGGTGATTTATTTTTCTTTTTTTTCACGATGTGTAAATGTTGAGCAATCTCTTCTGTGGGAGACCAGAATATACTACCCCCAAATATGCCTCTTTGGCATAAGGATTGTCTTAAGCTGAAGGCAACTGAGAAAAAGCAGATGTAGGAAAGCTCTCTGCCCTCCCTCTTTTTGTCTAAAAACAGAATATAAATTTACAAAGACAAAGATACACCACCTCTCCTTTCTACCAGGGAGAACAAAGGCTAACCACTGAAGAAAACTTTAGATTCTCATAAGCCTTGAGATGGCAACACAGAAATCTACATTAACAAGCTTTACTAACAAGCTTTTATCTGCCATTATTTACCTTCCCACAAGTTATCACCCCTAGAGACTCACAGTCCTCTTTCTTTGTCTTGTCACTTCTCTAAAAACTGACTGTTTGTTGATGGTGCTACATAAGGTGGACTTAAAAGCCACATTTTTGAGAATTACTAATTCCCTGGGTATCTTCCATATGTATGTTTTATATATTATATATTATATATAACATATAAGTAATTATATATTATGTATAATATATAACATATATAATCTTATATAATATATAATATATATGTACATACAATTATATATAACATATATAAAATAAATATTATATATAACATATAAAAAATAAATATATATAACATATAAAATTATGTTATATAATATATAACATGTATATAGAATGTATTATATATTCATATTTATATAAGTATATAATACATTATGTATACATATATAATATAATATGCATTTATATTTATATATTTATGGAAATATATTTATATAGTCATAGAAATATATTTATATTTATATATTTATATAAACACATATATTATACATGTCTATATAATATGTATGTATAATATGCATAATATAAATACATATTATATATATATAGTAATAAACTTCCTTTTGCTTTTCTCTTGTTAATCTGCCTCTGCCTTTTATTACAGGCATCTGCTTTAACTGGAATTTATGAAAGTTGAAAAAAAATGATTCTTCCTTCCCTACACTGTCCATTCTCCCTTCCCCCAGGCCCTGGCAACAAATAATCTATTTTTTATCCCTATAGATTTGCTTGTTCTGGACATTTCATATAAAAGAAATCATACAATATGTGGCCTGTTGTGTCTAGCTTATTTCACTTAGCATAATGTTTTCAAGGTTCATTCATGTTGTAGTATCTATCAGTACTTCCTTCTTTTATGGCTGAATAATATGCCATTGTATATAATGGACACATTTCATCTATTCATTGGTTAGTGAACATTTGAGCTATTTCTATTTTTTTCGCCACTGTGAAACTATAAACACTGTGAATACTCATAGCTACTGTGAATATTTATGCTCAAGTTTTTGCCTGAGTACCTGGCTTTGATTTTGGAGTGTGTATACCTAGAAGTAGACTTGCTGGGTCACATAGTAACTCTGTGTTGACTTTTTTGAGGAACTGCCAAGCTGTTTTTCACAGCAGCTGCATGATTTTGCACCTCTACCAGAAAAGTACAAGGGTTCCAAATTCTCTACTCCCTCCCAACACTTATTTTCTGTTTTTAAAATTGTTGTTATTATAGTTACCCTAGTGGGTCTAAAGTGGTATCTCATTTTTTTTAAGTATGATACTGTTTATTTAACTTAAAAAAAATTTCAGCATTCTAAACATAGGAAAAAATAACAGAACATTGCAAATCGTATTTAAGTACAGAAGGTTCTTGAACTTTCATTGATCCAGTGGCTCTTTATTTTGCTAGCAATTAAGAATTCTAGAGTTTGTTTAAAAACAGTTTTGAAACTACCACACTTCACTAAAAACAAAAAACCGAACACTTCTCATGCCAGCTGACCCCCCTTTGTCCACAGCTAAGAATGGCAGCAGAATGCTATGTCACTATACACAGAAACAAGACCACCTGAAGCTAAATGGATGCCCATGCAGAGTCAACAGGTGGAGCCTCACAGCAGCACACCCTGAGCTACAGCCCCTCCAAAAGGCGTCTTCCCCCACAGCCTCAATGCCAAGCAAGGAGCATGAAGAGTTTGTCGGGGTTGTTTTTTCTTTTTTACAAATTATAGATATATGCAGTTGATAACTCAGCATTTCTAGCCAATAACCATAGACTTAATACCACCTTAAAAATAAAAAAACTGCCAGAAACATCTTTAAATGCCTTGTCACTCCAACTGCAATGTACACAGAGTAGGGAGAATACCAGAGTGACTTTTCATTTTTAAACTGTTTGAAATATGTACAACTTTGATACAGTTTCAGGATGCTCCGGACATCCAACCACTTCATGTAAACCACTGACAATTTCTAGAGCACTTCGAGAGACTACAATATGATCATAATCAAATTTTGTAATTAAACTTAATGAGGGCAACAGACACTTCTCAAATAAGAGATATGTCAATTATGACACTCCCCTACTCTAAGGCATTCATAAGATGACAGATAAACAGTTTTTTTATTCCCCCTCCTCCTTCTTCTCTTCCTCCTCCTCTTCTTCCTCCTCATCTTCTTTGTCTTTCTCTTTCACCTTTTTCCAGGCAATTTTAGTGGGACCCTTTGCACTATCAAACTTTCCTTTAGACTTATAGTCAGCAACATCCTTCTCATACTTCTCCTTCAGGTCTGCTGCCTTAGTGATGTAAGGCTGCTTTTCCCTGTCACTATAGTTAATCCACATCTCACCCAGCTTTTTTGCCATGTCTCCAATAGAGATGCCAGGATTTGTGGATTTGATCTTGGGGTGGAATTCTGAACAGAACAGGAAGAATCCAGACAGTGGCCTTTTGAGGGCATTAGGGTCCTTCTTCTTGCCTCCCTCAACTGGTCCATTATCCTTCATTTCCTGATCATAGTGTACTTTATCCACCTTTGCCATTTCATCAAATTTGGTCTTCTCTTTCCCAGACATGGTCTTCCGCTTCTCAGAGCACTTCTTGGAAAATTCTACAAAATTGACAGGGACCTCTGGGTTTTTCTTCTTATGTTCTTCTCTGCATGTCTGCGCAAAGAAGGCATAAGCAGACATCTTGCCCTTTGGTTTCTTGTGGTCACCTTCAGCCATCCTGACTGTATTGTTCCCTAGTCCATCTCATGTGTTTCTATTTGTATTATCCTAATGACTAATAATTTTGAGCATCCTCTCATGTAGTTATTGACCTTTTGCATATATTCTTTGTAGAAATATCTACTCCAGTCTTTGGGGTGTCTTAAAATTAGGTTGCCTTCACGTTCTTTATATATTCTAGATACTAGGCCCTTATCAGATATATGATTTGAAAACATTCCCCCCCCCCATGTGGGTTATCTTTTCACTCTCTTGATAGTGTCCTTTGATACACAGAAGCTTTTAATTTTGAAGTGCAATTTATCTTTTTTTCTTTTGTTGCTTGTGCTTTTGGTGTCATATCTAAAACACATTGCCTGATTCAAGGTCACAATGATTTATACCTATGTATGCTGTGAGGTTTATGATTTTAGCTCTTATATTGAATTCTTTGATACATTTTAAATTAATTTCTGTATATGGTGTGAGATGAGGTAGAGGTTCAACTTTATTCTTTTGCATATAAATATACAGTTGTCCTTAACCTGCTTTTTGTTCCTTAAACGCGTTGATCATTTGTATAACTTGAGGTTTCCTTATTTGCTGTTTCCTTTGCTTGGAATTTTCTTACCTCTCTTCCTTGTATGGCTGGCTTCTGACTTTTTAGGTCTCATGTGAAATACCACCTTATCAGAGGGTCCTAACTACCCCATCTAATCTAAAGTTGTCCTTATTCCCACTCCAACACTCTATCCTATCACCAAATTTTATTTTTGTTTTAAAACTTATCTCTCTACTTCATTAATGTTCACTTGTTTTATTGGCTGTCTTTCCTACTAATATGTGAGCTCTGCGAGAGCAAGAATCTTGTCTGTCCTGTTATCATTGTCTTTCTAGTCTCTGACACATAATAGGTGGTCAACAAATTATTATAGAATGAATGTAGTGGTCCCACAAGTAGTAGTAATACTAATAACAATTACCTCAAAATTATTTTGCTACTTAATGATTTGTTCCCATAGTATAATGATAATTTTTAAAATTTTTTAAACTTTTTTCCCTAGAATTAAGTCCTGAGAAGGGTGAAAGTGGTGGCCCAAGGTGAAAGAGAGAATCTTTGATTTGTGGAGCAATTCTCACAGCAATAATTTAGCTTGTGGTATCCCACAAGAGTAAAGGGAGAAAGACACAAGAGACACATGGTTTGAAGCTACTCAAGGCCAAATTCAAGGTGCTTGGACCTGCTTCCAGCCTCCCTGTATTTCCTCAAAGTTTGTCTAAATTCAAGAAAGAAAACCAGGTGGTACCAGAGTTGATGGCTCTTTGCCAAGCACAGCAAGTATCAGCCATTGAGTCGCCCCTTAGAACTCATTAAAAATGAAAAAGAATGATTAAGGAAGCTGGAAATACTGTTTCATTTCTGAGTAAGATTGGTTTCTCACAGCTCATCCCTAGTTACCACCGGACAATAGTTGGTCGATACAGCACTTAAAGCTGGAAGGATGTGTAACCACTTTGCCCCCAGTCCCCACATCCTTCCTGAGCCACTTCTTCCTGAGCCACCTCTTGTCCTTGAGAAGCTGTGGTATGTGGGAAACAGGGTGGTTGGAGGAGGTCTGACCAATCTTTGTCTCCTTCACAAGTCCTTGTTTCTTTACCTATCCCTTAAGTGTGAGTGTTTCTCAGGGTTGCTCCTGTCCCTGGCCCTCGTATTTGACAAATACCTTTGTTCTATCATCTACCCTTAGGCTTGTATTTTCCACACATGAACTTTCAGCCTGGAACTTTCCCCTGAGCCCTAGACCCATATAACTATGTTTATTGTACATCTCCACTGGGATGTACAGAGATGCTTTGAACCTAATAGCCAAGCTGATCTCAATAATTTACTGATCCTCACTGTCCACTACCAGGGAGAAAGAGTGTGGAGAGGTGGGGATACTGCTGTGTGCCTGTGTTCTTATTTTCATGAAGGATATATCTATGCACCGATTTTCTCAAAGCAGAAATTTAGGATTCATAAAATATTTCTCCCTTTCCCTTACACCCTTTTGGACCCTGCCTTCTGTCCTCATCCAGCCTTTCTTCTTTCTCCAGGTTTTTTTTTTTTTTTCTGAATCTGTTACTCAACAGACCTAAGAGCTCTGTGGCTTTGGAAAAGTCATTTAACTTTTCTAAGCTTCAGTTTCCTGCTCTGAAAATGGGGGTAATGTTTATTTCATAAGTTTATTGTGAGGATCAACTTTACTATTCAAATTTTAGGAATCATTACTCATTAAAAGGCAAGGCCTGCTTGCAAGGATTAGGCAATGTTTGCCTGTAATTCCCAGCAAATATTCTTAATGACAGCCTCCTGGGCAGATCTTCTAAATAGAAGGCATGTTAGAATCCACCAATGTGCCTATGATTTCCCCAGAGATCAGAATTACATACCAAGAAGTGATGAAACGAAGTTGTTTGGCTGTCAATTGCTTTACTCATTGCTGCCAAGAAAACATGGTTTATATTGTAGGTCACTAGGCAAATGCCCAAATGTGCTCTGGGGTGGTCGTAAGCCAGCACCCAAATACTTAGCCAGAGAACAAAGCTGAGGTTTATAGAGTAGGGCTTTTCTTATTGTATCATCTTTGCTTCCTGCAGCTGTTGCTTCATGGGATTTGGTGGGCAAGTAGTCTAGTTTGTAGAACTGCCTCCGCTGGCCAGCCACTGGCCCTATCAGATTTCCCCGTAGAAAAGGTTGCTATGTATTTTCTGAGCTCTGTGTCTCATTTCCTGAGCATTTTTTGGGGGATGGGGGAGGCTATCTTGTAGCCTTCACTTTTCCTTCAGCCTCTAAGCGAGCACTGAAATGGCAGAAGACATGTTCATCCTTTTAGCTGTTTTGATGTCCTTCTGTGGTGTGGTTGCCCAGGTTTTTTGGAGGAGCCTGGATGGCTATACTATTCAGCAAAGCCAGGAAACTATTGTAATGCTGTAATAACCAACGAGATGCCTAGAAACCAAAGTCTTTGTGAGTGAGGTCCCAAAATTGACAAAGCTCCATGACTTGCTTTAGGAGACAGAGGCAAGAACAATAATTTCTTGGTTCTGGAATGCTGTTTCTCTTGTTTCACTGAATTTTCTAAAACTGAGTTTTAGAAAAAATTCTCCATGAAATGAATTAGGGTGGTCTGGAAAATCAGCCATGCCACCAATGGCCACTCTTCCACATGATTTGGCTGACTGAGAAGAGAGGGATGTTTATGTTAGAAAGTCTTTGAAAGACACTGATGGCTTTGTGGTAAGAGAGGTGGGATGAGGAAGAATGACAGAGGAAATACTGTTGAGAAAGTTGGGAGAGGATTTGTTCTTTCAGCTCTCTGGACCATCATTTAGGACACTGCCTGAAGAGTAAAATTCTACTCAAATCTTCATTAACTGGACCATGAGAGAGTGGACTTTCTGTTCCTAAGCAAACCAATCCCATAATTAGTTCAGCATTGAGGTACTTTTAATACAGGGGCCCAAGGTATATAGAATTCTGGTATATAGGACTTTTTGAGTTTTGTATTTAAATGGGCAAAAACTGGAAGCATTCCCTTTGAAAACTGGCACAAGACAGGGGTGCCCTCTCTCACCACTCCTATTCAGCATAGTGTTGAAAGTTCTGGCTAGGGCAATCAGGCAGGAGAAAGAAATAAAGGGTATCCAATTAGGAAAACAGGAAGTCAAATTGTCCCTGTTTGCAGATGACATGACTGTATATTTAAAAAACCCCATCGTCTCAGCCCAAAGTCTCCTTAAGCTGATAAGCAACTTCAGCAAAGTCTCAGGATACAAAATCAATGTACAAAAATCACAAGCATTCCTATACACCAATAACAGACAAACAGAGAGCCAAATCATGAGTGAACTCCCATTCACAATTGCTTCAAACAGAATACAATACCTAGGAATCCAACTTACAAGGGATGTGAAGGACCTCTTCAAGGAGAACTACAAACCACTGCTCAACGAAATAAAAGATGACACAAACAAATGGAAGAACATTCCATGCTCATGGATAGGAAGAATGAACAATGTGAAAATGGCCATACTGCCCAAGGTAATTTATAGATTCAATGCCATCCCCATCAAGCTACCAATGACTTTCCTCACAGAATTGGAAAAAACTACTTTAAAGTTCATATGGAACCAAAAAAGAGCCTGCATTGCCAAGACAATCCTAAGCCAAAAGAACAAAGCTGGAAGCATCACACTACCTGACTTCAAACTATACTACAAGGCTACAGTAACCAAAACAGCATGGAACTTTTACCAAAACAGAGATATAGACCAATGGAACAGAATAGAGCCCCCAGAAATAATACCACACATCTACAACCATCTGATCTTTGACAAACCTGACAAAAACAAGAAATGGGGAAAGGATTCCCTATTTAATAAATGGTGCTGGGAAAACTGGCTAGCCATATGTAGAAAGCTGAAACTGGATCCCTTCCTTACATCTTACACAAAAATTAATTCAAGATGGATTAAAGACTTACTTGTTAGACCTAAAACCATAAAAACCCTGGAAGAAAACCTAGGCAATACCATTCAGGACATAGGCATGGGCAAGGACTTCATGACTGAAACACCAAAAGCAATGGCAACAAAAGCCAAAATTGACAAATGGGATCTAATTAAACTAAAGAGCTTCTGTACAGCAAAAGAAACTACCATCAGAGTGAACAGGCAACCTACAGAATGGGAGAAAATGTTTGCAATTTACCCATCTGACAAAGGGCTAATATCAGAAGCTACAAAGAACTTAAACAAATTTACAAGCAAAATCAAGCAACCCCATCAAAAAGTGGGCAAAGGATATGAACAGACACTTCTCAAAAGAAGACATTTATGCAGCCAACAGATGCATGAAAAAATGCTCATCATCACTGGCCATCAGAGAAATGCAAATCAAAACCACAATGAGATACCATCTCACACCAGTTAGAATGGCGATCATTAAAAACTCAGGAAACAACAGGTGCTGGAGAGGATGTGGAGAAACAGGAACACTTTTACACTGTTGGTGGGACTGTAAACTAGTTCAACCATTGTGGAAGACAGTGTGGTGATTCCTCAAGGATCTAGAACGAGAAATACCATTTGACCCAGCCATCCCATCACTGGGCATATACCCAAAGGATTATAAATCATGCTGCTATAAAGACACATGCACACGTTATGTTTATTGCAGCACTATTCACAATAGCAAAGACTTGGAACCAACCCAAATGTCTAACAATGATAGACTGGATTAAGAAAATGTGGCACATATACACCATGGAATACTATGCAGCCATAAAAAATGATGAGTTCATGTCCTTTGTAGGGACATGGATGAAGCTGGAAACCATGATTCTGAGCAAACTATCGCAAGGACAAAAAACCAAACACCGCATGTTCTCACTCATAGGTGGGAATTGAACAATGAGAACACTTGGACACAGGGTGGGGAACATCACAGACCAGGGTCTCTTGTGGGCTACGGGGAGGGAGGAGGGATAGCATTAGGAGATATACCTAATGTAAATGAAGAGTTAATGGGTGCAGCACACCAACATGGCACATGTATACATATGTAACAAACCTGCACATTGTGCACATGTACCCTAGAACTTAAAGTATAATAATAAAAAAAGAGTTTTGTATTAACATCTTGATGGAAATTTTCACTAAATCTGTTTTCATTTATTTAATTATTTATTTTGAGATGGAATCTCACTCTGTCGCCCAGGCTGGAGTGCAGTGATGTGATCTCGGCTCACTGCAACCTCCACCTCCCAGGTTCAAATGATTCTCCTTCCTCAGCCTCCCGAGTAGCTGGGATTGCAGGTGCCCACCAGCATGCCCAGCCAATTTTTGTACTTTTAGTAGAGATGGGGTTTCAACATGTTGGCTAAACTAGTCTCAAACTCCTGACCTCAAGTGATCCACCTGCCTCGGCCTCCCCAAGTGCTGGAATTACAAGCATGAGCTACCGCGCCTGGCCACTAAATCTGTTTGTATTGGTACATAATACATGTACATATTTTCAGAGCACAAATGATAATTTGATACATTCATATAATGTGTAAAGATTAAATCAGGGTAATTGGAACATCTATTGCCTTAAATAATTCTCTTTTCTTTATCTTAGGAACATTTGAATTATTCTCTGCTAGCTATTTGGAAGTGTACAATAGATTAATGTTAACTATAGTCACCATACTGATCTATCACACACTAGGTCTTATTCTAACTGTATATTTATACCCATTGGCCAACCTGTACTCATCCTCCTTCCCCGCTGGTTTCCGAGGCCTCTGGTAATCATCAATCTACTCTCTATCTTCCTAAATCTGTTTTTTTAAAGTTTACTTAAACATAAATATGCTTACAGAAAGATACTCATAGTAGTGTGAATATAATGCAATTTAGTTTAACTTACCCTATTCAATTTGGACCCAAAATTTGGTACATGATTTTAGTTAAAAAAAGGATTTGCAATCTGTTTTATTTTCATCTACTATAAATATAATAAAAATCCTCCCTCAAAAGCTGTTAAAGCAGGCAGCAAGATCCATGAGCAAATTTATTTTTGGTTTACTTCTGAATAATACACAAATTGCACTGCAAAAGCTTAAAAGTTGGTGCAGCAAAATATTTTTGAAATGCATTTTAAAATATATTTTGAAACATATTGTGTAGTGGAGAGAAGCCTATGTGTAACATATGAAACAACTATAACAGCAATCCCATTTTTGTTAATATTGTGTGTAGCTTATAAATCTACACAGACCAAGATAGAAGTAACTTCTTGAATCCGAGTTCCAGTGGTATGCTGAAGCTGGCTTGTAGCAGCTTCTAAGAATCGATTGTGTGTATCTCTTCCCAATTCTACTTTTACTGATGTCAAGCTGGTAGCTTGAAATTGGCTGTGATGGGAGTATTTATACTATGGCAATCAGCAGATGCCACAAATCAGGGCTCTTTTGCAGCCCTCCACCTCCCACCTCCTGAAGCCAGTTACTAAATGTTTACCAACACACCACATCACTGCTTAACACTATCAGTTCATCCTTCGAGGTCAAAAAGGAAACTCAACAAAAGAGTTATTGGTTCTCATTTTTATATACTAAAGAAATATAAGTTTCATCTCTAGGTTTTCAATCTATAACTGAAACTATAGTTTAGGCAAGGAGTACCTTCCATATCCAATCTGTATTGGTGACAGGTCATGGAGTTCACATGGTTTTAAATTTGCAAACACATATATACAAATTTCCCGAAGTTCAAGGGCAATGGGATTCTAGAAATGATTTTTTTTACAAAATAAATGCTTCTGTCTTGGAAGACTAGAACAGAACATACTAATAAGAGAAGAAGACGCTCTGACAAAAGAGGAAAAAATAACTTAAAATATGTTGGAAAACAACATCAACAGAGGTTCAAAGGATAATTAACAGAAAAATATATTTTCATAAAACTACCAAATGTTTGGCTTAGCTGAATTCCTGTGTGTTGCTAACTCACAGGGAATAGATTTTAACTAGTGTGGGTTAACTGGCACCTTAACAAAGCTGACAGCAAGCAGCATTTATTTTTATTTCACAATTTTCCCTTCCTTTCCAACCTCTTTCTCCTCGTAATCAACACAATGTCTCTACTATAATATACTGATGTGTGTTTAACCAGGGGTCAACATCTTTTCTCCGTAAAGAGTCACTTAGTAAATATTTTTAGGCTTTGTGGACCATAAGATCTCTGTCACAACTACTCAACTCTGCAAGTGTAGCATGAAAGCAGCCATAGATGATACATAAGTGAATAAACAGTGGGAGTGTGCCAATAAAACTTTACAAAAACAGACAGCCTACTGGATTTGGCATGCACAGTCTCCGGCTTGCTGACCCCTTGTCTAGACTGCAAAATGCTGTGGGGGTGTTCATCTCATTTGGGAAATGCTATTGTATACAACAGTGTTTGGCAAATGAAGGATGGGGATGGGGGTATATATCAGAATCACCTGTTACCCATATCTTACCCTTGCAGAATCTCTTATTCCAGACTGATTGAAGGCAGGATTTAGGTATTCCCTAGTTTCCTTTCCAATACCCATTTTAGCACCATCCTGTCCCCTAAATACATTACAAGAAGTGTTCCTTTCTCAAGCCTTTCCACATAATCTTACGAAAGCAAGGCTGAAGAGCATTTTTAATTGAAAACATATCAAGAGCCACAAGATGCAAGCAATTTTTTTCTGAGAGAGCGTTCAACTGTTAAGAACAGGAAATAAAATTTTGTCCAATAAATTAGATTATTATTTATTATACACTTAAGTGTCTATAGAGAAAAGAGGATAAAAGAGGAAAGTAAAATGGTATTCTTCTTAGAGTTTCAAATAATGATAGGTTCCCCAAATGACAGGTGTAGTCACTAAGCAAAGGGCAATATTTACTGCTGTGCATAGAGTGGGGATCATCTATTTTTTATATGTCAACATTTTCAGCCGTATCTCACACAGTTACTACGTGTCAGTTAATATTAACCTATATTTAATGAAGGAGGGCCTAACATTTCTTTTTACATAATCCTATGTCTGAAGCAATGGTTCTTAAGGGAATGACAGCTGGGAGGTTATAAAACTTAGTTGGGGGGCTTACACTGCCAAAAGTCTAACATTCCACCTAAGGAGTCATCTGTGCTTCCCCCAGAAACATGATGGCCTCAGTAAGCCATGATTACAGATGGGAATGGATTTATCACTGTGTTGTAGAACAAAACGGTAAAAATTGCTGATGGAAAGTTGCTAGATAGACAAATACATGCATGAATATAGGATCATATCACTGATAAAAGGCAGGACACAGGTGGTATACACAGAAGGCAGGAGAAACTTTGTAAGTTCATTAAATAATCACGGTACAATTAATATGTTAATTTACGGTCATATTTTGAATTATTGCCACAACATGCTAGAAAATAGGCCTAATCACCTTTGTAGCATTCTGGTGAGGGAACTGGGCCATCAGAGAAGCATGGATACTTTGGATCAGTCCAGTGTGCTCTGTTAATGTAACCATTCTTCCTTCTAAATCATTTGGATTTGTTCAGCAAAGTTCCCCATTCACAGGCCATCTAGGAGGGGAAAAGAGACATGTACGAAAATAATAATAATAATAATGATACTAGGTAGAAGATAATAAGTTTCCCCAAATATGAAGTGTCAGGGACATTCACAGGTGGGAAATATGACATCGGGTTGGAGTAGAACATCAGGCAAAGCTCCATTCATCTCCAGACCACTCAGCTCTTTTCCCAAGCAGAGTAGCAGTTATTAGTGCACTGGGATAAATTAAACACTGACTTTTGATTGTATTATTACTATAAAAATATATTAGTTATTCCTTTCAATGTATGATTTCCACAAATTCTGAAATGTAAGCTCATTACATCTTGGAGCCAAAGATTGCTCTGCTGGAGCATCTTCCCCATCAGGCAATGGAAATCAGTTTGGGGAGAAGAGGTTGTTCTGTCTTATTCTATTTAGGCATGTGTTCTCTCAGTCACTTCTAGCCACATGGGTCTGCTACCTACCATGGTAGAGATTATCTAGGGCATTGGAGGAAAATTAGAGAAAATCTCTGTTCCTCAGCAGGCTTTTGGGCAGCAAGTGAGGAAGTAAGATAACGCAGTTCAAGCGCGGGCATGCCTGCGCGCATGCGCGCGCGCTCGCGCGGACACACATACACACACACGCGCGCGCGCGCGCGCGCGCGCACACACACACACACACACACAGAGCTGCTTTGTCCGCTGTGAGGTTGGAGGTTTGGGGACTCTGTGCCCACTAAGCTACTTTCTATTTCAAGTGCCTGTATGTCTGAGGCTGGGTTTGAAGCCTCCAGCGTGTTTGGAGTTAATCCCCATTAGGTTGGACTCCGCCCCTTTCTCCCAAAGGTAAAGCAAGGTTTTCAGGCATCACTGCAAAGGGCAGCTAGTATTCCCATCCTTGTCTAACAAGCTGTAAGGAGAAGTTGTTTCTGAGATCTGAGCCTGAAGAGAGGGAACAAGTCAGTCAGCCTTCGTGGTCAGAAGGTAAATATGCAACTTGGGCCAAATGCAATTCAAACAGCTGGATAAGAAACTGCTTTGCTCTCCCCTTGCTCAGCCCCCCCTTCTCCCCTTCCTTTCTCAGGTTTCCTGTCCTTTCATCTCAAAGCTCAGAGAAGCCGTTTTCTACCCGAGGGCAGCCTGGTGCTTTTTTATTTCTTCATAGTCCGTTGTTTGCACAGAGGCTAAGATGAATCAGGGCTGGATTCCTATTTCATATTGACAAGATTTGAGGACCTAAGGGTTAAGTGCTAGTTGGTTTCCCCAGGGGAGTTGGTAACCTGAGGAGATGAAGTGCCTGTTTCTGGGAGTGGAGAGAGTGATTTTGTTATGACCTGTCTATACAAGTAAAAATGGATCCGGTTTGCTAATGTGGTAGGTTGATCTCCTGGATTTGCCTAAATCTAAGGGGTTATGCGACGGAAATGGGGTAATGAAGTTAAACTGAAATGCAAATATTGAGGCCTCTCAGGCTGGAAATAAAAGAATGCATCCATTTGGTAAATATTTATGAGTTCCTACTATGTGCCAAGGCATGACAATTTCCAGAAGAACCTGAAATACTTAAACTATAAATCCATTCTTGCAAAGAACACTTGGCCAAGTGGTTTCATTTTGTGGTGGGGAACTGAAAATAGAATGAAGCCTAGGGGTGAGGAAAAATCACCCATGGAGTGGTTGTGGGGAGAGAAAGGGGAAAGGAGAGATGTTCTAAATCTTAGGTGGTTTCAAGTCTTTTCCATTACTTATGAGAGAATAGGGTCTTTTCTGGTAGAAAGGGAGAGAATTGATACCTACTCTGGTGTTAGGTATAGTGCAGATGTTTCACTTGAATTTTATGCTTAATCATTTCCATTTTATAAATGAAACCAAAACTCAGAGGTTTTAAGTGATCTTTTTATGTGCATATAGCCTGTAAGGGGCAGACCTCAGGACTCTGTCTCTGATCTGATTCCAAAATTGTGACTTTTCCACTAAAACAGTATTCCTCAATCATTAGTTCCCATTAGAATAAATTGAGGATTTTTAACAATATGAATTCCCATAAATTCGAATTCAGTGAATCAAGGAGGGGGTGACATAGTCTGCATTTTGAACAAGCATTGAAAGTGATTCTGAACAAGCATTGAAAGTGATTCTGTTGAGACAAACATTCTTGATATACCATGCTGCCTCTCAACTTCTCTGAAGTGATTGGAAAAGCAATCAGCCCATCTTCTTCCCATATGGGCCAGATTCACTCAATAGAAGTGGTCAGCTGTGGTGACATTTTATTCCCAGCTTATACAATGGAGTGGAGAGACTAATGGGCAACAATAACAGGGCTGGGGTTTAGGGCTTAACAATGTCTTGCCAGGGATCTTGATAGGGGTAGTTTCTAACCAGCTGAGAGTGTGAGATAGAACTCGTAGCCAACCAGCTTATCACTGAAGATGATGGCACCTGTCTAGCCAGAATAAGAACTGAGATGAAGATCTCTCATTGGTACCTCACTTTTAAAATCATAGGATAGATGGGGAGCTCAAGGAGCAGCATCTTGGGGAGAGGGAAGGAGAGAGAAGCTCATATGAAATTTGGGGAGGTTATTCCAGTTCCTACCTTTCCAGTCTCAAACTCTGGAGAAAGGAAATAGCCCAGGGCCTGATGTGGAGGTTCTTTTTATGAGCTCTCTTTGTCTCTGCATGGTCAAATATATTTATTTAGAGTTGATCATTTCAAAGTTATCAATTGCTCAGTTAGTCCTTTCTCTCCACTTAGTCTCTGGCTTCCTGCCTTTTAATGCCTTACCTGCTTGTGAGCATTCCCACCTCTGGATGGAGAGATGCAAATAAACACATAAACTCACCCAACACAGTTTTGCTGGTCTTTCTACCCCAAACTAAAAAAGGAGGGAAGGAAGAAGAAGGCCCAGAAAGAAGTTCAGCAAACATGAAATCTGAGGAATTTGAAATAAAAGACACAAGTCAAAAGAGAGATCTTCTTAGAGTCACCAAGATGAGTGAGTACATCATGAGATGATTTCAGGCACAGGAGAACTCAGAGCACTTCTCATAATGGAGATAGCCAGAGGAGAAGAAACCCCTGAGGGAGACAGGTAGCAGAACATGAGGAGAGAAATGTTTGGGGAGTAGCAGTATTTTTTTTTTTTTTTGAAGCTTTGTCTGAAACAGAAAGATCTAGCATGGTCAGGCTGCTTATATACCCAACTTGATATAAGGAGTCACATCGGTCCAACACGTTTCTCTGGAGCAGGACTCTATTTACCCACTGGAAACATATGCCTGCATATCTCATTCATTTCCTAGGGAAGTCTCAACTCTGAGTAAGATGTATTTGTAACAGGATTGGCAGGAAGACAATGCACACTGTCTGGGGGCGTGAGGAGAAAGGCCTGTTCACGTTCCTTTGCCAACACCAGTGCCAAGAAAGCTGCTCTTCACAGACCAGTCCTAAACCAGCAGTCTTGCAGGCATGTTTCCCTCAGCAGCTGTTAAGTCACTGACTCCCTTTCTTACCACTTCATGTTCTAGTCTTTAATTTGCTTACTGTTTTGCCTGTACCCTCTTACCCTGGGAAAGGCAGTGCTTTCCTTAACTCAGAAGTTGCACAACAAGCTCAAGTGGAAACAAAAGGATTTGTGTCTTTTTCTGTGGGTACTGGGGAGGAGGTGATACAGGAAGGAATAGCTTTGTTTTTCTCCACCAAGAGAAATATAAAAGCAACGTTTCACTTTCATTGATACTTCATTGTAAGTGCCCATACATTAGTAGGTATACAAGAAAGTGAAAAAAGTGAGAACAAATGATTAAAGGCTTGGCAATTGGACACCACAGGGAGAGGGAGAATGCTCATTATGGGGAAAAAGGCTAAAGGTCTCCTGCTAGCAATCTGAGTTGATGAAGGGCTCTCATTTGGAAGATGGTGGCTAGCTGTTCTCCATTACCTCTGAGGACCCAACAAAAGGATCTGGCCTTAGGTTGCAACAAGAAAAGTTTATAAAGGCATATAACAAATTATTTATTGACGGTGAGAGTTGTTAAGCTACTAAGAGATATTATAGATTTCCCTTTCCTAGAGTTCTTTAAAAGTAATGGAGATAACCATTTGCCATGTATGGTTTAGGTGGGTTTCCTGCATCATATAGGTTGAGGTGACTTCTACCCACGAGGCTGTGCTAGAATGGCTAGCATTATCTCTAAAGATGAGCAAACATTAGGCTTTAGTAAGGATAGCAAATTCAGAACAGAACTCATATTTTTATCCTATTTATTACAACTTTCTGGCAACATCCACTGCATCTCATACAACCAATCTCGGAAACAGGCTTGCGGCCCATCTAGCAGATTTAAAAACCTGAGGAATGAGGGATAATGTGACACCTAAAGAGAGAGGTTCAACTGCAATCCTATCAATGCCTGGTAACTTGACCACTCTACAAGAGCATCAGGGTGAGTTCTTGGTTCCTGAAATCCAGTGTGGCTGTTTGGCTGGATATTCCAGGACAGGGAAACAAAGCTGTTACATACATGAAGTATACAACAGGAATTAAGATAGAATAAAATATAGCATTGTTTGTGATTTCTAGTTATGTAAATATAAAGCGACTTAACCGGTTTCTGGGAATGAACTTGGATTGCTTTGGAGGGTTGTCATGAAGGAGATTACTCCATTGCAGGTGGCATAACTAAAAGCATTTTCTAGAATACACTTCACTGTCCACCACATGTGAACATAAAGCAGTGTGTGAACAGACTCCATGTGCCCTGCAGCCTCTCTATCCAGCCACAAGGGAAGTTGGGCTGAGACTCATATTGTGTTCAGAAGCTATTAAGTAATTGGATCTCTGAGATCTCTTTCTTGATTGCGTTCAAGTCAAGTCGATGATTTAGAAAGGTTTGCATTTAAAGTGTATAAGCTTCATATCTTCAATGTTTAATTCCATAGTCACTTTTAACTTTATATTGTTTGAGTCCTGAAAAGAGAATATTAGAGAATTATCTGTGGCAGTGATTCTTAACCTGCTGTCCACGGATTGTGCTAGCCCACAACATCTCTAGTCCTAAATAGGGTGACCATTTCATCCAAGGTTTTTTGGGACTTTCCTGGTTTTATCACTAAAAATTCCACATCCCAGGAAACCCCTGAGTCCCAGGAAAACTGACATAGTTGGTCACCCTAGTCATAAATGAAATAAGGACTATGCGTTTTTCCTAAAGTTGAAAGTACTTCATCTAAATTCTGAAGGACAATGAGTTTTTCTAAAGCTAAACACATTTAATTTAAATTGAATTTTGAGAATTTGTCTTCCTATGTCTTGGCTTCAAAACGTCGCTTTTAAACTGAAATCATGGTGACAGTAGTTGATAGTATTGTAGTTTAATTTAACAGCTTCATTTGTCACAGGTGAGGACAACCATATATTACAACCCCTCCCCTCATTTCTACTGTAGTCACGGCACTACACAGAGATAGTCCGTTCCTCTGCCTTAAGTTCTCTGCCCCTCCTACTGGTTGTTATATTGGGACTTTTTAAAAAATTTTATTTTTCCATAAGTTATTGGGGGTACAGGTGATATTTGGTTACATGAGTAAGTTCTTTAGTGGTGATTTGTGAGATTTTGGCGCACCCATCACCCGAGTAGTATACACTGCACCGTATTTGTAATCTTTTATCCCTCGCCTTCCCCCCAAGTCCCCAAAGTCCCCAAAGTCTATTGTGTCATTCTTATGCCTTTGCATCCTCATAGCTTAGCTCCCACATATCCGTGAGAAATATGATGTTCAGTTTTCCATTCCTGAGTTACATCACTTAGAATAATAGTCTCCAATCTCATCCAGGTCGCTGCAATAATGACTTCTTTTTCTCTAGGCAGATACCCAGTAGTGGGATTGCTGGATCAAATGGTAGTTCTACTTTTAGTTCTTTAGGGAATCTCCACACTGTTTTCTATAGTGGCTGTGCTAGTGTACATTCCCACCACCAGTGTAGAAGTGTTCCCTGTTCACTGCATCCATGCCAACATTTACTGTTTTTTGATTTTTTGATTATGGCCATTCTTGCAGGAGAAAGGTGGCATTGCATTGTGGTTTTGATTTGCATTTCCCTGATCATTAGTGATGTTGAGCATTTTTTCATATATCTGTTGGCCATTTGTATATCTTTTTTAATAATTGTCTATTCATGTCTTTAGCCTACTTTCTGATGGGATTTTTTTTTTCTTACTGATTTGTTTGAGTTCGTTGTAGATTCTGGATATTAGTACTTTGTCAGATGTATAGATTGTGAAGATTTTCTCTCTCTGTGGGTTGTCTGCTTACTCTGCTGACTGTTCCTTTTGCTGTGCAAAAGCTCTTTAGTTCAATTAGGTCCCCGCTATTTATCTTTGTTTTTATTGCATTTGCTTTTGGGTTCTTGGTCATGAAATCCTTGCCTAAGCCAATGTCTAGAAGGGTTTTTTCAATGTTATCTTCTAGAATCTTTATGGTTTCATGTCTTGGGTTTAAGTCCTTATTCCATCCTCAGTTGATTTTTGTATAAGGTGAGAGATAAGGATCCAGTTTCATTCTCCTACATGTGGCTAGCCAATTATCCCAGCACTAGTTGTTGAAAAGGATGTCCTTTCCCCACTTTATGTTTTTGTTTGCTTTGTTGAAGATCAGTTGGCTGTATTTGGGTTTTTCTGGGTTCTCTATTCTGTTCCATTGGTCTATGCGCCTATTTTTATACCAGTGCCACGCTGTTTTGGTGACTATGGCCTTATAGTATAGTTTGAAATCAGGTAGTATGATGCTTCCAGATTTGTTCTTTTTGCTTCATACTGGGACTTTTCATCTCCAGGTGATGATGTCCATGAGGGACATTCGGAGTTAGTTTTGACTACAAGTGCTGAGATTGAAAGAAATTATATACTTGCCCTGATGGTGTTTGCACTATGTCTGGAGAAATTGGGTTTCCTTCTGTCTTCAATATTTTTTGAAAATCTCTATGGGAAATCATGGAGGCTTTTAATTGTAATACTTTTGGGGTAATACTGTAGGGGAAGGCTTCAGGTAAAAGAAAA
The DNA here is from genome assembly GCF_000001405.40 of Homo sapiens. NCBI lineage: Eukaryota > Metazoa > Chordata > Mammalia > Primates > Hominidae > Homo > Homo sapiens. The sequence continues at coordinate 112,673,751 of NC_000023.11, read as the reverse complement.
GTGAGAAATTATGGCTTTGCCGTTGAATCACTGTGTACCCTTGGGTAGGTCGCTTGTCTTTCTGAAGCCCAATTTGCTCATTTGTAAATTTAGGATAATATCTTTCTTACTAACCTAAGAAGACCGTTGGGCAGAGCACATATAATAATGGATTTGGAAGGGATTGTGATGACACAGCTAATAACTGTTTGTCAGCTTGTTTCCTCTCCTCCTCTGGCCTGGGCTGCTTCATCAGGAAATGAGTCTGTAATGGAGGGCTGCTTGCACTTTTTGTAATCTTACAAACTCTAATACAACAAGCAGAGGCATTACCTCATTGCGGCCAACCATACCTGCTGTCTAACAGCAATTACTCAAAACTAGTTCCACTTCTCCCCCTGTTGCCTTTCAATCCCTCATCACATCTTTCTCTCATTTCTCCCATTCTCAGCCACAAAGCCTAATTCCCAGGGGCCCAGCTCAGGGCACTTTCTTCCCAAGCCCTAACATTCCAGAGTAAGCACCTGCAATTTACGATCTCTGCTCCCTTCCTGCACAAAACACGTAGCACAAAATACATATGTATCAATAGGGGAATTGTGGTTGAGTAAAAAAAGAGCATTATATTAAGAATCAAATAACTGGGCTCTGATCTGGCCAGTGTACCTCACTAGCCCTTCACCCTTGAGTAAATCACTTCCTCTCCATATTCCCACCTGTAAAGTCATGGAGAGGGGGTAGTTTAACATTGTGTGGTAGAAAAGTACTGGCCTAGGCATCTGCAGATCAGGTTTCAGGTTCTGATGTTGCTGCTTGCTAACTTACTCTGTGACTTGAAGAAAATCACTTCCTCCTTTACTGGGCAAAATTCTCCCATATGTAAAACAAGAAGGTTGGATTAAATGATTCATTAAGTTCCCTACCCATCTGGAAATTGAATGATTCTATGAAATGGGTTTCACTAAACAAACTTGAAATGGACTGCCTGCTCTGTGTCAGGCACTGTTTGACAATGGTTGTGAAAGGGCTCATGACTGAGACCCTGAGACACTTAGTGCCTCTGCTGCTTGTTCCTGTCAGTGTCTAAAATTGGCAATGTGGCGATGACCCCATACAGCCAGTTCCTGCGCTTCCCCTGCTTTGGGTCCCCCAACCTCCTTCCCAGTCCTCTACACCACCACATATAACTTTAAGTAATGGTGGTGAATCATGGAGAAGTTTTTGAAACATATTCCACCATCTGCCTGCTGGAGACATTCACAGTGCTGTCATCAAGCTGCAGTGTGGTCTCTAGCCGGCCCAATAGAGAAACAGGCCAGAAAGCAATGGCAGATTAATGGAGTTGGGAGGAAAGTGGTTGATTTTTGACAGAGGGGTCTGTGAAAACCATTTGTGAGCTGAGCTGAAGAACTAGATCTGGAAAGACTCTCAGCGTCTTGATTACAAGATTACTTGTTCCAAAAGGGACCTTGAAAGGTCCTTACAGCTATATGTTCCTGCTGCAAGGTAGGGAGTGCCTGATCCTGATCTATTTCAGAACTTTGAGAAGCTTTTTGGATTATATCCAGCAAAGGACAAGGAAGCTTTTCTTAATAGCCATTCCAGAGATAACCTCTCCTGGTTGGAAAGTTGCCTCCCATTTTGATTGTGGGAAAAGTGACTGATCAGTGCTCTCTCAGTGACAAGTATAGGGTATGAGACTAGACACTCCTTATTTTATTCTATCCATTTAAACCTGGCTGATGCATCCCAGTTGAAAAGCGCGCACTAACACACTGCTGGACATGTTACCCAAGTCAAATGGGAACAACCTGTAACTCTGTGGCGAGGTCTCTTTCCCTCTCACCCCTTATAGTAGGGGCGGGTCTTGATAAGTTGTCTTCCTTCTCCTTCACTCACTGAAAACAACTTTGCTCCTGATCCTCTTCAGATATTGCCTCCTTCCAAGCTACCAGGCCAGGAAGTCCATTCAGCTGGAAGCCGGGACAGCAACCTTGTTTTCATTTAGGCTCCTTTCCTGCCACTTGTTCCACGATGTATGTCAAGAGTTAAAAGCTGTCTGATCCGGCTGTATTTGAATTGGCAGAGCAGACCCTAATTCAGTTATCTGGTTCCTCCATTGCAGCCTAAAGACCATAGAACTCTAAATCAGGCAGAAGGAAGGGAAGGTGGGAAAAGTACTGAAAAGCAAAATCCCACAGGGATCCAAATGGTCCTCGAGAGAATAATCTTATCCAGAAGCAATGACCAAGTGGCACATAATTGAGCCCCAGGACTGGCCAACCAGATGAAAAATAGGCCAGTGGAGCCTACATGGTAACTTACTGCATTTGGTGCTGTGATCCAACTCATCTCCCCATCCCTGCAGAGAAACCTGTGACCATGAGGAGCAGCCTGACCATGGTGGGAACCCTCTGGGCCTTCCTGTCCCTTGTTACTGCTGTGACCAGTTCTACCAGTTACTTCCTACCTTACTGGCTCTTTGGATCCCAGATGGGGAAGCCAGTGTCATTCAGCACATTCCGGAGGTGCAACTACCCTGTGCGGGGAGAGGGACACAGTCTGATCATGGTGGAAGAATGTGGGCGCTATGCCAGCTTCAATGCCATCCCAAGCCTGGCCTGGCAGATGTGCACAGTGGTGACAGGTGCCGGCTGTGCTCTGCTGCTCCTGGTGGCACTAGCTGCTGTCCTGGGTTGCTGCATGGAGGAGCTCATCTCCAGAATGATGGGACGTTGCATGGGAGCAGCGCAGTTTGTTGGAGGTAAGACTGTGCTTCTGGGATTGGGTAGGTTGGGTAGCTTTGGGGCAGGGAGGAGTGGGGAGTGTAGCCTTATGGGGAAACCCATTCTCACCCCCTTCACTTTGTCCAACTCTAAGGCTATGAATGAAGTCTCCTTTAAAATATTTAGTCTAGGACTTCCCAAAGTGCAATCAATATCAGAGTTTTATTCACAGCAAATTTGGCTAGTAGGCAGAATTGATATCTGTTGTTTACCCTCTATTTTTGTCACCTTCATCTGCCTGCAGGTTGCCCATTTAAAAACATTATCTATTAATATGTCTGCCTTCCAGAGTCAGCAACATACACTGTAGTATTACTGCTCCAACATAAACTTAATTTCTAGGAGCCCTGCTCTCTGGTAGTTATCTCAGAGAACAGTGATCTAATAAACACATACACACAGGTGCAAATTACTAACAGTTCTCATCAAAGAAATACACCTCTAATAGTGAAATGTTGTGTACCACAAAAACTGTAGATGACTACTTATCTGGACCACATCTAAGGCTAGCCCTGTCTGGCAGCTATTAGCAGTCTACCCAGATTTCTTGTGACCTTGACCCACCTTACTTGTCCTTCCCCTCATTCAGGCTCCCCCTAACTTTAGTGCAGGGAACCTGAGATATTGGCAGTGTCTGGATTGGCTAGAAAAGAGCAAAATGCAAAAATGGCAGACTTCAGGAAGACAGTGACAGCTGTATAATTTGAACTGTCTGAGAAGAAAAAACAAATTTAGAAAGACAGGAAAACATATATGTGAATATTTGAGTATTTTGCAAAACCTAGATTGGGCACTGGGAAAAAGTGCTGGTAGAATCTACTGCTGAAGTTTGTTGTTACAGAGTTTTAGAATTATTACCCAATTCATTATCATTATTATCTCCATTAGCATGACAGTGTGGGTCACTAGAGCCAGGAAACTTGGATTTCACTTCTGTTTTTTTCACCAAGTTGCTCTGTGACCATAGTGGGAAAATGACATGACTTTTCCTATGCTTCACTTCCTTTGAATTTGTCCCCTGGTGATATAGCCCAGATCTGATCTTTCTTTCTTCTGTCCAATGACTGCATTCATGTGGCCTTGGAGTGAGATGGCAGTGATGAGCTAAGACAGTGGGTCTCAATGGGGACTACTTTTGCATGCCCCTCCCCCCTGGAAGACATTTGGTAATGTCTGAAGGCATTTTAAATTGTCACAACTTGGGGAAGGTCCTACTGACATCAAGTGGGTGAAGGTGAGGGATGGTGATGAACGTCTACAATGCACAAGATGAGGACAACACTCACCCACAACAACAAAGAGGTATCCAGCCAAAATGTCAATAGTTCTAAGTTTGAGAAACCCTGGGCTAGGCTACCAAGCTTTCCTGGCTTGATTATGAAAAGCATCAGATTCTGTTTGTGATACCAATTAAAGTGATGCTTTCTGGTTTCCTCTTTTCTCAGACTAGCTGTAAAAGTTTTAAATCTGAATTACCATTCTAGCCTCCGTCATTTCTAAAATTTTTCCCACCGTTTAGCCACTGATGGGTTTTTAGCCACATTGGAATGTACAATTAAGTTAGTTTCTTCCCTTTGAAAACTGTAATACTAAACCAGTTGCTAAGGCTGATCTAAGCCAATTATCTTAGCTGGCTTTGGAAGCTCCATGGGTATTACAAATAGGTCTTAGGCTTACCTTTCACTTTTATTTTTAAACACGCTATAATTAACTCAGCACTGCTATGAACACATTATTTCAGGAAGTGACACTTGGCTGATAGGGCAGAGGGGTCATCCTTGCAATTCATATTTATAGCCCTGGAGCCCAGTTCCGTGCCTGGCTGGCACAAAGCAGATGTTCAGTAACTGTAGAAAGAATGAATGCATGGCTAAGGCAATATCTAGCATATGTTGGGATAAACTGAATATGTGAGAGCTGGATTAGTTCACATCCTTTCCTCTTTTTCCAGGCTTCCATGCAGGGCTGTTAGCACCCTGAGCTCTCTTCTCTTCTGACAAAAGAGTGACAGTTTAGCTTCACTTGTATTTCTAAGAGTTTCCAGCAGAGTGAGGAGGGGCTAACTGTCAGGAATCAGAAAGCCTAGCAACAGCCTCCATCAGATTCCACACATTAAAGTGGCTCCCATACCCCCAGGTTGCTTCCTCTTTTGGGCTCAACTGAGACTTTCACAAAGCATTCATAATTCTCCATATGATGCATTTCAGTTGATTTCACCTACTAGGTATAGAAACTCAAAGGAAATTGTTGATAGGGGATGTAGGAAGGTAGTGGAGATTTGGATATTCACAGGTTAGGCGGGACAGAACTTTGAGTGGCAGGTGTCACATAGAGGAAATAAAAACACGAGCATCATTTTAGTTTCACATGATTCTGCCATTCTATATCCACGTGAGCCTTGCTCATAGGAACATAGTCACAGTGTTCACATGTAGATGAGGGTCTTTAAAGCTGAAGAAGAAAATGCCATTTGGCAGTAGTCCTACAAGTCTTCAAGACCCTGGGTGTGCTATCAGGTTTATCCCTGGGCAGGGGATTGATATTGGGACAGATCGCTAGACCTCCACAGCTTCCCCATCTGTAACACCAGCCAATTAAGAACCATTCCTGCCTCCTTTCTAGAGACTGGTGGCTGTCCAGGTTATATCAGATGTGAAAGAATGGTGAGGGTTGCTTGGATGAACTCACTAGGAGCCCCTTGACATATGACTGTGACCTAAGGATCTTTGGACATCTTCGGCCTGACCTTCTGAGACAGGCTTTGCCAGTGGAAGGAAACCAAGGCTGGGCAGCATTTTGGGCCCCATGGATAAAGACACAAGAGAAAGAGTTTGGGGGATTAAGTTCAAACTTGTGTAGCTGAGGGGAATTGATTTTGTTGCTTCAGGTCTGGCTGCTTCTTGGCAGCTAGCGCATTAACCGAAATACATTGGGGGAGTAGTCAATTTTTGTCAGGTCTGGTTTCTCTCTGCCAGACCCCAAACCACTGAAGAGATGGAGTATCCATTAAGAACTACCCCCTTCCCCTGCCTGACTCTTGCTCCCCAGTTTGGCGGCTGCCCACAGAGATGAGTGGTGGGAAGTGGGAGAGACAGGAAGAAATAAAGAGCTGCTGGCCTGACTCATACTCAGCAAAGTGACCTGATGGGGCCCATGGGTCCCATTTGCTCCACCTGTAGCTGATCCATCTGGATAAGCCCAGGGTCCAGAGAGCCTTCCACTGGGACCTCCATGCCCTGCTCCAATCAATGAAGGAAACACCTGGCCAGGAGATTATGTCAACACTGGGGATGCTGAGATTTCTAAACAGCTGGCCCCCAGTCCCTGAGAACATAGCCACTATTCACATTCCCCTGTTTATACATATGCAAGATGCTTATGAGATCCTCTATCTTCAGTGAGAGCTAAACAAAGAACAAATAGGTGAGTAGTACACATAAGGAACTTCTTGGCAGAAAAACAATGTAAGATCTTGAATCAGGTTACTCATGGGAGGCCAAGAATCTTTCTCGACCAAGGAATGTATCAGAATCACCTGGGGTGCTTAAAAATGTGAGCTTTCCAACTCTCTGGTCTCGTTTCCCATTCTGATGTACACAACAACAGGTGTAAGGTTGCATATTTAGTCAAATCTCCCCAGTGACTTTGATGTGTATGTGTGTTCCCTTTCCCCAGCCTAAGGGAGGATCACTACCCTGGACATTATTTTTTTGTTGTTAAGAGAACAGCATTCAACACACCAGTGCTTTTCTCCATGTAAGGTCCTAATATTACATGCTTCAAACTGAATAAAAGTTGCCATTGGAGACATATCACTGAGAACTTGATTTCAGGAAGAGTGCCATGTTTCTAAAAACCATCATCATCTCTGGAAACTATTTTTTTCCTGGAAAGTCCTTCAGAGTTTTACCAGATATCATTTTATTTATCCTTACCATGCTGAGAAAGGATTATGAAAGCGATTTTCTGTTTGGGAAGTGGTATTCAAGGAAGTTAACCCACTAGCAAAGACTTATGTAGCAAATTGGAGCAGAGCTGGGAATATGGTCCAGTGCTCCTGACTCTCAGTCCTGTGCTTCATACACTGATGCTCTTGAATTTTTTTTCTTTTCTCTTTTGGAAAAGAAATGCTATCACAGTGTTTTCCACAGTGGTCCATGAACCGCTTGGATTAAGAATTACCTGGGGTGCTTGTTATTACAGATTCCTTAGTGCTGCAGACTGCACCAGTGCCTGCTAAAGTGCGTATTACACAACCTCTCATGCTCATATATTTTTGAAAATATATTATGAAATATTTCAGATGTACTCACTACTCTGTGTAAGAAATGGAATATTAGCAATATAGCTGAAGCCTCCTTTATACCCTGATCACATTCCCTTGTCCCCACTGAAAAGGTAACAACTGTCTGGGAGTTGTTATTTATCATTCACTATCATGATTCCAGTACACACTAAAATTTGAGAAACTCTGCTCAGCCTTGTTTAGGGTGTTGCTTCTTTCTGGAATTCCCTTTTCTTCTATCCCTCCCTGTAAATATCTACCTATCTCTCAAAGGCCAGGTCCAATGCAGCCCTTCTGTGAAGCCTTCCCTGATCTACTTTTGACATCTTTAGCAGATATGAACGATCCTGTAACTCCAAGAGGAATATGGGGTAGAATGAATGGCGGGGGCTGGGGGGGTGGTAAGTGAAGGAACTCCCTAGGAAGGGAAAGCTGAGATATAGTTGAAAGTCAGGCTTGTAAATTTTCCACTGGTTTGTGTTTGAGTCGAAGTTGTTATAATAACAAATTAACCCATACTAGGCTTCTGCTCAGGGCAGTAAATCCAAGCTACCCAATAATTATGTTTGGAAAGTAGGATTGGCAGCTATGCAAAGACAAGGGAATTGAGAACAAGAGCAGGAAGTTTAACAAATGCCCACCCAACAGTTGCACTTGTGAATAGTGGAGGGGTGTGCAAAGGGAGTTGGTAATACCCAATGAGGAGGTTATCCCTGCCAGAAGACAAAGATTAGGCATCTACCTATTTGAGAATGTGTAGTTGGGAGAGGATTATATAGCAGCTGGGATATGGGCAATTAGTAATGCTGGGAACAGGGGAAAGTTGAAGGCAGCTGTGGTGTGGCTGGAAGGAGGGCTCCAAGTTCTGTCTCAGATTTTGCACCTGAAGGTGTGTATTGGTGTCCCAGTTTCCACAAGGGCTGAAGCTGAATAAAATGTCTAACTCCAGCCCTCTTCTTGGTCAGCTCAGTAAATTCAAACCATGGCAACTATGTCGGGGAGAACATTTGGTATGTTTTGTGATAGGGGATTCTTAGGGAGGGGAGCAGCTGAGGAAGAGAAACAAAATGGCAGCCTATTGGACATCTTCCCACGTGTAGTAGGGGAGTAAAGACAGTAACACACTCTAAAGGCTTTCTTTTCCTTCCTAGAGGCATGTGAGATTAGAAAAGTTCCCAGCTAAGCATATGCAGTTGAAACAGACTTCTTCAGGCCTGGCGCGGTGGCTCACGCCTGTAATCCTAGCACTTTGGGAGGCCGAGGCAGGTGGATTGCCTGCGCTCAGGAGTCTGACACCAGCCTGGGCAACATGGTGAAACCCCGTCTCTACTAAAAATACAAACATTAGTCAGGTGTGATGGCACGCACTTATAATCCCAGCTACTAGGGAAGCTGAGACGGGAGAATCGCTTGAACCTGGGAGGCGGAGGTTGCAGTGAGCGGAGATCGTGCCATTGTACTCCAGCCTGGGTGACAGAGTGAGACTCCGACTCAAAAAAAAGGAAAAAAAAAAAAAAAGAGACAGACTTCTTCAAGGGGCATATGTGGTTGGAGGGGAAGTCAAACTGGGAGTTAGCAATGACACAGAAGAGAAGTGAGAGCCAGGGCTGCAGCTCATATGTGGCAGGGCTGGGATTTAAACAAGTTTTCTCTGCCACCAGAGCTTCTGCTCTTAACATTTTTAGTGGTGTTTTTCTTAAATGTTGGTACCAGGACAAGATACGTCCACATTACAGGGTGCTTTTAAAATGCATATTCCTGGGCTGCAGTTACTGAATCAAATACCTGGGGCTGAGGTCCAAGAATCCACATTTTTAATGAACCTCCATTCTTTCAGAAGGTGGCAGGGACTGACACTTGTAAATGACTTCCCTGTTGCTACTTGAAGCACATCTTCACAACTCCAAATTAATGAGAACTGCTGGAGACAAATATAATTGAGAATGAATTACTCTATGAATCCATTTTTATTTTTAATGTGTTCCCAGGGGCATCTTTCTCCAGCTATGATAAAATGTAATGGAATCAGCTGTCAGTTACAAGTCAAATATGTCCATGAAGTATGTTTACAACCTAATGTGCTCACCTGTCTAAAAGGGAGGATGGAGTACTGGGGAAGATGGCGGGGGTGGGAGGGCAGGTTGGGCAGAGCACGGAGCTACATGCACTAGACCTGAACAAATGCTTTGCAGAGATTCCTGTTCTTTCAGCGGGTACCTGTGCAAAATTGCAAGATAACTCCAACAAGGCAGCTTTTGAATCAAGCCCTGTTCAGGTTTTGACTTTTTAGCTGTTTGTTATGAGGTTAAAGAGATGAGGAAGAAATTAGCATGGAGAACACAGGTAGAAACTGGGAGAGGAGCCACAGGGAGAGTCAGCTGTATAAGAATAATAAATTTTTCTTGAGCACTTGCTATGTACGAGGCACTTTATGTATATTAATTCTTGGAACACCTCCATAAAATACAGTCAGCCTTCCGTATCTGTAGGTTCTGTGTCCACAGATTCAACCAACCATAACTCAAAAATATTTTTAAAAATCCAACAAGAATACAACAACTATTTACATACCATTTACATTGCATTAGGTATTATAAGTAATCTAGAGATGGTTTAAAATATACAAGAAGATGTGCTAGGTTATATGCAAACACTACATCATTTTGTATAAGGGATTTGAGTATGCACAGGTTTTGCTATCTGCAGGGGTCCTGGAACCAATCCCCTGTGAATACCGAGGGACAAGTGTATTATTATTACTCTGATTTTACAGATGAGGTGAATGAGGCACAGAGAAATTAAGTAACTTGCGTAAACTCACACAGCTTTCAGGTGGCAGGGCTGGAATTTGAATTCAGGTCTAGTTCTGCAGTCTGACTACAGAACCCATTGTTTTAAGCCACCATGTTGTGCTGCAACTCTCAATCTAATGCCTAGCAAATTCCTAGTGCCTTGCTAGAGATATTGTTGCCAAGAGGTAATCATCCCAGGACACATGTCTCTAGAAGGACAGAGCCTCTAAGGGTTGTTGATGATCTCTTTGATCGGGGAAAAAGGGCATTGCTAGTTACTAGCTATGTGACCTTGGGTAAATCATTTTCCCTTTCTGTGTTTCAACATTCACATCTGTAACAAGGAGAGATTAGCGTAGGTTATGTCCAAAAACGTTTTCCTTTCTATTTTTTTTTTATGGTGTCAGATGTCTGGGATGATTTCCCAGCCCTGACATGGAAGTCCCTTCAGAAGGGACTTTCCCCTTGGGCAGTGTGGGCAAAGGAAGCTGTCTGTTATATAGACTGTGCATACTCTGAAACAGATGCATTTATCGAGTACCTATTATCTACCATGTGCCAAGGACACAGAATTGAAGATAAGTATGTCTCCTGCCTTCAAGGAATACACACTCTAGTGAGGGAGGCAGATGATAAACTTTTGTAAAGAATATATATTACAGGCTATTTTAGTCACAGGAGTAAGCACTGGGTGCTATGGGAACAGAAAGAAGGAGCGTGTAATTTAGCCTGGGGGTTGGGGATAGCGAGGGAAGACTTCCTGGAGAAGGAAATCCTTGACCTGGGCTCCTCAGTATGGTAAGATCTGAGGGGCAGGGGTCTGAAGAAGATGGAAGGTTCCCTCTACTGTGCCAAGAAAGGCACTTGGCCAGCTCTAGTTTCCGCTTGAGAAGGCAGAGTTCGTGCCAGTCCCAGGGATCTGAATGTGAAGGTTAGAAAATAGAGCTGGTGTTCTTTTATAAACTTGTGTTCTTTTCTTCCTAGTCTGTGTGGGAAAACTCAGTCTTTATTAAATTTTCCCTCAAAGGGTATATACTGGCAGCAGGAAAAGGCTTAGGTTTCATTTCTACTTTTGTCCTTAACCCAATGTGCGTACTCTGGACGACCTCTTCATATCCTAGGATTTCAGTTTATCTGTGGAAAAAACAGGGGGTGTTGTTGTATTGCCACTGGATGAATTCCAGGGCCTAGAAAGGTCTTTGAGTGACCAGTTTCACTTCCTGTGATACCACGAGACAGATAAGAATGCTTTCTAATTTTAAGCATTCCACTGAAGAGAATTTCTAACCTTAATTGGTCATTGTTTTAGTTTCTAAAACCATTCTCACTGTCAGTAAATTCTCCCTATTTTCTTATTTAAATCCTTCTTGCTATTTCTTAAGGTCCTTCTCTTCTTCTGCGGCCTCAATGAGTACTGAGAAAAGCTAGTTGCCGTGGGGCAGCCAAGCTTGGAGGCTACTTTGAGATCTTCCTAAAGGATTCATCTGAAGGCAATATGAGTTTCTTAGAGTATATATGGACTCTTCCTCAGTGAGGAAAGAGAAGTGAAGATGAAGCTGGCAGTCCCTAGAGCAGCCCGCTTTTCACTGTCCAGTTGAGCCCCAGAGCTCTGGAACCTATAAATATGCTATTCATTCACCATTGATCAAGCAGCTGCTTTGTGATGGTTCTGTGCTATGTCTTACTTTCTGTGTCCACATTCATGACAAGTGTCCCTCCCATGTTCATTAGTGTGGCACCCAAGTATGGCGTGATTGTAATTAGGCTCTTTTGGTTGCAAGTAGCAGAAACTCACTTGAGTTGCCTCAGTGAAAAGGGAATTTATTATAACATAAGGAAAGTAGATTTGGAAAGCCATCAGGAAGGCCTGGCTTCTCTTTTTTCTAGCAGTTTCACTGACAGTATGGAGTTTTTCTCATGGTATGTCTGTTTCATGTCACTATTCTCCTCTATTCTCTCCCTCTACCAATCAGTTTGCTCAGCTTATCCAGAATTGATACTCACTCATAACTTTGAATTGAACTTGGCTTTAGCTTGACACAGACTTGATTCTACCTTCTGGTGTTGTGGGGTTGTTTTCAACTTCTGCATTATCTGTTAACTAGCTCAGCATCTTTATGATTTTTTCCCCTCCATTTTTAAACAGACTAGTCAAGTGCAGTAGTGAGAACGGGGAAAGAGTAGAACAATAAGTTCAATCCATAACTGACTGTGAACAATCAATTGAGACAACTCACTACCTTCAGACCAGTCATCTTTATGCTTCTCAATTAAAAATTCCAGAAACAAGAAACTAGCCCAGGTCACCTCTTCATGCCAGGCTACAATGTCACCCATCACTGACCAGCCAATGAATTTGTCTTAGTTGTCAGATGCCAATGCTTGATACAATCCTCTGTGGCCAGAGGCAGGGTAAGAGCCGTAGGATATAAAATGTGAAAACGTACGCAGCAAGAAAAAGTTGTGAGCAACATAGTTGCCCTTAGAAGGCAGTGTTGGCAAGCAGACCCAGATTTGTATCTCTGGTTGGAAGAATAAGATTATCACTAAGGTACAACAAAATTTCCCTGTAATGACTAAAAAACCTAAATAAAAGGGCCTTCATCCTTTTATTTAGCGTAAGGCGTCATGGTGTAAGGCATATGGAAACCAAAGAGGGGAGGACTGCTTGGTATAAAGCTGGAATGATTTATCGGGGGAGGAGTGTGGTTCCCTGCTCATCGGTCCAGCAGCTGACTCCAAGTTACAGGAATCATTACATATTTTCAGCTGGTAGGGACCTGCCTGATGTTTAGAAACAGCTGGATTTTGGGAAAGAGTAGTAACATTTACATTGTTATTCTCTGTGTATCAGACCAAGGCAAAAGAGGTTGGAAAAGCCAACCCAGCCTTGTAAGTCATTGACAAAAGTATTTTGGCTGTAAAAAGTATATTGGCCTGTCTCATTTTTCAACATTTTTTAAATTTATGAGTTGTCCCCTCTGCTACCTATTACACTCCACTACCTGTGGCATGGCCAAAAATAAAATCCTGTTGAGTTGGTACTCTCATAGAAATTTAGGGTAAAGGGGGAAGTGTAAGCTCAGTTGAGGAGGCAGAATTTGAGCTGAACTAATCCAAAGGGAATGTTGGGGTGACAGAAGACGTTATATTTTTTCTGTCTGTGTGTATGCTTTCTTTCTAGGGCTGCTGATAAGCTCAGGCTGTGCCTTATACCCTTTAGGATGGAATAGCCCGGAGATAATGCAAACATGTGGGAATGTCTCCAATCAATTTCAGTTAGGTAAGGTGGCCTGGGCAGATGGCAGTGATGGTTCATGGGAAATGTGTTTTCCAAAGTGCTTTACCACTTGGAGGGCACTCTGCTAGTGGTACTTGCCTGAATCTCTCTCACTGTGTTAGCTTATGGGAAGTGGTAGCTTAACTCACAAGAGTTGGCTGTAAATTCCCCTTCTTTAACTATCTCTCCATACAATTTATGCAGTTTTGCCCGGGGACCTATGACCAGTTTAGGGCAACCCTATCTTCAGAGGGATTTAAAATGCTTGGAGACTAACAATCTGCCATCTTCTGAATAAATCCTAGTTCCTACTGGTGTTTCCTTCTAGGCACCATTTTTCAAATGTAAGTCAACAGTATCGTTTGTCAATCTCCACTGAAGATGTAACACGAGGTTATTTAGTTTACCTGAAGCATGAGGAACCTAGATAAATATTCAAAATTGTTTCTAACGGCAAGAGCTGTTAAATATTAGAGTAGGTGACAGAAGTAGCCCTGAACCATTCTCTGGTTGCCAGTTTTCACTGAGAATGTCTCAGGTTCACTATTGTGAGTTGATAATATATTAGATTCTAATTGGAAGACTTCAGAAATATTCCCCCACCTATCATGATGAAAGAGAGTAGGAGAGGGAATGTCTAGGTTTCCTTGGGTATTCTCAATTGTACAAAAGGATTTGGGAACAACAAGGCCATCCAACCACATATAGCTTGTGCTCCAATACTTCCCTTTCTCTCTGTTGCCTCAGATTGATTTTTGAGTCTTGCTTGACTCATTTTTGAGAAAGTTGTTCCCTGTGCAAACATAACATGAGGGAAGGTGTAACTAGTGTGGATGCTCAAATGTCCAGTGTTCTTCACTCAGGACAAGGCTGACTGGTAAACATAATATTTCTGCCATAGATAAAAGAATGAGTAAATACTTGGGGCAGGTGTTGAAGAAAGGGAAGCAAGCCACTAGTCCTGCTAGCTGGGGTAAAAGCTAAAGATTCAGCAAATTTTTCCTAGTTGGTTGTGGGACTGATTCTACTTTTTGAAAATGACAGTTTCGTTGATATATAATTCTTATATTATCAAATGTACCCATTTAATGCATATAATCACCGGGTTTTAGTATAATCACAACATTGTCTAACCATCACCACTATCCAATTCCAGAATTTTTTTTTTTTGAGATGGAGCCGCCCTCTGTCACCCAGGCTGGAGTGCAGTGGTGCGATCTCAGGTCATTACAACCTCTGCCTCCCAGGTTCAAGCGATTCTCCTGACTCAGCCTCTCAAGTGGCTGGGACTACAGGCTCGCGCCACTACGCCCAACTAATTTTTGTATTTTTAGTAGAGACAGGGTGTGGAGGAGGGGTTTCCGCCATGGTTCAAACTGCTGACCTCAGGTGATCCGCCTACCTTTGCCTCCCAAAGTGCTGGGATTACAGGGAGCCACCGCACCCTGCCCCAGAACATTTTCATCAGCCCAAAAAGAAACCTCTTACCCATTAGCAGTCAGTGACTATTTCCCTTTGCTCCCAGCTGCTGGTAACCACTGTCAATATGGATTTACCTATTTTGGATATTTTATGTAAATGGAATCATATAATATGTGTTTTTTTGTGTGTCTGGCTTTTTCACTGAGCGAGAAGTTTTCAAGATGTATACATGTAGTAGCATGTACCAGTACTTTATTTCTTTTCATGTCTGAATAATATTCCATGGTATAAATGTAACACATTTTATTTATCCATTTATCATTTGATGAATACTTGAATTGTTTCTACTTTTTGGCTATTATTATATAATATTTCTATAAATATTTGTGTACACATTTTTGTGTGGACATATTTTCATTTCTTTTGGGTATATATCTCAAAATTGCTGAGTCAAATATTAACTCTATGTTTAAACCTTTTGAGGAACTGCCAGGCTTTCCAGAATGACTGCATCATTTTACATTCCCACCAACAATGTACAATGGTTTCAATTTTCTCAACATCTTCCTCAATACTTATTTTCCACTTTTTGTTATAGCTGTCCTAGTGGGAGTAAAGTGCTATCTTATTGTGGTTTTGATTTTCATTTCCCTGATGACTGATGATTTCGAACATCTTTTTGTGTACTTATTGGCTGTTTTTACATCTCCTTTGGAGAAATGTGCATTGAAATCATTTGCTTGGTTTTTTTTTTTTCTTTTTTCTTTTTTTTTTTTGTTTTTTGAGATGGAGTAACACTTTGTCACTCAGGCTGGAGTGCAGTGGTGCGATCTCTGCTCACTGCAACCTCCGCCTCCCAGGTTCAAGTGATTCTCCTGCCTCAGCCTCCTGAGTAGCTGGGATTACAGGCACCTGCCACCACACCCTGCTAATTTTTGTATTTTTTAGGAGAGATGGGGTTTCACTATGTTGGCCAGGCATTCTTGAACTCCTGACCTCAAGTGATCTGCCTGCCTCGGCTTCCAAAGGACTGGGATTACAGGTGTGAGCCACTGCAACCAGCCATCCTTTGCTTATTTTTAATTGGGTTATTTGCTGTTGTTGTCCTCGTTGTTGTTGAGCTGTAAGATTGTTTTATGTGTTCTGGATACAAGACCCTTTTTGGATATATGATTTTTAAATATTTTCTCCCATTCTGTAGGTTGTCTTTTCACTTTCTTGATGACATTCTTTGAAGTACAAAAATAATTTTGATCAAATCTAATTTATCTATTTTCCTTTTTCTTTTTTTTTTTTTTGCTTCTGTTTTAGGTGTCATATTTAAGAATACATTGATAAATCCAACATCAAAAAGATTTACCCCTAGGTTTTCCTCTAAGAGTTTTATAATTTTAGCTCTTATAGTTAGGCCTTTGTTCTGTTTTGAGTTAATTTTGAAAGTGGTATGAGATATAGGTCCATATTCATTCTTTTGGATGTGAATATCCAGTTGTTGTAGCACCATTTCTTGAAAAGTCTATTATTTCCCCTCATTGAATGGTCTTGGTATCCTTGTTGAAAAGTCAATTGTCCATAAATGTAAGGGTTTATATCTGGATTCTTCGTTCTATTCCATTGATATATATGTGTATTCCTATGCCAGTACCACACTGTATTGATTATCATAGATTTGTAGCAAGTTCTGAAATCGGAAGTATGAGTTTTCCTTCTCTTTTAATACTGCTTTGGCTATTCTGATTCCTTTGCATTTCCATCGGAATTTTAGATTTAGCTTGTCAATTTCTACACAAAATCAAGCTGATATTTTGATAGGAATTGTATTGAATCTGTAGATTAGTTTGGGGAGTATTGCTACCTTAATAATATGAAGTTTTCCAATCCATGAACCTGAGATGACTTTCTATTTAGTTAGGTCACTTTGAATTCCTTTGAATGATGTTTTGTCATTTTCAGTGTAGAACATTTTCACTTATTTGGATAAATTTGTTCATAAGTATTTTATTGTTATTTTTTAATAAGTAAAGCAGGCCTATTAACACAGAATTGTTTTATGCTTTTATTTTATTTTAAGATTCCTTATTGTTATTATACAGAAATAAAGATGGTCCCCCAACATACTATGGTTTGACTTATGATTTTTCAACTTTGCAATGGTGCAAAAATGATACACATTTAGTAGAAACTGTACTTCTAATTTTGAATTTTGACCTCTTTTTAGGTTAGAGATTTGGAGTATGATACACTTTTGAGATGCTGGGCCACAGTAGTGAGCCACAGCTCTCAGTCAGGCACCAACAACCCATACTCTACAGCATACTGTGTTGCCCAGTGGTTTTGCTGAACTGTAACATTATAAGTGTTCTGAGCACCTTTAGGGTAGGCTAGGTGAAGCTATTCCATTCAGTGGATTAGGCATATTAAATACATTTTTGACTTACAATATTTTTAAGTTACAATGAGTTTGTTGGGATGTAACCCCACTGTAAATTGAGGAGTATATGTACAAATGATTTTTGCATGTTGGCCTTGTATCCTGCAACCTTGCTGAACTCCTTTATTAATTCTAATAACTTTTAAGTGTATTCCTTAAAATTTTCTAGATACAACAATCATGTTATCTGAGAATAGAGACAATTTTACTTCTTCCTTTCCAATCTGGATGTCTTTTGCTTGTTTTCCTTGCCTAATTGCCCTTGCAAGAACCTCCAGGACAATGTTGAATAGAACTTGTGAGAATGGAGATCCTTATCACTGGTGTTAGCGGTAAAATATCCAGTTTTTCATCATTAAGCATTGATGTTAGCTATGTTTTTTTTTTAATAGATGGAGGACCTTTATTAGGTTGAAGAAGTTCCCTTCTATTCTTAGTTTGCTGATTGTGTTCACAATGAAAGGGTGTTGGAGTTAATCAGATGCCTTTTCTTCATTTACTGAGATAATCATGTAATTTTTGTCTTTTATCCTTTCAATATGATGCATTTCATTGATTGATTTTCATATGTTAAACCAACCTTGCATTTCTTGGATAAATCACAGTTGGTCATGGTGTATAATTCATTCTATACCTTGCTGGATTTAGTTTTCTACGATTTTGTTAAGGGCTTTTGCATCTATATTTATTAGGGATATTGACCTGTATATTTCTTTTCTTGTGATGTGTTCATTGACTTTTGGTATTAAGGTAATATTGGCTTTACAGAATGAGTTCCTATGATTCTACTTTGATTAAGGTAAAATGCCAAAGTAAAAAGTTGGATATGTGATTTGCATGGAGATTACCAACTTTGTTTTTTGCCCTAATCACCACCTAAGGACCTAGTTCATAAATGAGTAGTTCTGGGCTGAGTGCAGTGGCTCATGCTTGTAATCCCAGCACTTTTGGAATCTGAGGTGGATGGATCACTTGAGCCCAGGAGTTCAAGACCAGCCTGGGAAACATGGTGAAACCCTCTCTTTACAAAAAATAAAAATAATTAGCTGGGCATGGTGATGTTCACCTATAGTCCCAGCTACTTGGGAAGGGAGATACACAGAGCCAAAAAAGAAAAGACATGGTCCCTACCAGAGGAATAAGCTTTTTACCCTGACATGGTTCAGAGAGATGAAGAAGGTAGGGAGGAGAATAGAGGCGGGCATTATCAATCCATCAGAGTAAGTAAAAAGGATTTACCACTCTGCTACTCTGATAGGCTTTCTGCAGCCTCCTATATGAAGAGATCACATTCATGTCTTCAACCTATCTTTTCTTAGGTTTTCATTCAAGTTATCCTAAACCATCCACACTATTTTTTAGTCCTAATTTGAATGATCAAAGATACAACTTATATTAAGGCACTGATCTTGATGTCTGCATTGGATTAAAGATAGCCACAAATTTCTTGATACTTTTCCCATAGAGAAGCTGGGTCTGTCTCCAATTCCTATTCCCCAAATCTTCACTGGTGTACAGCTGCTTTAAGTTAATCTAATTACATCTAATTGGATCATTAGACTTAATACTCTAATTAGCTTCATTATAGAAGATAAATAGAGTATGACAGAAGTGACATCAAGCTTATTCTAGGCCTGTGGTCTAAAGAACTTGCAGTTTCCTTCTTGGTCTCTTGGAGCTCTGAGTCATCATATAAAAAGTTTGACTATCTTGGAGAGACCACATGGGATTTCCAAGAGTTACTTAAAGACAGAAAAGTTCAGCTAGTACAGCCATTCCTGCCAAGGCACTAGACATGTGAGTGAAGTTGTTCTGAACCCTCCATACCGGTTAACTGAATATCACTGAATGACATCAGTTAATGCCATTTAAAGTAGAAGAATTGCCCACCTGAGCTCTGAACAATTGTGAAACCATGAGATATAATAAAATGGTTGTTTTAAGCTGCTGTGCTCTGAGGTAGTCTGTCATACAACAATGGATAACCAGAAAAATGCCAAACCATATTTCAGATCGTTATTTTAAATAAAAATAATTCATGTATGTGACAAAATAAAACAATACATATATAAAGGTTTAAAACTTAAAATCAGTCTTTTTTTCTGACCTCGATACCATTCCCCAAAATGACCATTAAGTTCCTTTTATATTCTCCAGAATTTTTAATAAATATAAATAATAAATATAAACATAAATATAAATATAATTTTTAATAAATATAAAATATTTTTTCCAATATTTGTTCCAATATCCAATGGGATCATATTATCTAGCTCTCTATCTATCTAGCTACACTGTTCTGCACCTTGCGTTTTTCGCTTATTCATATCTCTTGAAAACCTATCAATGTTTATAGATCTTCCTTCTATATTTTAGGTATGCCATATTTTTCCATTGCAGGGATAACATAATAACATGCTCTGTGAGGGCATAGATTTTTGTCTGTGTTGTTTATTGCTATCTCCCCAGTGCCTGCTTAAAGAGTACCAAATAGTACTGAATATTTGTTGAATGATTGAATCATATGATCATTAACCACTTCTTTATGCACATTTAGGTTGCTTCCAGTTTTTGGCTTTTCCAAAACATATTTCAGGGAACAACTTTATGTATATGTCTTAGCATACTAGTTTATCTGTAGGACAAATTCCTAGGAGTGGAATGATTGGGTTAATGGTTATTTTAAATTTTCAGAAGTCATTGATGAATTAAATGCTCTCCAAAGAGACTGTACTAAATTATTCTCCAACCCACAATGTGAGTTTGCCTGATGTCCCATAGCCTCCTCAGTTTTGTGGATTGTCAACATTTCAGTTTCTTCCACTCTGGTATCTTCTTTTAATCTGCATTTCAATAATTATGAAAAGGATTAAATAACATTTCATTTTTATTGCTCATTTCAAATAATATATTCAACTCTAGCAACTTTAAAAGGTAACAGTGTCTAATTTGCAATTACAATTCTTTAAAAATTCTTAACTTTTATCCATTTATTTTAAGTCTACTTTGATTTCAGACCCTGATGAGAATGTTCCTGAGATTTGCCTTGGTCTATTTTAACTTGGAGTCAAAGCCCTTTCTAGCAGCTCATCTCCAACTCCCAGGCAGGCTTGCCATCGAAGGACCTCATGCTGCTTCTCTTGGAGAGAACAGTTTTCAGCATATGCCATCTTCCTTCAGCAAGGAAAAGGAATAGAAAGGGAGGGAGCAGAGAATAGGAGACCCACTTTATCCTTTCCATTCACTTGTTCCTAACTCTTTCTTTTTTCTGTGCATGGGATTGAGGAGAATAAAAATGATGTTAACGATAATTAATATGTTTTTGAGCATTTACTATATCCCATACATTATTTTACTTAAACCTTGATGACAGTTAGAGAGGGAATAACTGAAGGAGCAAAATTCTTGAGAAGGTGGTTATTAAGTTACCCCAGGGCACAGAGCTTGTAATTGGCAGAACCAGGATTTAAACCCAGGCCTGGGAGTCTCCATTGCCCTAGCTTTCAACCATTACTTAGGTGCTGTGATCATTACGTAATAATAATTGCTATCATTTATTGAATGCTTGCATAGGCTTCATATTAATTACATTTTAGAATTATTATGCAATACTTCAAATATTTTTAAAGATATGAAGTAATACCATGAACATCCACGTACCTATTACCGATTAAGTAGCTACTTAAAGTTATGTAGCTTGCCTAAGTTCACTCACTCAGCTGGTAGAGTGGCAGAGGTGGGATTTGAATTCCAGGTTAGAAAATAAAACCTTACCAATATGTTTGAATCTTTCTATATCCTGCCCCAATTACATCTCTGTGCCTCCAGAAGTAACTACAATCTTGAATTTGGAGGTCTTAAAAATGTTGTATACACTTATTATGGTGATTGTGCTATGAACGTTAAATTCATTACCATACTGGTTTCTTAAAACTATTCTGTCAGGTTGATTTCATCTACTGACATTATCCTGAGAGGAAGAATAAGACTCTCATATACCTCAACTGATAGCACAAAGCCCTTGGTGCCAGCTTTAATGAGGCAGCTCCCTCCTTTATGATGCTTGGCATATTTAGCTATGTGTGGCATATTTTATACAGAATCATAGAATGTCCAAACAAAATAGATCTTAGCTATCATTTGGGTTTGGCTGGTTCTTTATTATCATTTATCTTCAATGTCACCACCTCAAAGTCCCCCATCATCATACTTTTCTATCACACATCTTTTTGGTGTCTTTTGTAGCACTAATCACAATATATAATTATTAGATTTGCTTATTTGATTACCTGTGTTCCTTATTAGAATGTAAGCTTCATGTTGGCCCAGACCTTGTGTGTCCTTTTTCACATTCAACAGAGGCTTATTGAGCAAATAAATCTAATCCAACCTCCTCAAGGTAAAGACAAGAAACCTGAGGCCTGGAAAAGGACTTGCCAAGATCACACACCGTAGGCTTTCTGACTCGCAGGCAGGCACTGTGCTAGGAGGGAAGGAACTTCGGTGGTTATAAAAATGGTAGATGTTCTGATGGTGTCTAATTAGTGTTGATAAATGATATGAAGGAAGAGACAGGGTTTGGTGAGAGAATTCTAGAGGGGCATCTGACTTAAATTAGAGGATTATTAGAGAAGGCCTCTCTAAGAAGGTAAGATTTAAGAAGAAACCTGAAGGGTGGGTAGGCTTAACCAAGTGAACTACATGAAGAAGAGAGTTCCACACAAAGAAGTAGAATGCTATAAAGGCTCTAATGTGCGAAAGCACATGTTGTATTTGGGTACTACTCTAAGGCCAGTTTTGCTGAATCAGAAGAGTGAGTAATGGGAAGAGTAATAGATGATCTCAGAGACGTAGGCATTAGTCAGAATATAAGGACTTTGTATTTTATCCTAACTGCAATGAGAAACCATTGCAGGGTTTGAGGAAGAAAAGAGATAAGATATGATTTCTATTCTAGGAAGTTTCCTCTGGCAGTGTTGTAGAGAATGGCTATGGGGATGGTGACGAGAGTGGAAGCAGGAGGCCAGTCAGGAGGCTGAGCCATAGTCTAGGCAAAGACATGAGGGTTGCAAAGGTGACAGTGGAGCTGGGGAAAGTAGGCTGTTTCAAAATATATTTTAAAGTGTAATCAATTGTACAGGTGATAGATTTGATATGGGTATGGAAGAGATGTCCAAAAATGGGGAAGACTAGAGGAGAAGCAACTGTGGCTGGGATTGAGAAAAGAGAAGGAAACTCAGTTTTAGATAGGTTTTGGAGATACCTGTGTGAGAAATCCAAGTGGAGATGTCAAGCAAGCAGTCTGGAGCTCAGTGAGGTCTCTGACCTTGAGTTTAGAAATTGGGAGTTCTTAGTACATAGATGATGTTTAAAGTAATGGGAAAGAGGATTGTAATACTAACAGTGGTTATCACCTACTGACTATGACCTATGTGCCAGGCAATGTTCCAAGTGTTTTATATGTATCATCTCATTTAATTTTCACAGCAACCAAGTGAAATAGGTGCTGTCATTATCTTCATCTTATCATGAGGATGAGAAGTTCACAGAAAGGTAAAGAGACTTATCCAAGATGAATTTAGCTAGGGAGAAAGAGTTGAGTGAGAAGAGAAGAGAGCCCAGTCTAAGTAATGGGAAATTCTTCATGTATAAAGATTGGGCAATCATAGCGAACTCCTATATGGCACTCACTATACATACAAGAGCTCATTACATCTTTGCCACAATCTATAAAGAAGATATTATTAGCCTCATTTACAGAAAGGGAAATTGAGGTTAAGAGAGATTAAGTAACTTGCCTAAGGTCATTCAGCTGTGGAGTGGCAGATAGAAGTCTGATCTAAGCAACACCATCTAACAGAAGTTTTTGCAATGATGGAAATGTTCTGTGTGTTGCTGTCTCATGTGTTCCTAGTCACATGTTGTTGAACAATTAAAATATGGCTAATGGGACTGAGGAACTGAATTGTTACTTTTAATTTTATTAAATAAATATCTAATTTTATTAATTAATCTGATGTAATTTTATTAAGTGTAATAGGCACAATGCGACTAGTGGCTACCATATTGGACAGCACGACTTGAGAGAGTCTGTGCTGTTAGTTGCTTCTCTGTACAGAAACTTACTAAGGAGACTCAGAGGGGTAGCCAGAGAAACATAAAAAAGAAAATCAGGAATGTGGGGGTCACAGCAGCCAAGAGAAAAATGTATGTCAAAAAAGAAGGTGTAACCAACTATGTTTAATGCTGCTGCATTAAACTCGATGAGGACAGAGAAGTGACCATTGCAGTCAGTCAGACAAAGGTGACCTAGAAGAGAAGTTTTGGAGTTACAGATACTGGTAGTATTGTAAGATGAGGAAAATGAAGGCAATGTGTGTAGATAGTTCTTTCAAGCAATTTTGCTAAGAAGGAGAGCAGAGAAAGTGAGCAGCAGCTGGAGGAGAATGCGGGATGAAGAAAGGCCTTTTCTAAGATGACCAAATGCTTGGATGCTGATGGGAATGATCCTGTAGTGGAGAGAGAATGATGCAAAAAAGCAAAGTCTCTGAGAAACCGAGGGTGCAATGAGGAGGAATTTTTTTTTCTACTGTATTATAAAGAAATCTAAGTAAGAACCCTGAACAGATATTTCAAGTGATTTCTTAATACACTAATTGCAACTTTGATGAGATTTTCAAAATCCTCTTAAATCCACACACCACTAGAAAATTCTTTCATACCCAATGGCATATAGACAGGGGACACCCAAATAGGTCCCACTAAAAACTTAGAGAAGCTATATACTTTTTTTTTTTTCACAAAAAACTAGATGTTTATTTGTTCCACACATGAAAAAAGGGATGTGAGAAGTCATGTCCAGCAACATAAAAGGCCTCCCTGATTACTCTGCACAATGAGAATAAAAGGATTCATGAATATACATATTATGACAAAATTTCAGAACATTAAACAGAACACCTTAAAAACTTGTAGAGAAGAAAAAAGTTATAAAAGACAAAATACATATAAATAACAAAATCATTCTGGCATAATATATTTTATCAAAGCCAATGGATGCTAGATGAAAAAGGTACAATGCTTTTAAAATTTTATACCCAGAAAAACTGTCATTCAAGTAAAATAAAATAATGAAGATTTTCAACATGGAAGGCCACATAACATTTATCTCTCGTGTATTTTTCATAGGGGAATATTGGAAGATATATTACAGTCAAAGGAGAGAATAAATCCCAAAAGAGGAAGGCAAGTAATCCAGGAAACCATAAAGTGTGCAAATCTTTGAAGAATAGCATGAATGAAGCCTCTGTAACACATTAGAAGGCAATTGTTCACAATTGGAGGAGGCTTATGGCCTTCAGTGAAAAGGTTGCTAAGGAAAAGGGAGTCTTGAAGAAGGAGAAATTCTAACTGAAAGGTTAGGATAATTTGTGAATAGGAAAATGTCAGATGACAGATAAAAAGAAGATTAGAAATGCCCAGGTAAACAAACATGCAATAAAAATATATAAGAAAGTCCTGGTCCAAATATAAAGCAAATGAAAAATAAGTATGCTTTTAGAGATATACCTAATGTTAAATGACGAGTTAATGGGTGCAGCACACCAACATGGCACATGTATACATATGTAACTAACCTGCACGTTGTGCACATGTACCCTAAAACTTAAAGTATAATAAAAAAAAAGAAGTATGCTTTAAAACAATTGGGAGCTAAAGTAAGAATACATTTTAATTTTAAATATGGGTTCATTTATATTAAATTAGCTTAAGAAAATAACACTGTACATGCAAGAAGTGAGAAGTATCTTAGTAGAGAACTTGGTCCCTTGTTGAACAATATTTACTACTTCCTATTATTGAAAGCACTATTTGTTGGTAATAGAGTCAATCTATTGTCAAGGTATGGGAGACTAGGTTGTGATTGCAAGATAAAAATAATATGTTTCAACTTATACCTTCTATACCTAACACAGAGTCCATAATAAATGTCCTCATTAATATTTGGAGAATAAATAAATACATAAATTTCTTTTTTTAATGTTGAAATTTTTATTTTACAGATGAAAAAGGTGGAAGATAAAATAATTTAAGAAGTCCTATTTTGTCCAGCATAGGGGAAAAGAGAACACAGCTTTGTGAGTTTGTTTTTTTTAATACTTTAAGTTCTAGTCTATTAAGGTAGAAGTCAAAATATTCCTATGTTAAAGCTTTAGTTTAATTAAAATAAAATGATCAGCAAACAGATTTTTTTTAGCTGATTCTTATACTGTTATTTTCCTTTACTCTTTAGTTCTGAGGAAGAGGACATAAAAATCTTGAATTTCACTCCTGTTGCTCAGTGACAATGTTCAGAGAAATGTGGCATTTTAACCATCATTTTGGTAAACTTGGTTATTTTTGTATGGCCATCTGTCCCTAAACCACATTATTAAGGATATTCTTTTTTAACAATTATACTTTAAGTTTTGGGATACATGTGCAGAACGTGCAGGTTTGTTACATAGGTATACACGTGCCATGGTGGTTTGCCGCACCCATCAACCCATCATCTACATTAGGTATTTCTCCTAATGCTATCCCTCCCCTAGCCCCCCACCCCCCAACAGGCCCCGGTGTGTGATGTTTCCCTCACTGTGTCCATGTGTTCTCATTGTTCAACTAGCACTTATGAGTGAGATCATGCAGTGTTTGGTTTTCTGTTCCTCTGTTAATTGGCTGAAAATGATGGTTTCCAGCTTCACCCATGTCCCTGCAAAGGACATGAACTCATCCTTTTTTATGGATGCATAGTATTCCATGGTGTATATGTGCCACATTTTCTTTATCCACTCTATCACTGGTGGGCATTTGGGTTGGCTCCAAGTCTTTGCTATTGTGAATAATGCTGCAATAAACATAGGTGTGCATGTGTCTTTATAGTGGAATGATTTATAATCCTTTGGGTATATACCCAGTAATGGGATTGCTGGGTCAAATGGTATTTCTGTTTCTAGATTCTTGAGGAATTGCCAAACTGTCTTCCACAATGGTTGAACTAATTTACACTCCCACCAACAGTGTAAAAGTGTTCTTATTTCTCCACATCCTCTCCAGCATCTGTTTATTCCCTGACTTTTTAATGATCACCATCCTAACTGGTGTGAGATGGTATCTCATTGTGGTTTTGATTTGCATTTCTCTAATGACCAGTGATGATGAGCTTTTTTTCATATGTTTGTTTGCCGCATAAATGTCCTCTTTTGAGAAGTGTCTGTTCATATCCTTTGCCCACTTTTTGATGGAGTTGTTTTTTTTCTTGTAAATTTGTTTAAGTTCCTTGTAGATTCTGGATATTAGCCCTTTGTCAGATGGATAGATTGCAAAAATTTTCTCCCATTCTGTAGGTTGCCTGTTCACTCTGATGATAGTTTCTTTTGCTGTACAGAAGCTCTTTAGTTTAATTAGATCCCATTTGTCAATTTTGGCTTTTGTTGCCATTGCTTTTGATATTTTAGTCATGAAGTCCTTGCCCATGCCTATGTCCTGAATGGTATTGCCTAGGTTTTCTTCTAGGGTTTTTATGGTTCCAGGTCTCTAATGAGACACAGCTGCTTTTAAGTAAGCTTATAAAACTGTCGTGTTATAAATAGCACTTAATTCTAGGGTAATGTCTGTATTGTCCATCAATGGATCACATTCGCAACATGTTCTCATGAACACAATATAATAAGACCCTAAAAAACTCAACCATGGCTGACAGTAATATGCCATTTTTATGATGAGGAAAACCTGAGATGGAGAGCTAAAGTGACTTGTGTAAGGTCACACAGCAAATTAAAGGCAGAATAATGAATGGAGCCTATCTTCTAACTCACTGCCTGTGTGCTACAATGACTTTTTTCCTCTCCATTGGTGAGGGTATGTCTTGAGTCATTTGAGAATTTTTTTTCTTTAGGATACACTTCAGCTCTATTGTTTTCAGAAACAAATGTCTGAAACATCATGGAAAGTACCTAGTGATGCATCCTGTCTCCCCACCTCAACCCCTATCTCCACCCCCAGTCCCCCATCAATCTTTTAGTATAATCAGATTAAACATAAATCAGGAAGTGGCTGGACCTGATGGGATTCTGAAAGAGATCCCCATTGGAATGAATATATATGGGAAATTCTTAAATGCCTCTAGATTTGACTTGCACTAATAAAGGAACCTAAATGGTCCTGCTAAAGTCAATCAAATAAGAAAGATCTACAAAAATTTTTGTGTTCCACATGTTCTAAGATTATATACAGTTTATCTAGGGCCTCTCTCTGGTCTTCTGGGGTATGTGTTTGGGGGATAGGGAGGATGAAAGATTGGAGGGGGTTTGGGGAAGATACAGCCTTGAAAACAAAACCGTACAATTGCAAAAAGAATCTACCAGCCCCCGCACCCCCCCTCCCCCCGCAAACCAGGAAAGTTTGACCTCCTTCCTTCCATTGCCTGTTTTGTTTCCAGGTTCTTCTCTTGTGTCTTCCAGTCCTTCTTCCAGGTCCCTTGCTGTCCCGGGACTCCCTTGGTGTCCACTCTACCCTCCTGGAAAATTATGTACCTGACCCTGTCCCACCAGAGTCTTCAGTTGAACAGTTTAGGAAATTGACTCCTTTACTTCTTTTCTTCACTTAAAGAAGAAACTAACAGCCAAATATTTAAAACAGAAAATGAACAAACATTAACCGGGAACCTGCACTGAAACTTAAACTGAGAGGGACCTTGAGATCAGTCAGTGGGGCAAATAAGGGCAGGTGACTTTCTGAAGGCCCCACAACTAGTGACCTAGGACTAGTTTCCTTACTCCCACGTATACGGTAGATGCTGCTTAATGGCAACCCAGTATCTGTTTCTTGAATGAATCACCCATTCAACAAGAGGGAGAAAACAGGTAAAGGCTCCTTGCAACAGCCCTGTCAAGTGCAATGCTTTTCATATACCTTAATTTTATTAAATAAATGAAAAATTCAAGCTGAGAAAAATGCTTTGCTGCTTGTTAATTGAACTCCAGCCATCAAATGAAGATTTTATGGACTTGATGCCACACAGATGAATTCTTGAGAAGTCCAATTCTAAATTGATGCTATTCTTCATCAAGCCTCTAATTGAAAGAGAGGGTTGGGCATAGATTGCCTAGTTGTAAGACCGGGCTTTTGCATAGCTACATTCTTAGCTCTGTGACCTTGGGCAAATTATTCAGCATTTGTGAGTTTGTTACTACCTCATGGATTGTTGTGAGAATTAGATGAGATAATGCATGCAATACATACAGTATAGTATTTGGTACATAGTAACCAGTCAATAGTTGATATCTGATATCATCATCATCATCATCATCATCCTGATACCAGTTGTTAAAATAAAAATGTTCCCAGTACTTTAGTTTTCAGAAAAAGGACCTATTACAGCAAGGAGCCAGTATATGCAGCATGAAGGCTAAATGCACAGGTTAATAGTAGAATGACCTGGGTTCAAATATGAGCCTTACCATTTACAAGTTGTGCAAGCCTCCATTAATGAGGATTGGTAATAGTATTTCTCTCCGTAGGGTTAATGAGAAGATTAAGTGAAGTATAGACACATACAAAGCACAATAGGCTGCATTATATGTAACTTGCTATTAGTAGCAGCCTAGGTCTCAAGAGCCTTTTTGGAGGGGATGCCCCAGACTTGGCTTCTGGGAGGGAAGGAGGGACCCCCTCCAACACACACTTGGCAAAGGCCTGCAGTAGAGGCTACCCAAAAGCCATGTGTGTGCTCCCTGTGTTTCCTCTCCTGGAGGTTCATTTCCTTTGCTCTCCCATCATTTCTGCTCATTCTTGCCAGTTCAAAGCCTTTTATGGTGACTTGGGGTTTGACCTTTGTGGGTTCAGTTTCCAGGCATTTCCTGTTACCTTTTCTTTCTGTCAGTTTCCTTCTTTATGGACAGTTTGTTTTCTTGTGCTCACCACAGCACAAAGAAGCAGTCTAATACATTTCCATGCCCATAGCAGGGCATCAAAGTGTGGTAGAAACAACCATGGCCAGGGTATCAGGGCACCTGGGTTTTGATTTTCCTAAGCTTGCCTGGGCACCTCACTTTGGCACTCTGACCCTTAGTTTCCTTGTTTTCACATAGAGAGCATTGGACTAGATCGATAAGTACTCAGAGGCCCCAGATACATGCCTAGCTCCCTGTGTTGTGATATGCCTACTTTTATGGTGAGGTCTTTGATCTAATTTCACGTCTACCTATTTTGTATTTAAATAACAGAAGAGCAGATATCAGGTCCTCTTAATGTGTACACACACACACACACACACACACACAAACAGGAGAAATATATGCTAATTTGCTTGACTGTAGTAATCATTTCACTATAGGTATATAAAAACATCATATTGTATATGTTAAAAATGTACAATAAAAACTAAAGCAATCTACTTAAGGCATCCCTTCTAGAGGAGAGGAGCTTTTTAGTAATACCCACCCCATCAAGATTAAGTTATAGAGGAAAAGAAAAAAAAAGAAAGTAATACCCACCCATGGAAGGAGGGGCCAGAGATTGGCCAAAGGGATTGTCCAAAGCAACTCATCCATAGGAGGCCATCCGCCCCTCACAATTTTCCTGCAGCATCAGCTAGAATGCCCTGGCAGGCAGTCCTTGAAAATCCATGGCTTAGGTGTTGCTTAAGATTTTTTAGTTGCCCATCTAGCCCACACAGAGAGGAGTATCCAGCCAGAGAAGAAGCTGTGCTGAGCTGGAGCAGGCAGTGGGGGAATCAGTCAGTTAAAAGGCAACTTAAGCAGCTGCTCTGTGAGGAGGTAGTTGGTATCGCTTCTGTTTTACTCATGGGGAGCTGAAACTCAAAAAGGTTTGATGACTTGCCCCAGAGGTTAAGTTTGTGACAGGACATGATTTCAACCGCACGTCCGTAGTGCTTGGCATGCTCAGTGTTGCACTGAATGGAACGAACAAATTGTAGGGTGGCTCTGTTGCTATCTGACTGTATCACCATAGATAAGTAATTTCACTTCTTTAAACCTGTTTCCCCACGACTAAAGTGAGGATGATAATACCTACTGATATGGTTTGACTCTGTGTCCCCATCAAAATCTCACCTTGAATTGTAATAATCCCCACGTGTCTAGGGCAGGACTAGGTGGAGATAACTGAATCATGGCGAAAGTTTCCCCCATGCTGTTCTCATGATAATAAGCGAGTCTCACAAGATCTGATGACTTTATAAGCATCTGGCATTTCCCCTGCTTGCACTCATTCTCTCTCCTGCTGCTCTGTGAAGAGGTGCCTTCTGGCATGATGATAAGTTTCCTGAGGCCTCCCCAGCCATGTGGAACTGTGAGTCAAGTAAACCTCTTTTTCTTTTTTTTTTTTTTTTTTTTTGAGACGGAGTCTGGCTCTGTAGCCCAGGCTGAAGTGCAGTGGCACGATCTCGGCTCACTGCAGCCTCTGACCCCCAGGCTCAAGCAATTCTTCTGTCTCAGCCTCCTGAGTAGCTGAGATTACAGGCATGCACCACCACGCCCGGCTAATTTTTGTATTTTTAGTAGAGACAGGGTTTCACCATGTTGGTCAGGCTGGTCTCGAACTCCTGACCTCGTGATCCACCCGTCTCAGCCTCCCAAAGTGCTGGGATTACAGGCGTGAGCCACTGCGCCCGGCTTTTTTTTTTTTTTTTTTTAAATTACCCAGTTTCAGGTATTTCTTCATAGCAGCATGAGAATGGACTAATATACCTACCTTCCAAAATTGTTTTGGCCATAACATGACAACATGCAGATAAATGTGCTTTATGAAAACAATGCTCTACAGGTACAAGGCATAACAGATTAGAAAGCTAATTTACCATTAGATTTTCTCACTGATCATCTTCTATTAAAAATAGTGAGGTGCTTAAAGTAATGAGACTCTATACATCCCATAGGCCACTAAGCTACTTTCATTTTGAATAGAAAAATAATGACGGTGCTTATAAACATTTCTATCTTTTCTGACATAGTCTGCATGAGAATGAGGTGCTCACCCCTGGAGTAGTTGGTGACTAAGGTGACTTCCAGCTTGGTGACTCCAGAGGAAAGCAAGGCTGTTACAATAGCCTCAAGGTCAGGTCTTCTGATTCAATTGGCCTTATTTTCACATTGCCTTGCAGAGGGCCTAGTAGGCTCAATGACTGGAAAAATGAATGCAGAATTGTGAGCCAGTTGTCTATGCATGAGACGACCACACGATGGCAGTAAAGTCAGGTGAATTCATTCTCTGCTGCTTTCTCAGTCCTGCCTCTAGTCCTTAGATCAAAGAATGTGAACACACTTAATTCCTTGTTTCTGTTTCTTCCAGTTAATGCCTGGGCAACATGGTGAAGCCCCGTCTCAACAAAAAATATAAATTTTTATTTATTTTTTTTAATATTTTTTGTTGAGACGGGGCTTCACCATGTTGCCCAGGCTGGTCTCAAATTGCTGGACTCATCTAAGCTGCCCAGCTCGGCCTCTTAAAGTGCTGGGATTACAGGCATGAGCTGCTTGGCCTGACATTAACTGATAGTATTACTATTGTTATTAGTATAGGTTGGACAATATAGAAGGTTTTTTAATAAAGTGAAATGGGTTTCAAACGCAGGAACCAGGAGGAAAACTAGGGTCAACTGTAATCCCAGGAGCAATTCCCTGGCGAGGCTAGAGTTACAGGGATGAAAATATATGTTATATCTGTGTTCTGTGTCATATAACTTTTTCAAATCATTGTCACCTAGCCTCACCCTGGTGAACTGTGAGAAATTATGAGAAAGAGACAAATGTATCTTTCAAGTGAAAGCTGCTAGCACTGCATCAAGCACAGTGTAGGTTTCCAAAAAATGTGGATTCCTCTTGCTTTTCCTCTGAAAGTTAGACTGATGTGGGCTAATGATATGGTCCTATCCAGTGGTTCCCCATGGAAATGTGTATCAGAATCATCTGGGCCTTCTCCCCAGACATACTAATTTTGTAGATCTGGAGTGGAGCCTAGGAATCTGTATTTTACAGCTCTCTCAGACACTTTTGGGAACTTGTTGGACCAGTTGGGAGTGTGTTGAGCTGAGATAAAGAGGATCTGAGAAGTATTAATTATTCTAGGCATGGTGCTAAGTGCTTTGTATGTGTCATCTTTTTGGCCTTCAGAGCTGCTCTGTGAGATAGGTGGTATCACTTCCATTTTACTCACGGAGAAGCTGAAACACAGAAAGGAGAAATGGCTTGCCTCACAGGTTCATTTTGTGAAAGGACGTGATTTCTAGCACAGTTCCCTGTAACTCTCATCCCAGACTCTTCTCCCTGTACCACACTGACTTCCTGAGCACACACAGACCTGGGCTCAGTCTCTATTTTCTCTAAGTGGGGACCTTGGTCAGACACTTTATCTGGCTGTTCGATTCTTTCCTCTATAATAATTCCTGCCTCTGGCTGGGACTTGACGAATGAATAAAACAAATGAAAAATAAATAAATGAGATAATGGATCACAAAATACCTTAAAAATGATAAAGTACTAAACTCATATTGGGTGGTATTATTTGTGGCATTTGTCATTACCCAGGAACCTTGGACCTGGAAAAGTCTCTGTGGTGTATATCCGTTGGCTGATAAAGCATGGATGGAAATAGCTAATGTTCAAAGCTGGCATTGCTGGTATGGGGCTAATTTAATGGCTAGAATGAGGGAACATGCACTTCTGAGTCCTGAGGTAAATCAGCTCACTGGGTCTGGCTTTCTAGCATTCTTGAATGTTCAAGGATTATGTCAAAAATTAATAACAGTCACTCAAAAAGCATATTCTGAACATTCACTGTATTCAAGATGCTGAATAAGGCATTGTAAAAACTACAAAGAATTTAAGGATATAGTCTTCAACAAGCCTGTAGTTAATTTGAGGAGACATGATCCATACACACACACACACACACACACACACAGATGGAATCTAACAAAAGCAGCCATAATGATGTCAATCACAAATGTGTAGTGTCGTCAGAAGGAGTAAATTACTGTTGTTACGCTAAGACACACAATGAGAACTCTAGAATCTATCTTCCTTCTCTTTATGTAAGTTCTCATCTAGGTTACTGAAAATAGCCCCTGACTCTCTCTCTCCCTGTTCCACAAAGGTACTGCACATCAACGCCTTTATCTATCTCCCATCCTGTGGACAAACTGATGTTTCTAAAATGCAAATCTGATGTCATTATCCTTCTTTAGCAGTGGTTCCCCATTGCCTTCAGGATAAAGTCCAGATTCTTTAGCAAGGCCTACAGGGACTCTGGCTATCACTTCCATCACCACCCTGTCTTCTTCTCTTGCCCAGCCACCTCGAAAATACCATGTTCCTCCACCCCTTTGCAACTTTGCATGTGTTACTCCCTTTGCTGGGAATGCCCTTCTTCCCTTCCTTACCTAGCTAACTTCTTATTTTTCCCTGAAAACTCCCCAGCTCCTTTCAACTGGATTTGATATCTCTCACCTATATCCTTGTGGCAGTCCATATCGGAGCGCTTGTCACACTAATAGTCTATTTCCTTGTCCCGTTTCTGCTTCTGGCTCCCTTTCACTCATCTAGTTTGTTGATCTTACCTATGAGAAAACAATATGTTTACAGAGCTTACTATAGTGACTGGCATATAGAAACATTTAACCAATATTAGCTATTACTATTCCAGTAACTGACTTATTTAGCTGAGAAAGTTCAAGTGGAAGCAAGCAGAGGACTACTGAGCAGATGTTAGGGGAGAGGAACCAATTTCCTAGAGGCTAAGTGTCCTCAAGAGCTAGCGCTGAATCGAATACATCCAATATTTGGTCAGATGGGTTTTAACCCGTCTCCTTGAGGAGAGCGCCCAAAGCTCTTCTGAGAATCTGCTCCAGGTGTAGCTGACAGGCTGTATAAAAGGCAACACGGGGTGACCCAGAAGTGTTTTTCAGAGGCAGCTAAAGGTAAATCTGGAGAAAGACCTAGAAGCACAATTTAACTTGGCCTGAGACATGGAAGATGAGCAGAGTAGCTAAAACTCAGGATAGCTATATGAAAAGTGATATAAATAAGCAATACAGGTTGGCAAAACATGAGGAAAGGTCGGAAGCTAATGCTCAATAGTGGCGAGGAAGATTTTAATCGAAGGACTCAATTTGTTCGGCAGAAGTGTGTGAGAGAGAAAAGAAAAATCAGCCAAATCAGGGCATTTCTGTCGTCATGAGGACTTGGCTCTTCTTTGAGTACTCCCATGGACTTTCTAGCAAGTGTCCTGGTCTTCCCTTACCCTTTGGAACATTGGGTTGAACCGTGATGAAGTTGAAAACCCAGAATGTCCTACCCCTCCAGCAGACCTGACTGGACCAAAAAGTCAGTGGCTACTCACAATAACATATTTACCTGAACAACTGAAGTTTTCAGTGGGTTGTTTTTTATTCTTCTTCTCTGGCAAAGGAGCCTGGCAGGCTTCTGGAATCTTCAGTAGGTTCTGGGCCTCCAATCTGGGCTGCTGTTGACACTCACGCCCAGCTTGGAGAGTGAGAAGAGAGATGTTCTCATAGCTTTGGCTGTCTTTTTACTGGGGGCCGGGGTGGGGGTGGTAGGGTGTTTGGCAATTGCTCTTGAATTCGTTGGCTTTGCTTTATCTTTGTGGATTATTCATCTGTGTTTGCTGAACCTAGCAGAGAAAGTTCTCTGTTCATTTAGCTTGGCTGCATTAAAAATGTTTTTATGTTGCTACCTATAAAGACCCTAAAGTCAGCAGTATGTCTCTGAATAGATGGGACCACCAGCTCCTTCCAAACCCCTACTTTTCTTGCTAACATAAAATTCAGGTCTTCATGGCAAAAATGCATTGAGTCAGCAAATAGCAACCACCCCTCCCTTACCCTACCATGTGTACCAAACGGTAGTTTGGGAGATGGGTTGTTACCTGGTTTCATGACTTTAGATGGTGCCACAATGATGAGAAGAACAGCTGGCTTTCCTGAACTGTGTTTATTATTTCCTGAACTTGTTTATTATTTCCTGAACTTGTTTTATTATTTTCAGAAAAAAATAATACCCTCAATAGGAAGAGGTCTGTAAAAGCTTAACCCTCCCCAGCCATCAGTCTCCATGTGCCATGATCTCTATGTCTAGTGTTCTAATCTTCCACCCACCCCATCAACTCTCCTTTAGTATCTCTATTGTTCTAATCTTCCACCCACCCCATTGATTCTCCTTTAGTCCCTTTCTCTTCTTTGATTTCTCTCTATTCCTTCCCCTCACACCCTACTCTATCAAATTCCAAAGGATTCCTAGGTGCTTCTCTGTAGCTGAGGTTTTTGTCCTCAGGGCCACTATAGGCTACCTGGCTTGATATGTGGAAGCCTGTGAAAGCCATCAAGGCCCCCAGGTCACTCCCAGGCAGATTTCTCTGTATATCTGTCCTGCTCCTCTACACTGGGTGGTGAAGTTGAGGATGATATGCAGGTTCCCATTTTAGGTTCTTCTCTATCCTTGGTGTCATTCCTTCCCTTCTTTTGCCTATCTAAGGCCAGGGCAGTGTCTCTTAAACTTCCTGATTATTGGAGTATATTAGACGAAAAAACAAATGCTAATATTGTTCTCTTTGCCCCTTACCTGAAACACCCTCCAGTCTTCTAATTCCAATAATTCCTAGAATTTGGATCTTATCTTTCTG
Source organism: Homo sapiens (assembly GCF_000001405.40). Lineage (NCBI taxonomy): Eukaryota > Metazoa > Chordata > Mammalia > Primates > Hominidae > Homo > Homo sapiens. The sequence continues at coordinate 112,638,077 of NC_000023.11, read as the reverse complement.
GTGGAATACAATCTACACCCTTGAACTATTCACATTGTCCAAATGGATTTTTCCCTTCTTGCCTGACCCTGAAACTCCAAACCACTTCACAATTCTTACCCCATCTTCATGAGCCTCTCCCCTGCCACACCAATATCCAACACTTCTTACCATAATCCGGGGTCCTAGCATGCTTGTTTTTTCCTTCTACAGTAGCAGCTCTCAGAACATGACTGTTGGCAACACTTGTGCGAAATTAAATCTTCATATATCTGAAGGTTCCATTACATTTCATCTAGCCCTATTCAGTTTTGGAGGTGTTAGTTGTCATTATGGGCTTGCTATATCCCTGCTTCCCTGACTCTTCCTCCAACCTTTCAGGAGCCTGGAATTTCATCAGATGATTCTCTGAAAGAGAAGACTCAACTCACTCAAAAGACAGACTTACCTCATTCTCTTTTTATGCCCTTTCTTTTCAACATTGTTTCCTTCTTCCTCCAAAGAGAACTCCTTTTTTGGATTCACTCTCCAGCATTCTTGGCTTCTAAGCTGGCATTCTGCACATGCTCCCTGAATGGGGGAGCCACTCTATCAGATTCTGACTCACTCCGGTCCATAATTTTGATGCCCACAGCAATGCTAGATCCCACCACAAGCATTGGTTTGGGGCTAACTCCCCATAGCTCATCATGACCCATTGACAGCTAGCCAGACACCACAACCCTGAAGGGCATAGGACTGCGGCTCTAGGGAGGGTGGTCAGTTTAAGTGGCCGCCAGTGACAATTTATCTCTAAACAGTGAGCTGTAAAACATAACATCGTGCTGAATCAAAGGAAACAGAGTCAAATTCCAATCCAATTTGATGTGCAACTTGGAATAAAAGCAACGTGTCTTGATTTAAATGTCAGGCCCACTGCTGAGTGATGATTTAATAACTTGTATGAGAGATTCTGTCACAGCAAATTCAACACTGGAATTCAGTGACTCACAGATAGAGTGTTAGAAATGATACAGAAGAGCACAAAAAGGAATAGGCTTATCTCAGGGCTCATCCAGAAGCTTTGCATAAAGCTCATTTGCAGTTAGAACCTCTTTTCTCCCCCTATCCTGCCACCGATCCTTCTCTTCACAGACACCCATGCATGGATATAGAGAAAATTTCTAGGTGTGATGTCATCTCCCTGCAGTATCTTCTAAGGACACAGACTTTTAAACAATTCTAGCGTGGAAGTAGAGTCAGTGCATTTAATCTGAAGGCAAGGAAGCAGTTAGTTTGGTGTTTCTCAAGGGACTTTAAGGACGCATCTGGTCTTAATGTGACGTCTTTAGCCAGGTACTTAATTATTTTTCCACATTTTAAGGGTTAAAGAGCTGAGACCTGGTGGAGTTAAAACATTTATTCAAATATTTATCCTGTCTCCTTACTCCCAGGGAATCAGTGCTTCCTCCTCAATACCTTGTGAGATCTCTCCCCTTGAGCTTCCCTTGCCTTCCATGGGGTAACATACTAGAATGCTCAAGACTGACCATGCCTCAGTCCCAGTCTGCTTCCCAGGTCAAGAAGGAACCATGCATGGCCGTTCTTAAGGGAGGAAATTCCATTCTGTTGGGCTAATCTTTTAGTCATCAAGATTTATTTTGAATAGAATTTAAAGTATAAATATCTGGTGTTTGTCTACATGAGGATTGCTCAACGTAGACAATATCGACACTTTTTGGCCAGATCATTTTTTGTTGTGGAGAACTCTTTTATGTATTGTTGGATGTGTAGCAGTGTCCGTGACCTCTGGTAACTCTCTCTGTCTATATCCTCCATTTGCCTCCAATCTATTTGACACAGACCTTTCAGGTTAATATTTCCAGGCAATACCTCTAACTTAGTGGTTCTCAATAGAAAGCAACCTCCCCTCATACCGGGGGACATCTGGCAATGTCTGGTGACATTTTTGGTTTTCACAACTTGGTGGGGAGGAAGAATAAGTTGCTATAGACATATAGTGGGTAGAAGCCAGGGTGTTACAGTGTACAGGAAAACCGCCCCCTGCCCCTGCCCCCACACCAAGTAAATGTCCAACCCAAAATGTCAATAGCGCCAAGGTCGAGAAACCTTGCTCTAGCGTATCGTTCCCTGCTCAGAAACTTTCCATTGTTTCACACTGCTTGTAGGAAAGATGACAGATTTCATGGCCTCTCCTGGTGTAGATTCAGTTTATTATTTTGTCAACTATAGCTCCTTTTTGGAAACAGCTCTGAATGTTATGCTTTCTCTGAAACATGTCATGTGCTTTCTCACTCACATAACTTTGCTCACGCCAACCACTCCCTCTGCCTAGAATGCCCACTTCCTACTACTAAAGCCAAGATGAAATGTAGCATCTACAAAGGCTTACCTGAGCTCAAATTTTCCCAGCTGCAAATAATTCCTCCTTCCCTGGATATTCCTATAGTATTTTACAAATATATCTCTTAAAGCACTTATCATATTCATACTACAATAGAAAATATGATCTGGAAGGGGCTTTTAGGATTCTCTTCAGTAAATCCTTCCACTGAAAGTAAAGGAAACTGAGGTCCAGAAAGGTGAAGTAATTGGCCGAAGGCATTGTATATTCTCGCAAGACTTGGACTGTAGTAATTTGTGTTCTTGGTTTCATTCTCCTAGCATGGTTGAAATGGATAATCATGAACTTTGAGTTAGGTCTGGCAGTCAAATTGCAATTCTGACACTTATAAGTGGGCCAAGTCATTTACCTTTCTGAAACTCAGTTCCCTGAGCAGTAAATGGAAATAATCATGGCTGTTATGAGAATTAAATGAGATTGTGTATTAAAAATGCCTAGCATATAGTCGGTACTCAATACATGTTTGTCAGATGAAAATAAGGATCAATAGTAGTTTAAATAATGGGATTTGGGAATGGATGATGGTCCATAGGACTTCACTAAAAGGCAACAAGAGGCAAAATATGGCAACTCATTGCCACCTGCTCCCTACTTTTGCACCCTTCCATAGACGATTTCCTCAGTGGGCCATCAGATCAGCATGCAAGTTTTCTGTGAAGTAACTGAGTGCTGACAGTGGCTTTCCAAATGGTAAGGTAGTTCTTAAAAGGTCTGCTTTTTCTTTTTCTTTTACAGTGCCAATGAATATAATCTCTTTTTTTCCTCCGGTAGATAACAGGTAGAGTTGTGGGGAGGGATGTGGATGGAAGATACATTTCCCCTCTTTCTCCTTAGTTTCCTTTATGACAGCAGTCTGGGGCTTAGATGCCTTCAGAGGTCTAACAGAAATTTCTGTGAGAGGGAATTCACAAGGCACTTGGGGTGGCAATAGGAGCACTTTAGTGTTGGCTCCTAGCTCAGTGATACCTGGTTCTGACTTCAGTGAGGTTTATTGGGGCCTTTCTAGCCAGCTCTTCACTCTGGAGCTGACCACTCTGTCAGTTTTCTTCCTGCCTAGGGCTTTGGGCTAATGGCATGCTATGCATTTATTCTCTTCATTCAGAGAAATGAGTCTTTCCCTGATCCCATGGGGCATGTACCTAATAGAAATATCCTTGCTACTCAAATGAGGGGATGACCTGACAAGCAGCTGAAGAAACAGAATGAGAGTTCTGATGCCTTGTCTAGACTAGATTTGGAATAAGCTGGGGAGGATGAAGTTGCTTGGCAATGGGCCCACCTCAGAGCTGGCTCCTGTCTGCTCTGCCAGGTGACTACAGGAGATTTTTGTTGAAGGGGGTTAGAAGAGAAGCTCAGGTGAGTCTACTACAACTTGACTTAGGAGCCCCCCCTCCTTAGGGCTTACAGGTCAAGGGCCCTGTAAGAGAAAAATGCTTTTGGGTGTGATGAAAACAAAACTGCAGAGGGCAGAGCACTGAATTGGGAGTAAAGACACTTGGTCTGGATTTCTGCCTCTACCTCTCTGCTTCTGAGAGAGTTCCCAGGGCTATCACCGGAGCCTCATATTATGGTTTGTGAAGTAGGTGCAATAAAGTCTGCAGTCTTCTTCCCACTGATGGCAGAAGTTGAAGGTTTTCCAGTCTCTGGAGTTTTCACTCTGTGAATTCCAAAACATTTTTCAAACCTTCCTACTTTGTGTATGTGAACCAGGGAGTGTGTGTGTTTGTGTGTGTGTGTCCAGGGGGAGGAGCAACAAGGAGGGGATACAGCTCTACAGGCTGCTTGTCTCTATATGGTATTCTTCAGTTTACTGTCTTGAGAGTCCACCATTGTTGTTCACGTTTAAACTACTTTGGAGATAGTTGAGCTCCTTTCTCAAAGGAGGCTTCTCTTTCAAATTTGCTCTTTCTGAGCCTTCAGAGGCACTATTTTCATAGCTGCTGTAATTGGGCTTTCACCATGATTTTGGGTGGGACCACAGGAGTTCAGGAACTTTAGACTGCCCAGGTCTATTGGTAAAGTACTATTTCCTCTGAAGGACTGTAACACTTGACACTGGTCATAAGAGGGGATAAGGGATCCATTCACCCATTCAAGTAGAAAGGAAGGATACATGGTATTGTGAGAGCCTCTGATGAGGGAAGTTGACTTAGGAAGGTCAGAGAAAACTTCACTGAAGAATTAATGATTATGTTTAGTTCTGAGGAATTATTAAATATTGACTAAGTAAAGAAAGTAGTGGAAAGTATATGCGTACACGTGCACATGCAGTGAATGTTTTAGGCAAAGGAAACAGAATGTGCATAAGCCTTAAAGTACAAGGGATCAGGGCACATTCCAGAAAGAAATAAAATACTATATTCGCTGGTTTTTCAACTTTAATTCAAAATTTAAGCCATAGTTTTAGGTGTTAAGGGTTGAAAATGCCAATGTCCTCAGCTTTGAAGTACTGTTAGGCTAAATCACACATACTGAAATGGTACCCACAGTGGATAGAGCACATGAAAGCATAATCACGAAAAGAAACAAATGCATCTGTACTATTGAGCCAGCAATCTGGAAGAGAGGAAAGGGCAGATAAAAAAATGTGAAATGTAAATCTTTCTCCCAATATTTTGTCCAGCAGGTACATCTGTCAATGGAGTATACGGATACATTCCGGGAGGGCTACCTGGTTGAGGTGACATGAGCCCAGCGGAGTGAATCAAGGGAGGGCTTCAAGCAGGTGCCAAGTTCTGGATAGTGTTCTGAGGAAGCTATAAATTGGTGAATAAGAGGAGAGAAGATGTTTCTGGCAGGAGAAACAGCATGAGACATGACTTGGTGGTAGACTATTTTATTTCTGAGATGGGAAATGTGGGGATAAATTAGGCTGGCCTGAATGGGAAAGCGAAGCAGCCAAGCTTGGGCCCATCTTAGACTCTTTCTAGGAGACACCAACTAATCAACTAAAAGCAGTAAAATTAAGGTTCACCAGGTAGTATGTGAAAATAAATAATTAGTTATTTGAATTTAGCCTTTAAAAAATAAATTGTCATACAGATCAATCTTGACATCCTCCACTGACTGTAGTCAGGATTAACTTTCTTCAAGATTTAGATAGAGAGAGATAGGTGAAAGTTGCTGCCTATCTCTCTTCTCAGGGACTCTCTGCAATTTTGTATCACTGGGACCCTACCATAATTTCTGGAGTCCTGTTTGCTTAAGCACTTTATTTTAGCAGTTAGCCACTTTGATACCTTGTAAAGTAATAGCTCTTATTTTTCTAGGCATTGACATTTTCTGAAGGATGGCTGAAAAGTCACAAATCTTTCAGACAAAGGAACCTGTCTCTGATGGAATAGCAGGTGGCGGGGTGGATGTTTTTGAGCAGGTGACCTTTCCCATTACCTTTTAAAGAGAAAACTACCCACTTCAAAGCTTGGCTTTGATTCCAATGCATATTGCTTTCCTGGGTGTTGAAAGGCTAGGTTAGGATAGAGACATGATGTAAGAGGGAGTTGATTTTATTTTACCTGTCTAATCCCCTGATGATGCAGGCAGCCCATGTACAGTATTCTATCACTGTGGTTCAAAGTGTGGAGTTTTGAAGTTAGGATGAGTCAGCATTTGTATCTTTACCACTTGCCGGCTGTGTGGTTTTCAGTTGCCTCATCTTCTGTAGCTGTGTGTGCCTCAGTTGCTTCGTCCTTTGTAAAACAGGGATAATAAGAGTACCTATCTCATATAATTACTGTAATGATCAATGAGGTATATGTTTAAAGAGCTTAGCATAATGCTTGACATCTTATCAAGTTGTTCTTGTCATCATTGTCATTAGCATTGCCACCCATACCACCCCCAGGCTCCTACTCTAACAAAAAAATAAAATCTTACAACCTCTTGCTGAAGCAAAGATCAGCAGTCAGCACAGAAGGAAAGAAGAAAATAGGAAGCCCAGGGACATTCGCTGTTTCCTATTCTCACCCTAACCATAGCATCCCAAAGAGAATGTATAAAAACTGTACTTTCTGGAATCATTTCTATAGTTCATTACCAAAGAGAAAATATGAAAAGACAACCCAATCCTCATTCTCTGTCCCTGTTCTCACAGGTACCTGTCGGCTTGGCTGGGCCTATTACTGTGCTGGAGGTGGAGCAGCTGCAGCCATGTTGATCTGCACCTGGCTCTCTTGCTTTGCTGGAAGAAACCCCAAGCCTGTCATATTGGTGGAGAGCATCATGAGGAATACCAATTCTTATGCTATGGAGCTTGACCATTGCCTCAAACCTTGAGCTTTGAAAGAAGATTGGAGAGGGTGGGAAAGGGGAGGAGGGAGCCCTGAAAAGAGGTACTAAGGATTAGGCCATTTGTCATCTGACTGTCATTAGCATAGCCTAGTGTTTGCATGCTTTTTAAACTAATTGTCGTTCATTTTCACTTATCTTTAAGCCAGTAGGTCACTGGCTGTTTATAAAATTCATCAGAGGAAACATTCTCAGACATTTACCCAACTGGCAAGTCGTGCTAACCCGAAGACCCAAAGTACCCCTTTATGCAAAATAGGATCCAAAGCTAAGGCTGGGTAAGAATAGTTGTGCAGGGAGGGAGCACGAGATGGGCAGAGCTGGTTCCTACCACTCCATTCACACAGTTCATCAGTTCATTCCCAAGTATTTATTGTCACCCCCAAACATCTCTGGAGTACTACTGCTCAATTTTTGTGTCGTTATCAGGAGTATACCTTGGCTCTTCCTTTTTTTCTCCTGCTTCCCCCCGCACCTTGTGGGGAAGCTTCAGGGGAGCGGGGGAGGGTGATTCCCAGTGGTGGGGAAAACATTAATCAAGGATACTTGCATTTAGCCTGGAGCCCCTTCCTCATTATGCTTTAGAATATTCATAGGAGTTCCATTTGTATTCTGGCTGGGTGATGAGCAAAAAAAATATATAGTAGCAAATATTCTCTCATCCTTTAGAGATAAAGAAATGGTGTTCATCAAATGTACTGAGAATAGACTAGCATTTGTGGGGCACTCAATAAATTTAAATTCATGGTGACAGTGACAAGGATGTTTCTGCTAGATACTTATTGAAATTTCTATCAGAGATCATTTTTATTGACTAGGAAATCCACAGTGGCCTTTTACCCCCTATAGTCACTCTTAATGTGACATAAGTTCATCTGCCTGTTTCAAAGACTGTTCATCAAATGATCTCTCCTCCATCTGGGGCGAGTTAGCCACAAAAGAACACAGCACTGATGTCACCTAGGGCTGATGTATTTTTAGGCCTGGACTCCATCCCATCTGTGCTCAAGGTCGATGGATGGTGTAGAAGAACTTGGTGTCTCCTGGGGGCAGACTTTGTCTCGCTCCTCCCCCCCAGTTAATTCAGGCCAGCTCTATTGTTCCGTAACTACAGCTTTAGGGAATGGGGAGGGCCTGTGATTCAAAAGGCCAGCTCATCTGTTTCTATTCTTAATAATTCCAGCATGGTTTTGGTACAGCACTACCTAGAGGGATAGAAAATAGAAAAAAACTGGCTTCATAAGTTATATGCTATCTCATGAGAGGTCAGAGTTCTTATATTGGCTTTACATAGGTAAGTGAATTTAAATGCTTCCTCCATCTATAGTTGATTCATTCATTGAGTCACTCATTTAGAAAACATTTCTTGAGCATGTTACTCTATGACAGATTCTGTGCTAAGTTCTGGGGATAAAAGGACAAAGACAGTTTTTCACCTTAAAAGGGATAGTGGTGAGGTATTGAGAGACATGTCAATAAGTACTCGTCAGTGTATTTAGTGCTAGAAAAGTGAAGAAGAGTAGCTAAAGGATCACAGAGAAGCCATTAAACCAACTTGGCATGAAAGGGTTCATGGGAAAGCATCCTAGCAAAGAAGATGGGTCCAAGAGATGAATAGCAGGAGCTTTGTTAGAAAAGGTAAAGAGTACACGAGACAAGCAATGATGGCACCCAAGTCATGGAGACAGCATTAGAATGACATATGGGTGTAAAAAGAGGGGTGGCAAAAGCTGAAGTTGAAAAGGGAAGTAGTAGCCAGATTCTGTGGGACCTTTTACTCCAGAATAAGGCGTTTGAATTTTATCCTAAAGAAGGGTCATTGAAAGGGAAGTGACATGAACAAACTTGTAGCTTTCAAAGATAAGTTTGGCTAAAGTGAGGAGAATGAAAGAAAAGACAAGGAGAACTAGAGATATTTCAATAATCTAGCTATAAAATGGTCAAGGCCTGGAGGAAGGTAGTGATTGTGAGGCTGGAGCAGATGGATGAATTTGAAAGAAGATATTTAGGAAGTACATGCCACAGGATTTATTGTCTAATGGATATGTGTAGGTATTGGCAAGTGAAAATTTTGGGATGACCACTCCGGTATGTGGGCGACTCCTATCATCAAGATGGCAAATGCAAGATGAATAACAGGTGGTAGGGAACTGGTGATTGAATTCATGTCAAGTATTATATCCCTCATGGAACTGCATTAAGTGTTTAAGGTAAGGCCAACTTGAACATACCTCACTGGGAAGGAAGCAATGTAATGTGTTTGCAGCATCTCCTTTCTTTAAGAAAGATGACTAAGAACAGCTAAAACAAAAATGCAACTAGCTTAAACCTCAGTTTTATTGTGTAGACACAATAATGTAACCTTAATTTAGGAGGACCCACTGTATAGAGAATATGTCAAATATTTGAGAAAAGGCAGATAGCTCACTTCAGAAAAGGTAGTTGGATCAGGTGATCTCTCTTTTCAGGCTAGGCAACCTTCTGGAATTCTGTAGGATAGACTTTGTCAAAGTGAGTGTATAAGTCAGAATCCTGCTGAGAAACAGATGGTATACTCAAGGAGTTTAGCTGAGATGAGCTTAGTGAAGGGACAATTTATGATGGCGTGTGCAGGGTTAAGGGAACTTACCAGTGATTGTGAGGCATAGAAAGACTATGAACAGTGAGGGGCTGTTATTATTATTACTCCTAACACTGAAAGGACAAAGGGAAGATACAGTGTTATTGGCACCCAGTAAGCACTGCACATGTACAAGAGGGGCTGCCTCACAGGAGCTGTTGCTTCAGGTAGCACAATGTAGTCTCTGCCCAAATGCAGTAAGGAGGGAGAGAGGGGAATGAACACCCATATCTCACTCTCTTTCCACTCTTTGATCTCCTGCCAGTGCCTATCATTGGCCAGACCCAGCCAAATGGCAGCTGGCAAAGAAGCCTGTTGCAATAGCCCATTGAGGTCAGACTCCTTTGGCACAGAGCATGGCAGGGAAGGGTGGAGAATGAAGCTTGGGATTGGGGTTATGAGGGGCCAATGGAAAATAACATTTCAGTGAGTGCTCTTAGCCACCAGACAATGCCATTGCCTTATGCACTGCTTCCCAGGAAGTATATGCTTTGCTTTCCTCCATGGCCCAGATGCTTAAACACACTGTGAAGTAATTGGACCCTGGAAAGGAGACTGAAGAGGAAGGGGTTAATTTGAAAGAACACTTTAAATAACTATCACCTTGGAGGAGTTAGTTGCAGGTGAAGTAAGTTGGAATGTTTTCTCCTCTTTTCCAATGAAAGGAAACTGGATTTAAAAGATATATATATATTTTTTTCTGTGAAGAAACCAGGTCTTCAGGGGCTTATATTCAAAGAGGTATCTAGCCCCATGTTCAATTCGAATTAAAATTCCTCCTTGCCTATGTCTGGTTTCTTTCCTGCCTCCTGCCAGGCCTTGTTTTTACATAGACGCCTGACAAGACTTGGTTCTTTTCCCCATGGCCTGGAGCAAACTTAGAAGCTAAATCTGCATCTTGGGCTGCTATTGTACAGAAAGGAAGGAGAGTCCATGGGTCAGGTGGAGGCTGAATGAATGAAGTGAGAACCTAAGAGACTCTGCAGTTTGTCCCATGCCTAGCTGGCTGTCATGTTCTTTACCTGGGCATGCAGGTCGAGTGCCTAACTATGGGCCCATTCTGACCCTGGAACCACTTAGATCTTGGGGAGGGGTGAGAGATAGGAGGTGATTCATCTGGGCTAACTCACAGTCCATTTAGTATTTCATAAGAGCCCATTTTGCAAGATACTCCTTTCAGAAAATAATCTCAGATGGGCAACAACTTCCCAATTGGCATGCTTTTGTGTCTAGAGGATTGAAATTTCTACACCTGGGCTAGCAAGTGTTAAGTCACTAGGGTATGTCTTCAGTGGTGCTGTCTCTCTAATGTCACACCTCATTACCTCTGCTCTCAGAGGAGTAGCTTCCTTCATTCACTTACAGCTGCTAGTGACTTCCAGGCAGTGGGTTCTGCCTCGCGGGAGCGAGCGTGTGACCTGAGCCAAGATGGAAAGGTTCTGGTCTCTGGGAAAGGAGTTCTGGCTTATGCAAGAGTAGATGGCAATACGAAGCCTTGGCTGGATGAGGGAAAACCCTGTGAGGATGAGGGAATGAGGAAGCTTCTGGGAAGCAGAGGCTTTATAAATTTGTCAAACAAATTGTACTAAGGAAAGGTCTAGCTCCTTCAATATATGATGGGGACACTTTCTTCTGAGTCTGGTATTCACTCTCTGTAGAAACATTCGTATTAATTTAAAGTAGTTTCAAGATGGTATTTGGTCCCTAGGAAGCCCAGTGATGGGAAAAATGGAACTTTCAAGAAAACTAATACTGAATATATTTTGTAAAGGATGGAAGGCATCCTACTTGTTGGCTTGAGGGGAAAGGTGTGCTATTTCTAGAACTCACAATCAATCTCCAGCCATACCCAGTAAAGCTTTCTTAGTAGACAGCAGTCAGGGCTCTTCCAAAGAATCATAGCTACCTTGTGTCCTTGGTTAAAGAGTATTTTCTGAGCTGCAGTGAGGCTGGAGTTGAAAGATACTTATTACTGGCCTCTCTGTCAGATGTAGAGAAATGCATTTTAAGCTTCATTTTTTCATCTACTTCTGAGATTTGGCTCTCCCAGGGAGATCTCCCAGATCTCTTCTCTAAACTCGTCAAACCCCCACTGAGTCCTCAAAGCTAACAGCAAATAAACAGTTGCTATGTGTGCACACAAATAATTTAGATTTTCATTATACAGAGCTGCTGATATGTTAGGAGGCAGAAGTAGGGGGAGACAAAATGCTAGGTTTTGATGGCAATGCTGTATTCTTCTCCTTCCTCCCCCTCTAGAAACGAGGCCCAGAGAACAGTACTTGGGAGTCAGGGGGTGGCGGGGGTGGGGGGTATCAGGGCCAGCCAGCATCCACATTGGCAGGACCCTGATGTTGCCTCCCTTTCATGTAGTGTCTCTGCTACATGAAAGAGACATTAGAAGAGGTGGTAGAAACTACAGATGAGAATCAAAGCTGGTAGAAAGTTCAAGAGGGACAAAGGGTAAATAAAGAGGTAAATATCAGAACCACTCCAGAGAAACAGTGTCTCCTCCCACTGTGGCTTATTAGAATTTCATTTGGGACACTTCGACTTTCTTTCGAAGATATCTCAGTATCTTCTGCACTAAAATATTGCCCTCCTAGGCAACATGGTAAAGTGAAGTCGGTCCAGGATTTGTAGTCGGACAAATCAAGGTTTGAATCTCAGCTCAAACATTTATTAGCTGTGTGTCCTTGGGCAAGGCAGTTAACTGAGCTTACTAACATTCTAAGATAACACTGGCTATTGACTCCACAATTCTCAGCAACTATAGAAGGAGTTAATCATTCGGTGGCCCCATTCATTTTAATTTGCATTGATTATTCTAATGTAGTGATTTTTAATCCTGGTCAACATTAGAATCTCCTGGGAAGCTTTTTAAAAATTTTCATGCTTTTGTCCATCCCAGTTCAACTGAGTCAGAATCTGTAGATGCCACTACACCTTTCCACCCTCTCTTTATTTTTGCTATCATCTACTGACCTCCTAGTCATCCCTCATTCATAAGGACTTTAGCACCTGGCTCAGTCTCTTCTCTATTTTTATTTCTTTCATCCTTTTAGAAATTTCAACATCATGTGAACCACTCTTCCAATTTACTGGCCTCTAAACTCTTTGACTTCTTTACCTCCAATAATATTTTTTTTTCTACCCAACCTTTGTAGCTCCCACTCTTGACATCAACAATAAACACACAATCACTAAAGTCCTGATGTCAAATCTCCCATTCCTGACCAACACTTCTTATTCTTTCATCTCATGATTTTTAACATCCCAACTCTACCAACTATTTGACCCCATCCTAGTTACACAACTAGAGTCCCTAGTTTATCATTGTAATCACCCCTTGCATAAATGTTCCACTCTTTTCCCCTCTTTAATTCTGCCATATATTTATCAAAAAAAAAAAAAAACCCAGCCCTGGTTAAACGTAATAATTTCCCTGCTCGATGCTTGCACTAAGTTCTCAACTATTTAGAGAGAAAAACTAGCTACCTTGCACCTTTTCCTTGTCTATTCTCACCCCCTTGGTGAGTTCATTCAATCTCATGGCTTTACATGTTATCTATACCCTTGCTACACAAAGGGTGGGCTATGGTCCAAAAGTGTCAGTATCACATTGAGAATGTATTAGAAATTTAGAATCTTGGCTCCACTTCAGACCTACTGAATCAGAATCTGCATTTTAACAAGATCCCTAAGTGATTCATTTGCATTGAAGTTTGAGAGGCACTGATCTGCATCAATGGTTATCATCTTCTATTGCAAACCAGAATCAACTATGATTTTCTAGTGCCAATATCTACTTTCAGAAGCTCTAATTTAATTGGTCTAGGGTAGGGCCTGGATATATATAAATTTTGTAAGCCATCATGTGATTTTAATGTTCAGCCTAGACTGATAACCACTGACTTAAGTACTGATGACTCCCAAGTTAATATCTCTAGGCCAAACGTCTCTGAACTTCAGGCTCAAATGTTCAACTACTTACTCCATGTCTCTACTTGGATGTCTAGTAGACTTGACAGAGTGTACATATCCATAACCAAGATCCAAATCTTCCAATCCTAAACCCATTCCTTGTAATCATCCGCATCTTACTAACTAAAGGGCACTATACTTACCGGGTTTTCCCTTCTACCTCCTTGGGTGGCCCTTCTCATCCTTTTTTGGATCATCTGTCTATGTTCAACCTCCCAGTGTTGAAATGATCCAGGGTACACAGCTCCTCTCGATATCTAGAATCTCCCCGGGTGATCTCATTTACATGCTGATGATGCTCTGATTTAAACATAGTCATGTTGCTCAAATTTAACCTGTGCAACAGGAAATTATTAGTTTTCTCCTCCAACCCCACCAGCGCTTCTGCCAAAATCTGGGAATAATCTCTGATGTTTTTCCTTCCCTGGGCTGCTACCTCCAATCCATGTGCAAATCTTAACAAGTCTACTTCCAAAATATATTCCTTATATACACACTTCTCTTATCTCTACTATTACAACTCTAAGACATCAATGACAAAAAAGTTTTAGCAAACTGAGACTAAAAAGGCATATTCTGGCCAGGTGCAGTGGCTCACGCCTGTAATCCCAGCACTTTGGGAGGCTGAGGCGGGTGGATCACGAGGTCAGGAGATCGAGACCATCCTGGCTAACACGGTGAAACCCCGTCTCTACTAAAAATACAAAAAATTAGCCGGGCATGGTGGCGGGCGCCTGTAGTCCCAGCTACTCGGGAGGCTGAGGCAGGAGAATGGCGTGAACCCGGGAGGTGGAGCTTGCAGTGAGCCGAGATCACGCCACTGCACTCCAGCCTTGGCGACAGAGCGAGACTCCGTCTCAAAAAAAAAAAAAAAAAAAAAAAAAAAAAAAATTAAAAAAGGAATATTCTACCCTGGTAACAGATATCTGTCAAGCCTCTAGCAAACATTGTACTAAATAAAAAAAAAAAATTAGAAGCATTCTAGTTTAAAACAGAAAAAAAGGACAAAGATATTGCAGCTCACAATTGCAACAAAAAATATAGGGTACCTAAGACTAAATCTTACAAAAGATGCAGAAAAGTTATAAAGCAACATGGGAAAAGACAAAAAGGATTCATAAATAGGTTTCATGAATGGAAAGACTTGAGATCTTTTTTAAAGCATGTCAGGTTTTTTTCAGAATGAATTTATAAATTCAAGGCCGTTCCAATAAATATTCTATCTTTTTTTAGTGTAAATTTACATGCTCATCTTCACATTTGTGTTCAGATTTCAAGACTTAACGCTATAATGATTAACAAGTGTGGTAGTGACATAGAGATGAACAAATGGATAAATGGAACAGAATAGAGGATCAAGAAACACACTCATGATTATAAGGAAACTAGATAGATATGATAGAAATAGCATTATTAATCAATGAGGGAAGGATAGACAAATTCAATAAATGATAATATTTCGGAAATGAAATTATATCCCTAAAACACTCTATCTATAAGAACTTAATTCCAGATGGATTAATGACCTAAATGTGAAACAATTCAAACTTTGAAAAGATAATTTAGAAAAAATATTGTTTTGACTTTAATATAGAAAGGAACTTCTAAAAAAGACACAAAAAGCACAGCCCATAAATCAAAAGAATGATACACTTGACCAAATTAAAATTTGAAAACGTCTGTTTAATGAAAAGGTCAGCTTGACTTTTCTGGTCCCCTTCTGTTGGGAGTGGCCCGTGTGACTAGTTGTAGCTAGTGGGTTGTGAGCAGCAGTGATGTGTGCCACTTCCAAGCTGGATTATTAGTATTTGCCAGTGTGAGTCCTTCTAGAGATCTCCTTTCCCTCTCCCACGGTGACACAAAGTACTCTTGTTGAAAACAGCCTGGATCCTGGAGTGAGGAAGCACTCCCAGCCAACTAATGGTGCACCTGTGATCAAAAAGATACATTTGCTACTTTAAAAAGCCTCATTAATGAACAGTATCATAAGCAAAATGAAAGGGTAAGCCTCAGACTGGGAGAAAATATTCGTAAAGGTAAAGCTAATGAAGGATTAATATGAAAACAATTTAAAGAGCTACAAATCAATAAGGAAAACATAAATAACTCAATAAAAATAAAACACAGGCAGAGGGTATGATTGAGTAATTAACTTAGGAGGAAACTTGATAGGATGCTTAACTACCTAAACTCAGGGAAATATATATTAAAGTAACAAGAAGATACAATTTGTATCCGTAAGTTTGGTAAAAATGTAAAAGCCCATTTATAGCAAGTGTTGGAAAGAAATAAGAACTGTCATCATTGCTGGCTCAAATATAAATTGGCATAGACGCTTTGGAGAAGAATTTGTCAATATCTTGGAAAGATGAAGATCTAGGTGTATATGTAATTTCACCTCTATGAATTTGCTGTGGAGAAACTCTAGCACAACAGCAGACAAAGACATTTACAGTCATGACTGTCAATGTCATTGATATCTGGAATAGAAAATGTCAAATATTTACCAGTGGGAGAATTAGAAAAATAAATTTGATATATTTATTTAATGGAAGTTATAATGAATGACTTGGAGTCACATGTGTGAATCCATCTAAAAATCATAATGTTGAGTGAGTAAAGCAAGTTGCAGAATGGCTTCAGAGTATACCTTTTCCATAAAGTTTGAAAACATGTAAAACAATACTACATATTTGTTATGGAATATATTTTTGTTCATCAATTATTCATGCCGCCTCACACTACATCTTTTGGAAGAGTATAGTTTCCCAGTCTATTGATGCCTTGGCCATGAGATTCACTTTGTCCAGTAGAGTATTTGGGTAGAACCGATAATGTAAGAATTCTGAGTCAAGGCCTTAAGAAGCATCATATTTTTGTTTTGTTTCTTTCGGAGTTTCTGACCTCCACAATAAGAAGCACATGTCACTTGAGACTATCCCTTCAGTTTCAGCCTCAGAATGAAAATGCATGAATGATTGCTGCCCCAGCTGACATAGAGACCTGGGAACAAGAGAGTAAATGCTTGTTGTTGTATGGTACTAGGTTTGAAATACATGAAAAACTGAACTATGCAATGTTCATATGCCAGAACATATGTAATGTATGTGTATGTAATACAAACAGGAATAATAAACAG
Organism: Homo sapiens; assembly: GCF_000001405.40. Lineage (NCBI taxonomy): Eukaryota > Metazoa > Chordata > Mammalia > Primates > Hominidae > Homo > Homo sapiens. The sequence goes on along the minus strand of NC_000023.11, from coordinate 112,621,664 downwards.
TAAATAATAAAATAATAAACAACACATTCAGGAGAGTGGTTATTTTTGAGGAAGGAAACAAGGAATCCTTATCCTTCTTTATTCTGTTTTATTTTTCTTCATAGCACATTTATTTATTGTTTCTCTCTCCCTCCCACTAAAATGTAAATTCTACAAAACCAAGCAATGAGCCTTATTTGTTGACTGCTCTGGTGCAGGCATCCTACTGGCACACAATAGGCACTCAGTTAACATTTGTTGAAGGAATGAGACTGTTTATTCATCTGTAGTAGGGACAATACTAATGGTCATGAAGGATTATACTGAGGGTGAAACAAGATTATACCTGAGAATATGCATCGTATTGAACCTGGCATCTACGCACTCAATTATGTCAGCCTTTTTTCTTTTTCTTTTTCTATTCTGGATATGTGGTTTCTCTGTTGAACTATCTCAATAATGTACAGAGCACTTTGTAATGTGTAAGGGGTAGACAAGAAACTGTTTCTTAACTGTGCAGTCTCTAACAAGATATTTAACCTCTGTGTTCCTGATCTGTAGCCTGAGGATAATAATACCCATCTCATATGTTGGTTGAGAGTATTAAATACTGTAATGTTATGAAGCACTGAGCATGGGGCCTGATACATAGTAAATGCTCAATAAACATTAGTTATTTATTATTACTACTACAAAATAGACAGTTGCCTATGTGGTATCAGTTCAGGAGTATTTGGCAGGCTGCTTTACTAAAATAATATCTTCCACTCCAGCTTGTCATTTCCATCTCTACTTTTACTATTATGGAGTTATTCTTTTGGTTTATGCCTTGTTCATTCCAGCTACTTCTTACAAGCTTCATTGGGAATATGCTCCCAATAGTTTCTTGTGCTTAATATTATGTGATGTCTTATTTTCCTCTACTCCCGGACAGATGGGCAACATAAGGACTCCAGGGAAAGGTTTGGGAAGAGAAGTGAAGAAACGCATTCCAGAGGCAACCTTGAGCTATTTGTCCCTTTTCCTTAAGGATGGCCCTGTTCAGAATTGCCTGTAGTCATCAGTCTGTGTCTCAGCAGGAGCTAACTCTCTAGCTTCTGCTCCTTATGATATAGGTGAGAGATTAGTAATCTATGAGAACTGCTTTCTCTTAGGGTTCTAAAGTGTTCCATGTTCTGAGGACTATCTCTTGCTGTACTATCTTTTATGTTGCATCATCTCTCCCACTTGTTGGGGACTTGCCAGCCGAAACCATACCCAAACTCACTATCTAGGTGCTATTGTCAAGACTTCTTCTTGGGCCAGGGTATATTATCCTTAGCTCTCCTGATTATAAGGCTGCATTATTTAGCGCATACTGTAATTGATGGCTATGTACTTAGGAATCCTTGAAGTATATTTGAAAATAATTGTGATCGATATGCAAACATGTACAAAACTTTCTGAAAATGCCCATAACTTGTTGGCTTTTTTAAAAACAACCTTCTTAACATATACTTTATACATCATAAAATTTACCTGTTTTAAGCATAAGATCAATTTATTCTCAGTGTATTCATAGAGTTGTGCAAGCATCACCACAATCCAGTTTTAAAACATTTATGATTGGATTCTGAATGTATTCCTTATACCAATAATCAGTAATCTTGTTGGAAATCCTGGAAAATGTCTAAAATTTAACTACATTGTTTTATGGAATAAGTGGCCTCCAACAAAATGATACAAATAAATTTCCATAGTATCAATACAATTTCACCATCAATCTTTTCATACAATTAAAATGCATTTAATGACATATGGAGGGGGAATGTGGGAATTATGTAAAAAACTGACCAAATTGGATATTTCCATGAAGGTTAGTAACTACATTAGGATCAGTAACTGCTAACTGCCACAAAAGAAAACTGAAGTTTCATTCATCTCAACACAACAAAAGTTTATTTCATCAAGTCTAATGCAGGTTGGTGGGGATTCTCTTCCAAGCAGTGACTTGGGGATTAAGGCTCCCTTCTTTCTGTGATACCACCATCTTCATATATAGCATCTAAGACCACAAAGGGCAAAGGGAAAGATGGATGAGGAACACCAGCTCTTAACCTCCTGGACCTGGAAGTGGTACACATCACTCCCATTGGTCAGAACTAGCTACATGGCCCCAGCCCAAAGGCACGTTTGAGGAAGGTAGGTTAATACATCGATCATTTAGTGAGCAATTTCTCAGCTATGTTGGTGTAGGGGCAAAGACGGAGAGCTTTCCCCTTCGTCCTATGAAAGTTCACTGAAAATGAACTGACAATAGGCAAATTAATATGGAAAAAGGCATACAGATTTAGTTAATGTGTGTAGCATGGGGGAATCACAGAATGAGTACACCATAACCCAGTGGGGTACAGAAGCATATATACCCTTCTTCATAGGGGAAGGGGAGATGAGGGTTGTTGGAGTAAATGTTTTTTAGGGGGAATGAATGGACCCAATGTTCAGACAATGGTTAGTAAATAATTATTTTTGGGAATTGAATGGGATTTGAGAACAAACAATAGTTTGGGACAAAGGTAGTCTGGGCTCTATTATAGGTGTGGTGTTTAATTTTCAGTTTCTCTATGACAGGAGTTTTAATCTTCTCTAGTTAATGAAATTTCAGGGAAGAGATTGAAGGCAATTGTGTTATTCTTTGGGGGTCCAGTTTTAAAGTAAATAAGGGAACATCAGAGAACAGCCTCATTCTGTGCTTTGGAAGAGATAGAAGTTTGAGAGAAAGGGAGGCAAGGAAGGTCAGAGGATCTTCGAGTCTGCTTTTTCAGTTTAGCATGTCAAAGTGCCATACTTTTGGGTATTATTTCTTGAGCCCCCAAAGTGGTCAAGCCTGTGATGCTTTATTCTTCTTTTGCTCTTTCCTCAAGCGCTAAGAATGACTGCAATATCTCACAATATTATGATTTTACATTCTTCACTTCTAGAAATTAGATTCACTCTTGGTCATTTAAAATGTGCAGTTCTCATGTATGCCAGCACTTAAAGTAAAATTAAAAAAAAAATAAAATGTGCAGTTTCAGCTAGACTGCAAGTCATCATTCACCAAGAGATGACACAAGTCAACATACTTGCCCTTCAGCCTGCAAAATCCTCATCCAAGATTGTTTGTTCTGCACAATAAAATGTTTATCAATTCAGTGAGATTAATTCTTTATAAAATTAATATATTTGTACCAACAGATATCATATTTTTATGAATCTTTAGATTGTCATCCATCACTTAGCTCACTAAGTAACCAATGATTTTGGTCATTATTTGATTACCCTTATTTAGTGTCTGTGGTAAGTGTAATGAGGGGGCCTCTTTTTTTGTCCTCTAATCTTCTTTTCCTAAATCCTTGCCATAGTCAATAATATCTAACAATAATGTACTCAAGGTCAAGAACCTAGAAATGAAAGCTGCCAAAAAGGCCAGAAGACATGGTTCCAAACCTGGCTCTGCCTTTAATTAACTGTGTGATGTTGGGCAAGCCTCAACCTCTCTGAGTCTCTGCTTCTTTATCAGAAAAAAATTATAAATTTTAATACCTGCTAATGAAAATGAGTGGTCAGTGTGGCCTTCAGAGAACAGCCTTGTAGCCTCTCTTGCTAGCTAACTCTCCTTTCCTGCATTCCAGGGGTATATTAGTCCATTCTCACACTGCTATGAAGAAATACCTGAGACTGGGTTCTGCATAGCTGTGGAGACCTCGGAAAACTTACAATTATGGCAGAAGGCACCTCTTCAGAGGGTGGCAGTAGAGAGAATGAGTGCTGAGTGAAGGGGAAAGCCCCTTATAAAAGCATCAGATCTCTTGAGAGCTCACCTACCATCACGAGAACAGTGTGGGGGGAAACTGCCACTATGATTCACTTATCTCCATCTGGTCCTGCCTTTGGCACATGGGGATTATTACAATTCAAAGTAAGATTTGGGTGGGGACACAGAGCCAAAGCATATTATTCCACTGCTGGACCCTCCCAAATCTCATGACCTCACATTTCAAAACAATCATGTCCTTCCTACAGTCTCCCAAAGTCTTAGCTCATTCCAGCATTAACCCAAAAGTTCAAGTCCAATGTCTTATCTGAGACAAGACAAATCCCTTCCGCCTATGAGCCTGTAAAATCAAAAGCAAGTTAGTTACTTCCTAGATACAAGGGGAGTACAGGCATTGAGTAAATATACCCACTCCAAATGGGAGAAATTGACCAAAACAAAGGGGCTACAGGGCCCATGCAAGTCTGAAATCCAATAGGGTAGTCATTAAACCTTAAAGTTCCAAAATGATCTCCTTCAACTCCATGTCTCACATCCAGGTCATGCTGATACAAAGGTGGGCTCCCATGGCCTTGGGCAGCTCTGCCCCTATGGCTTTGCAGAGTACAGCCCTCTTCCCAGCTGCTTTCACAGGCTAGTGTTGACTGCCTATGGTTTTTCCAGGTGCATGGTGCAAGATGTCAGTAGATCTACCATTCTGGGGTCTGGAGGATGGTTGCCCTCTTCTCACAGCTCCACTAGGCAGTGCCCCAGTGGGGACTCTGTGTGGGGGCTCCAACCTCACATCACCCTTCCACACTGCCCTAGCAGAGGTTCTCCATGAAGGCTCTGTCTATGCAGCAAATTTCTGCCTGGACATCCAGGCGTTTCCATACATCCTCTGAAATCTAGGCAGAGGTTCCCAAACCTTAATTATTGACTTCTATGCACCCATAGGCCTAACACCACATGTAAGCTGCCAAGGCATGGGGCTTGCACCCTCTAAAGCAATGGCCTGAGCTGTACCTTGACTCCTTTTAGCCACAGCACTGGAGGTGAGGGAGCTGGGACACAGGGTGCCGTGTCCCAAGGCTGCATAGAGCACAGGGGCCCTGGGCCTGACGCATGAAACCATTTTTCCATCCTAGGCCTCCAGGCCTGTGATGGGAGGGGCTGCTGTGAAGGTCTCTGACATGCCCTGGAGACATTTTCCCCAATGTGTTGGTGGTTAACGTTCGGCTCCTCATTACTTATGCAAATTTCTGCAGCCAGCTTGAGTTTCTCCCCAGAAAATGGGTTTTTCTTTTCTATCACATTGTCAGGGTGCAAATTTTCCAAACTTTTACGCTCTGCTTCCTCTTAATGCTTTGCTGCTTATAAATTTCTTCTGCCAGACACCCTAGATCACCTCTCTCAAGTTCAAAGTTCGACAGACCTCTAGGGCAGGGTCAAAATGCTGCCAGTCTCTTTGCTAAAGCATAGCAAGAGTCACCTTTATTCCAGTTCCCAACAAGTTCCTCATCTCCATCTGAGACCACCTCAGCCTGAACTTCATTGTCCATATCACTATCAGAATTTTGGTCAAAGCAATTTGATAAGTCTCTAGGAAGTTCCAAAGTTTCCCACATTTTCCTGTCTTCTTCTGAGCCCTCCAAACTCTTCCAACCTCTGCCCATTACACAGTTCCAAAGTTACTTCCACATATTCGGGTATCTTTACAGCAACACCCTACTACCTCGGTACCAATTAACTGTATTAATCCATCCTCATGCTTCTATGAAGAAATACCCCAAACTGGGTAATTTATAAAGAAAAGAGGTTTAATTGACTCACAGTTCTGCATGGCTGGGGAGGCCTCAGGAAATTTACAATCATGGTGGAAGACACCTCTTCAGAAGGCAGCAGGTGAGTGAGTGAGAGCTGAGCAAAGGAGTAAGCCCCTTATAAAACCATCAGATCTTGTGAGAACTCACTCACTATGACGGGAACAGCTTGGGGTGAAACCGCCCCCACGATTAAATTTTCTCCAGCTGGTCCTGCCCTTGACACATGGGAATTATTACAATTCAGGGTGAGATCTGTGTGGGGACACAGAGTCAAATCATATCAAGGGGTTTCTTTTCTGAGAACCCTGTTCCCGAGATTCCAGTCCTTCCTTCAGTTTCTGTGGTGCTTCTCTTCAAATGTGTTTGTGGAGATTCTGACTTAATAGGTCTACAGTGAAGCCTAGGAATCTGTTTTGCAACAAGCTCCGGAGGGATTTTGGATTATTAGCCAGGTATCACTGCCAGATTATCACACTTCACTATTTGGTACAGACTATGTAGAGTTGTCCCTCAGTATCCAGGACCCCTTTGGATACCAAAACATATGGATGTTCAAGTTCATGATATAAAATGACATAGTATTTGCATATAGCCTACTCTTATCCTCCTGTATACTTTATGTATCTCTAGATTATTTATAATATGCAATACAATATAAATACTATGTAAATAGTTGTCATACTGCATCACTTAGGGAAAAACAATAAGAAAAAAATTGTACTTTTCTTTCAATATTTTTGATCCATGGTTGGTTGAATCCATGAATGAAGATCCCATGGATATGGATGGCCAGCTGTACTTCTAACATGAATAGGAATATCTGGTTCAAGGTAAATGCCAATTAAGAAAATTAAATGTACATGATCTCTATTTTGATTTCAGCTTATTGTAGATTAAAATGTAAATTGTGCTCTTACAGTTTTCATTGGTTTGTTAAATTTACTTATACTTTCATATTCCAAGTCAAATGCTGCAATTCTGTTTCAGCCCCCCTGTCCCCAAGAATGCAAAGTTTTTTTTTTTATCTGACCCTTATATATTTCATCTTTCCTTTCTAGGTCAAACATGCTATCATTACTTATACAAAATTCTGATGCAGTAGCATTCCAGGTTCCTAAACCAGACTCTGAACTCTTTGGCAAACAACTTAAGAAAAAAAGCATTTCTCATTGTTATGCAAGCTTTCCTCCTCTCTCTGGCACTACAGTTCCCCACAGATCTCTAAGCTCTTTCACAGTTCTGCTCTCTCAGCCAGCACCAGCCCATCTCCACACCATACTTTTAGGTCTGAGTCAGCGGTCCTATAGAACATTAACTCATTAACAACACAATTGTCCCTTACTTCTGAGCTCTCACCAGACTAGTGTTGTTTCAGTTAGTGAATACGGTGAAGGACTTTTTTTTTTTTTTTTTGAATTGCCATTCTTTTTACAGGGTACTTGAGAAGCTCAAATGAATCCATAAAAATGTACTCTATGATAGATATAAAGCATAACTCAAATATAGAGTGGAGGTATAAATGGGTGCCATCCTCTATAATTTATTCTTCCTCCATTTATTTTAGAAAAAAGCTAGAATCCTCATGCACCTTAAATTTCAAGGACATTTATCATTTGCATTGCTGGCATACTACCATCCAAACATAATCATATTTATCTTCCATCCCTACTGGGTTCTGGAGAACTACGCATATTTCTTTTCTTCTGTAAATCTTCATAGCAATACAGATATTAACCCCTACTCAACCTCATTCCCAGCTGCACCACTAACTCTAACCTATCCTGCTTTCATGTCTTCAGTCACGTGCACTATCTTCTCTGAATTTATATTTTAGACTGTCAGATGGGACCACAGTCAGAAGCTCATTTTGTTTCTAAATGATGGAAAAGTCATGAGCATTGAGATAAATAGAAGTATTAATATTTTCGAAGTCAACAACTCAAAGAGATTTGGGGTCCGAGGTAGCTTATGAAATGTGAGGGGCCACCACACAGTGCCCCACACTATTGAGCACTTTTGTAAAAACCAAGAAACAAAAATGATTTATATTCTTTGGACAGCCATGAAGGAAAATTTGTTCACAAAGTAGTATTCTAACATAGCTGTAAATGCAGTCACTCTTTTGTGGTTTAAGCTCAAGGACTACACTGCTTTCTGAGATGGTGGGATCATTATATTTCCAGAGTGATGACAAGAAAAGAAGAAGTTGGGGGAAATTTTGACTATTGCTGGCTCTTAGATATGTACTCGTCTATGGACTCATAGGTCTGCAAATCTGTGCATGGTGATAAGCGGGGGTAGAGAGCATTTGTGGGTGCACACATATATACAAGTTTCCTTTTATTACTTGTGGTAGGTAGAATTCTAAAAATGTACCCCTAACCCCCAGCCAGGTGCCACTCCCTAATAAGTTGACATATCACTCCTCTGATGACATTACATCATATGACACAGTTGACTTCTGGATAGAAAGATTATCTCAGTAGTCCTAATCAAATCAAGGAGCCCTTAAAAGCAGAAAACTTTTTCCAGCTGGTGTCAGAAAGGAAGGCAGAAGGAGAAGTCAGAGATTCAAAGCATAAGAAGGAATTAAAGTGCTGTTACTGATTTCAATATGGAGGAGACCACATGAGAAAGAATGCGGGTGGTCTCTCAGAGCATAGATTGGCTCCCCTGGCTGACAGCCAGCAAAAAAATGGGTACTTTCAGTCTTGTAACTGCATCAAACTGAATTCTACCACAGCCACATGAGTTTAGAAGAGAGCTCTGGGCCTCTAGATGAGAATGCAGATCAGTTGATAACTTGATTTTAGCCTTGTAAGACCCTGAACAGAGATTCCAGTTACACCATGCTGCACTTTTGAACTGCAGAATGATGAGCTAACAAATGAATGCTATTTTAAGCCACAAAGTTTGTAGTAATTTTTAGGCAGCAATACAAAACTAATATATTATTGAATTAGTCTTTTCCCAGGATTATGGAGCTCCTGAAACCATAGATCATGTTATCTCCATGGGAAAGACCCACTGTCCCTCATGCACAGTCTTGTGTTCGGGAAGTACTCCGCAACTGTTATCTGTTAAAAATACGGTCACTGAACCAGGTGCAATTGCTTAGTGTGCTCATTGACTTAGAGCATAATTGAGCTGATTCTGTGGTTCACAGTTACTATTAAACTGCTTACTGGCTAGAAGGTGAGGGCCACAGAACTAAGGGGTTCAGCTCAGGTTTTCTCTCCACTCTATAAAAGACAGGAAGCATTCTTCAGACACACACAAGACTAATAGTCACATCATGTGGCCTTAAATAAGCCAGACTGGGCTTCCTCTGGGATCAGGGAGATGATATCAGAAATAAAAATAAACCACAAGGCACTTGCTGCCCTCGTTCTTGGGCTGATGAGGAGCCAGATAATGAAGTTACACATTTTAACGTGATCATGAGAATGGAAAAGGGCTCACTCCTCTCTCAGTTTCCACTAGGGACTTTGTCCAGAGAAAAGCTATATTAACAGGTGCTTTGCAAAATGTAGCTTCCTTCCTGTTCTCAGTAGGGAGGGCATCAGTGCCTGCTCTAATGCTTGATCATCCTTCTTTTCCACCTCTGTTCATTCCTTTTCTTCCTTTTTCCTTCCCTTTCCCTGCTTCCTCTTCCTAATTTTATTTTTTGTTATTGAGCTCTTTAGTTGGGAGAGTGAGAGCCCCAGCAGCACAGAAAAAACCTCAGCCTTTTAGAGTGAGATAAATGCCCTTTATTCTTATTTGAGTTTCTCACTGCCTAGAATGTAAGTGTAGAAAATAGAACAGTCTAACAGAAGCAGAGAGCAAGACCTTTTTCATGGTGTTTGAAAAAGACTAGAAAAAGGTGGCAGAAAGGAGGATGAGGTGACTCTGCTCCTATCTCTCAGCAGTCACTCAGTCAACGTTTCTGGAGTGCCATGACATTTACTCTCATTTCATGTCATTAAACAGGGTATGAAGTAGTTTCAGCACAAGTGTAGATTATGCACAGACATTTGCTGTCTGTTCTTGGGAGCCAAGGGAAACACAAGATTTGGTCCCTATCCATAAGGAACTAATAGGGCTGCCAGGCAGCATAGAATCCATATATGAAAAGGACATGTGGAAGACACAGATGGCCCCAGGATAATGCAGAAGAACTAGAGTGATAGGGTATTCTGGCATTGGAGAAGAGTAGAAGGGATGTGATTTAGTGGAAGTGGCAGTGATGGTTATAGAAGAGCAGAGGAAGGTTTTTTTGTGGCAGGGGATGGGGAAGGAGTGCAATGTAGTTTCATGGATGCAGGGTGAAGTTGGAATGAACATTCTTTATGCCTAGTTGTCACAGTACTCATGTTGTTAGGGACCAAATTGTGTCCCTTACAAATTCATATGTTCAAGTCCTAAATTCTAGTATCTCAGAATGTGAGTGTATTTTGAGATAGGGCTTTTAAAGAGGTAGTTAAGGTTAAATGAGTTCATATGGATGGGGCCCTGATCCAATATGACTGATGTCCTTATATTAATAAAAAGAAGAAGAAACACCAGGAATGTGCACACACAGAGATAAGGCCAAGTGAGGACACAGTGAGAAGGTGGCTGTCTGGGGGTCAAGGAGAGAGGCCTCAGGAGAAGCCAAATCAGCCAACTCCTTGATCTTGGACTTCCAGCCTCCAAAACTGTGAGAAAAAAACATTTCTCTTCTTTGAGCCTCTAGTCTATGGCATTATGTTATGGCAGCATGAGCTAATACACATGTGAAGGAAGATTGCTCTCAATGCTGAATGGGGATTGCTCTAAATCACTTATTTTCATGGTCAAAGCTTTAAGTGGCCTAACAGTAATGGGTGTGTCAGCACTTGAGGAGACAGGCAGGTTCTGGCAGGACTCTTAGCTGGGTGACCTTCTGTAGGTCATGTTGCTTATCTGGGCCATTTTTGTCTCTTTGGTAAATTAGGAAATTAATAAGAGTGACTTGCTAATGCATAGATATAAGGTTCAAGGTGGAGATCACAATAACTTTTGTAGGTTTTTCAAAATACTCATGCTCTACTGCTTTGCTCCCTGCCCCTGCTGAGAATCCCTGGTTTTTATTATTTTATTTTATTATGTTAGGAACACTTAACATGAGATCTAGCGTCTTAAAACATTTTAAGCTAAGTGAAAAAAGCCAGACACAGAGCCACAAGTACTGAATGATTTCACGTATATGAGGTATCTAAAATAATGAAATTCATAAAACCAAAGACTGGAATGGTCATTATTAGGTGCTATTGGAATGACGATATGGGAACTTATTAATCAACAGGTATAAAGTTTCAGATAAGTAAAATGAATAAGCTGTAGAGAATCTGGCTTTTGTACTGAAGTTCATTTAAGGTCAGTCAGTCTGCTAGTCTTGCATACCCATGCACCCCTATTTCCTGTTATTGATAAGTTGCCTAGTCCTAAAAAGGACCAGTACCTTCTGCTTTTTGCTTGGCTCAAGAACTTACCCCATCCTATGCTACCACCATTAAGTGCTAGCAGAGTGGCAAATGCCTCTTTTGAGGTGAGAGTTGAGGTGAACCATGAGAGTGGCAAGTTGGGGCTCTCAGAGCTATCAGCTAGCTGAGATTGTTCAACAGGTAAGATGCAGTATAGGAAACACCAATGCCTTCACCTTCTGCTTTGTGTTTACTTTTAGGAAAGATGTCCCTAGCTCTGGAGGAGGTGGTATGAAATCGTGAGGCTTCTCATCCTTAGCTCCCTTTGTTTCCCATTAGCTGAGCATACATGTCTTGGTTGTAGTTTTCCATTCAGACAGTCTGAATGTGAGTGTGTGCATAGGGGCCAGGGACCTAAGTATAAGAATGGAGTTTCCAGCTCATGGGTACAGACTTCCTTGCCTCTTCCCTGCCACAAAGCCCAGTTACATCGCCTGACCTGTTCCCAAACTCCATTACTCAAATGCCCACACCATCTACCTGATGTGGGGAGGGAGGCAGTCCTAGAACCCCCTGAAGCCCATACTAGAAATCCTGAGTGCAGCTGAATAAGTGGCAGAATGATTGATCATCTCTTTCTTCTGCTTTGATCAGCCTCTAACCGAGGCAGGAGATTTATTTCTGTTGTCAATGTTATTTCAGGGCTCAGAAACCAGTTGTCTACCTTGCTCTTCAGCCAATCATAGGCAGGGGTAAAGAGGGGAATGGCAGACAATAAGGTCTGCTGGGGAGAGTGCAAGTTATTTTGAGCTTATCTTATTCTTAGCCAGCAGCCTGGGGCGTTGGTGTCTGCACATGATTCAGTTTTGCCTGGTGGTGGTGGCAGCAGTACTCTTTGCTTCAGGTGCTTGACGTTCAGTATTACAGAAATGAATTATGGGAAAAGCAGTTTCCTGATGCTAACACAGTCTCCCAGTAGACTCCTGAAGGATCAGGAGGAAGATTTCATGTAGACAGCCTGCTATGTGAGCAGATGTAGAAATGCCAGTGCCCACTGGGGAACATGGCCCATAAAAGGAAAACAATCAAACTGGCACCCCAATATGCCTGATCTGATTTTGAGATGAAAGAATATAAGGTCCTGTCATTCTGAGGTTCAGCCCATGAGGCAAGACTAGCAAGGGAAAAGACAAGAGAAGAGTGACTGGTAGAGAGAACTGGGGAAGGGATGCCCTAATCTTTGTTCTCACTCCTCTAAGAGAACAGTGATGGAGCGCCAACACCTATACCTTCTCAGTGTGTGAAACACTAGGTGATGAGTTATTCTGGTTCCTAGAAATGACTTTCCCATTATCTCTACACTACCAAGTTCTTGATGTGTAAAATTCTTCAACAACTCCAGCCCCCAGGTCTTTCTGTTTTTTAGCTGCCTATAAGAATATTAGTGCATTGCTGGCCACATAGTAAATGTTCAATAAATGTTGAATGAATTAATGAATGGTCTGTATTAGTAATTTTTATACTTAAAAACTCAGCAGAACCTTTTCTTTCAAATATAATCTTAATCTGAAACTCAATACACAGAATGAATCAAAGTTGAACACTCGTGGAGTGTGATCAAATCCTGCATCACTGCATTTATTTCTTCTTGTGTCTCTAGTGCTGCAGCCAGCCTTTGACAATTCTCAACCTGACTATGATTCAGATACCCACATATAGACTCCAGTTTTAGGTATCCTGTAGAGGGTATGGTATTAGGAAAAGGAGATAGGAGTGGTCACACGTAAAGGGGTCAAAAGGCCTAGACAAAGAAAACTCAAAGAGGAGAACACATCAAGAGAGGCAGACGTGACAAGCTATGAACTTTCACTGGAAGTTAGAAATGTGACAGCTATCATTATGAGTGAATATGACTCTTTATAAAAGGCACAAGAAAGAATAAAGAAACAAGGCGTGGGAGGCTAGGGTGGGGCCAAATGTGACTGTGAGGGCCAATGGGAAGTATTTAGTGAGACACAATCATTCATTTCACATATTCAATAAATTTTTAATAAGTGCATTGTTATGGGCACTAGAGAAACACCAGTGAGTAGAAATACCTACACTCACGAAGCTTACATTCTAGTGTGGGGTAGGAGACAGGCAAGAAACAAACTAAACAAATAGACTCTTTTCCTGAATGATTTCATCCAGCTTTATGGTTTTATTTATCTTCTATATTATTTTTTTTAAATTTTCTGCTTGCAGCATTTATTTATAATTTTAATTTTTAATTTTTTTATTATTATACTTTAAGTTTTAGGGTACATGTGCACAACGTGCAGGTTTGTTACTTATGTAAACACGTGCCATGTTGGTGTGCTGCACCCATTAACTTGTCATTTAGCATTAGGTATATATCCTAATGCAATCCCTCCCCCCTCCCCCCACCCCACAACAGTCCCTGGTGTGTGATGTTCCCCTTTGTGTGTCCATGTGTTCTCATTGTTCAATTCCCACCTATGAGTGAGAACATGTGGTGTTTGGTTTTTTGTCCTTGTGATAGTTTGCTTAGAATCATGGTTTCCAGCTTCATCCATGTGCCTACAAAGGACATGAACTCATCATTTTTTATGGCTGCCTAGTATTCCATGGTGTATATGTGCCACATTTTCTTAATCCAGTCTATCATTGTTGGACATTTGGGTTGGTTCCAAGTCTTTGCTATTGTGAATAGTGCCGCAATAAACATACGTGTGCATGTGTCTTTATAGCAGCATGATTTATAATCCTTTGGGTATATACCCAGTAATGGGATGGCTGGGTCAAATGGTATTTCTAGTTCTAGATCCCTGAGGAATCACCACACTGACTTCCACAATGGTTGAACTAGTTTACAGTCCCACCAACAGTGTAAAAGTATTCCTATTTCTCCACATCCTCTCCAGCACCTGTTGTTTCCTGACTTTCTAATGATTGCCATTCTAACTGGTGTGAGATTGTATCTCATTGTGGTTTTGATTTGCATTTCTCTGATGGTCAGTGATGGTGAGCATTTCTTCGTGTGTTTTTTGGCTGCATAAATGTCTTCTTTTGAGAAGTGTCTGTTCATATCCTTTGCCCACTTTTTGATGGGGTTGTTTGTTTTTTTCATGTAAATTTGTTTGAGTTAAATGTAGATTCTGGATATTAGCCCTTTGTCAGATGAGCAGGTTGCAAAAGTTTTCTCCCATTCTGTAGGTTGCCTGTTCACTCTGATGGTGGTTTCTTTTGCTGTGCAGAAGCTCTTTAGTTTAATTAGATCCCATTTGTGAATTTTGGCTTTCGTTTCCATTGCTTTTGGTGTTTTAGACATGAAGTCCTTGCCCATGCCTATGTCCTGAATGGTATTGCCTAGGTTTTCTTCTAGGGTTTTTATGGTTTTAGGTCTAACATTTAAGTCTTTAATCCATCTTGAATTAATTTTTGTATAAGGTGCAAGGAAGGGATCCAGTTTCAGCTTTCTACATATGGCTAGCCAGTTTTCCCAGCACCATTTATTAAATAGGGAATCCTTTCCCCATTGCTTGGTTTTGTCAGGTTTGTCAAAGATCAGATAGTTGTAGATATGTGGCACTATTTCTGAAGGCTCTGTTCTGTTCCATTGGTCTATATCTCTGTTTTGGTACCAGTACCATGCTGTTTGGTTACTGTAGCCTTGTAGTATAGTTTGAAGTCAGGTAGTGTGATGCCTCCAGCTTTGTTCTTTTGGCTTAGGATTGACTTGGCAATGCGGGCTCTTTTTTGGTTCCATATGAACTTTAAAGTAGTTTTTTCCAATTCTGTGAAGAAAGTCATTGGTAGCTTGATGGGGATGGCATTAAATCTACAAATTACCTTGGGCAGTATGGCCATTTTCACAATATTGATTCTTCCTACCCATGAGCATGGAATATTCTTCCATTTGTTTGTGTCCTCTTTTATTTCATTGAGCAGTGGTTTGTAATTCTCCTTGAAGAGGTCCTTCACATCCCTTGTAAGTTGGATTCCTAGGTATTGTATTCTGTTTGAAGCAATTGTGAATGGGAGTTCGCTCATGATTTGTCTCTCTGTTTGTCTGTTATTGGTGTATAAGAATGCTTGTGATTTTTGCAAATTGATTTTATATCCTGAGACTTTGCTGAAGTTGCTTATCAGCTTAAGGAGATTTTGGGCTGAGATGATGGGGTTTTCTAGATATACAAGCATGTCATCTGCAAACAGGGACAATTTGACTCCCTCTTTTCCTAATTGAATGCCCTTTATTTCCTTCTCCTGCCTGATTGTCCTGGCCAGAACATCCAACACTATGTTAAATAGGAGTGGTGAGAGAGGCATCCCTGTCTTGTGCCAGTTTTCAAAGGGAATGCTTCCAGTTTTTGTCCATTCAGTATGGTATTGGCTGTGGGTTTGTCATAGATAGCTCTTATTATTTTGAGATACGTCCCATCAATGCCTAATTTATTGAGAGTTTTTAACATGAAGCGTTGTTGAAATTTGTCAAAAGCCTTTTCTGCATCTATTGAGATAATCATATGGTTTTTGTCTTTGGTTCTGTTTATATGCTGTATTACGTTTATTGATTGCATATGTTGAACCAGCCTTGCATTCCAGGGATGAAGCCCATTTGATCATGGTGGGTAAGCCTTTTGATGTGCTGCTGGATTCAGTTTGCCAGTATTTTATTGAGGATTTTTGCATCAATGTTCATCAGGGATATTGGTCTAAAATTCTCTTTTTTTGTTGTGTCTCTGCCCGGCTTTGGTATCAGGATGATGCTGGCCTCATAAAATGAGTTAGGGAGGATTCCCTCTTTTTCTATTGATTGGAATAGTTTCAGAAGGAATGGTACTAGCTCCTACTTGTACCTCTGGTAGAATTCGGCTGTGAATCCGTCTGGTCCTGGACTCTTTTTGGTTGGTAAGCTATTAATTATTGCCTCAATTTCAGAGCCTGTTATGGGTCTATTCAGAGATTCAACTTCTTCCTGGTTTAGTCTTGGGAGGGTGTATGTGTTGAGGAATTTATCTATTTCTTCTAGATTTTCTAGTTTATTTGCATAGAGGTGTTTATTAGTCTTGCTAGCAGTCTATCAATTTTGTTGATCTTTTCAGAAAACCAGCTCCTGGATTCATTAATTTTTTGAAGAGATTTTTTGTCTCTATTTCCTTCAGTTCTGCTCTGATCCTAGTTATTTCTTGCCTTCTGCTAGCTTTTGAATGTGTTTGCTCTTGCTTCTCTAGTTCTTTTAATTGCGATGTTAGGGTATCAATTTTAGATCTTTCCTGCTTTCTCTTGTGGGCATTTAGTGCTATTAATTTCCCTCTACACACTGCTTGAATGTGTCCCAGAGATTCTGGTATGTTTTGTCTTTGTTCTCGTTGGTTTCAAAGAACATCTTTATTTCTGCCTTCATTTCGTTATGTACCCAGTAGTCATTCAGGAGCAGATTGTTCAGTTTCCATGTAGTTGAGCAGTTTTGAGTGGGTTTCTTAATCCTGAGGTCTAGTTAGATTGCACTGTGGTCTGAGAGACAGTTTATTACAATTTCTGTTCTTTTGCATTTGCTGAGGAGAGCTTTACTTCCAACTATGTGGTCAATTTTCGAATAGGTGTGGTGTGGTGCTGAAAAGAATGTATATTCTGTTGATTTGGGGTGGAGAGTTCTGCAGATATATATTAGGTCCGCTTGGTGCAGAGCTGAGTTCAATTCCTGGATATCCTTGTTAACTTTCTGTCTCATTGATCTGTCTAATGTTGTTTGAACGAGGCAAGTCCTTCTCCTCCTCCTTCTTTTTGCCATTTATTTTTCCCTCTGCCTGCAGTGTTCTTTCTCTTGCTGTTCATATAACTTGTTCCTTCCTCTTTCCACTATAACCACCTCAGAGACACCTTTCCTGACTCTCTAAAGTATACCCAACTCCATTTTTCTCTGACATAGAACCCTATTTGTTTCTTTCATAATTCTCATCACAGCTTGAAATTATTTCAGCTGTTCACGTGCATATGTGCATATGTGTGTGTGTATGTGTGTTGGTTTATTTGTGTTTCTGTCTCTCCCATTATGCTGTAAGTTTTGTGACTATAGGGGCAGTGTCCATCTAATTTTCCACTGTATTTTTAGTGCCTGGCATATTAGTTACTTAATAAAAATGTTTTGAATAAACAAATGGGTGGGAAAGGATTATGGAACGAGAATATAGGCATCACAAAGGTCTGAAGAGACAATGAAGTTTCTGGGCCCCATACCATCAATCACATCAATGACTGGTAGGTTGGGCACAAGCTTCCAGGATATAGTCAGGGCCAGAGATTTTTGTAGCTAGGGAACATAGTATGGAGGCTAGAGCATTAATTGCATTTGCATTAGGTTAATGGAAAAAGACTGGAAGAAGAAATGTAAGTCCAGAGTGAAGCTAGCCTTAATAACTAATGGACACAGAGCTTTCCATGTTCAGAGGTGGAACACTACCTAAAGAGAAGAAATAAATGTTTTGATAACAGGCAGACCTGAGTTTGAATACCGGCTGAGCCACTGACAAGCTAGGTGACTTTCAGCAATTTAATTAATCTACCCAAGCATCAGATTTCTCATCAGCAAAACAGATACGATAAGGTTGCCTACTGCATAGGGTTATTGTAACAACAAAGTGAATTAAATATGTGTAGCACTTTGAATAGAACCTAGCACATAATGTGCACAGGTAATGAACGAAAGGAAGAAGGAGAGGGAGAAACAGAAGAAATGAGCTCTCCTGTGGGTTGAAGATTGTCCCAGTCCTTGGGGAGAAATCCACATGGAAAGAGAATAAATTTGCAAGATACGCTTATGTCTGTGCCTATTAATTTATAACAAACTTGCATCTTTTTGCTTACAGAAAAAAAGGATATAGAGTCCTAGGATTCTCTTTCCCTGTATTGTTACCTTGGCCTTCTTTCTCAGTTAGGTGACTGTGCTGACCTGGATGTGATTGCATGGGTTACATTCCCAAAGGTATGGCCACAGTTACATAAACACACTAAAAACCAGTCAATTCATCAGGAGAAAATAGAGTCGCTCAAGCTAATTATATGTCCCAGGGCCCAGACCACGAGCCAGCAGTGGCTACCTAGCCCAGCAATTTCATGCCATCCATATCCATATGGGTTACTTTAGACCAATAAGAAATTTCCTCATATTGTAGTTTGAAGTGGATCTCTTGGTGTAGCATGGAGTTGCAGATGGCTCAGGAGCCAGGAAAGGCTTTCTTCAAAGAATACCATAAATGCAGTACAATCAAAAGTCACTTTGCTCCTAAATGAGGGCATAAATTCTGAGAAATGATCCTACCAGTAGTCATTCTGGATGTACAAAATAGAAGCAGCAGTGAGTTATCAATCCTAAAATTAGGGAGAAATATTTTCTATGAATATTTATAGTTCGTTATTGACTTTTGAAGCTCATTATACAAGTACTAAAATATGGAATTTTATGATTACTTTGTATAATTACGTATAGACAGGGAGAGCCAAGCTCCCTTTGAAGTTAGTGAGAGATATGCATGAAGAATGAGAGATAAAATTTGTTTCTATTTTTCAATTTTGTGCAAAGTAGAATTCAATATTTCAAAATGACAAAAGACTCATCTTGTTTTCAAATAGACTATAAAGCACAATAACACAATTTATTTACATACTTGCCTTCTTCTGAAGCTCAAAGCATTTTGCAGGTGTTCTTTTAGTTATTTTCATAATGGAAAGGGTAAATGGTTTTAATCTCTACTTTTTTCCAGATATGAAAACTGAGGCACAGAGCGGCCAAATCATTTACTAACAATCTCAGTAGATTGTTTTTACATTTTTCCCTTTAAAATGAGATGAATAATAATTTCTGCCCTATCTCACAGTGTTGCTGTAAGGATATGTATAGAACACCTCTTGTGTGATTTAAAACAGTCTAGACCTTGCCTTCTACTCCAACCAATACCGTATTAATTATTTCGTTGCAGACTTCCACCCACTTTACTGTGTGCAACCTGACAGTGCTTCACCTCGAACCCACTGCTGCTATGTCTTGCTCCCTACCCTGTGGTTTTGAGGACACCTTGACATTGGATGTCCTTGGGACCTTCCTTGAGCAATGTTTTCTCCTGGACTGATAGTCCCGAGATATACTCCTTCATACTCCTTCAGGTTTCTCAGAAGGTCCCAGCCATCCACAGACATATCCAACTCAAGAATTCCTACCTGCATTTTCATTCCCTCCTTCCCTGTTTCACTTCCCTAGCCCTCTTGTCTGTTTTCTGGAATAACTTCCCAAATATATTACCTGCAAGCAAGCCTTTTCCTCAGGCTCTGCTTTCCGGATAAGTAAGCCCAAGACAGAGTGACATGAAATAACATAAGTGAGATAATTTGAAAACCCAAAAATGCTATGCAATACAAGCTATTAATCTGATTTATGTAATGTTAGTAGCCTTCATACCAATTATAACCATAATAATTAATGCTCCTAATGAAGATATTAAAGGATTGAAGCAAAAATTGGCAGGTTTTTTTTTTTCTGAAACTCTGGATCCTCTACAAATTAGAAGTATTCGTTTCCCTGGAGGAACACTAGATTTCTCAAGGGGTATTCAGGCAAAGGGAGAATTAAAAGAATCAGTTTCCAGTGTTATCTCAACTTCCATATCATTCAATTCTTAATACTGATCTGCCAGAGTCCATGCTTGAAGTCAAGTTGTCTTACCATGGTTCCCCTTTCCTTCTTCTCCGTTCATAGTTGCCCTTCTCCCACTACACAAAAGAAAAGCAGAACATTTATCTTGAATCTTGCTATGATGTATTCCATCATCCAACTATGTTTAAAAATAATAGCAACACTGCTGAGAAAGAGTCCTGTGAGAGAAAAGCAAAGGGAGCACTGATAAAAAAAAAAATAACTTTTGTGGACCCATCAGTTACTAATGACCCTATAGCTTCTCTATATGTTAACATGCAGAGATTTCCATAGAGAGATTTAAAATGACCTTATAAAAGTAGAACATTTACTTATGCACAAGTGTAGGACAAAATGATTCTAAAATGCTATGAAGAATGTGATGCCCAGAACTTCAGAAAACCAGTTTCACTTAATTAGAAGAAAACCCTTGCTTTTCAGCTAATATGCTGCCCTAATTATGTCAAATGAATAATTATAAGCAATAATTTTTAACAATAAAACTAAATTACTAATCTATATATAATAACTCTCAAGTGTCTCTCCCTCTGTCTACCACATATTTTAGAAGTGCTTGTAGAAGATTTTGATCAGAAAACTGAAATATGGTCTGTAAAATATATGGCTGCGTGTATGTGTCTGTTTTGTTTGTTTGTAGTCCATGAGACAAATCCTAAAATAAATAATTTCTAATTTTTTGTTTGTTTTAACTCCTTATTTTAAAATAATTTTAGACTTTCTCTTTGTAATTAATACATATTGTATTATTCAGTGTTTTCCAGAGAAACAGAGCTAATAGGTTATATATAGGTATACAGAAAGATGTTTTTATGAAGGATTGGCTTATGTGATTATGGAGTCTGAGAAATCCCATGATCTGCTGTTTGAGAGCTGGAGGCCCAGGAAAGCCAGTGTTTAGTTCCAGTTCAAATCCGGAGGCCTGAGAACCAGTGGAACCAATGGTATAAGTCTCATTCTGAGTTAAAAGTCCCAAGAATGAGGAGCATCGATGTCTGCAGGCAGGAGAAGATGGATGTTCCACCTCAAGCAGAGACAGCAAATTCACTTTTCCTCCACCTTTTTATTCTATTCAGGCCCTAAACAGATCAAATGATCCTCATGTACATTGTTTTCGTTTTGTTTAGTTTTGCATGTCTTAAATATCTTCGCTTCTATTTATTTATGTTTTGGTTGACAATTTGTGTATTTTTTATTTTTTTAAAGTTTTATTTTAAGTTCTGGGATACATGTGCAATGTGCAGCGTGTGCAGGTTTGTAACATAGGTAAACGTGTGCCATAGTGGTTTGCTGCACCTATCAACCTATCACCTAGGTATTAAGCCCAGCATGTGTTAGCTATTTGTCTTCATGTTCTCCCTTCCCACACACAGCCCCCCAGTAGGTGTTCAGCTCTCACATATAAGTGAGAAAATGTGGTGGTTGGTTTTTTGTTCCTGTGTTAGTTTGCTGAGGATAATGGCTTCCAGCTCCATTCATGTCCCTGCAAAGGACATGATCTCATTCCTTTTTACGGCTGCATAGTATTCCATGGTGTACATGTACCACATTTTCTTAATCCAGTCTATCATTGATGGGCATGTGGGTTGATTCCATGTCTTTGCTATTGTGAATAGTGCTGCAATGATCATATGCGTGCATGAATCTTTATAATAGAATGATTTATACTCATGCACTTTGTTGATCATGATCTTTTTTAGTCAGTCTACTGAGTAGACAGAGAATATGCTAATGCAAATGCTAATCTCTTCTGGAAACACCCTCACAGACACACCCAGAAATAATGTTCACCAGCTATCTGAGCATCCTTGATCCCAGTTAAGTTGACACATAAAATTAACCATCACATGTATCTTGGAGTAGATACTTTGAAGCTATGCAAATATCCTGTTTCTCCTTAAACTTTTGCCCATTGATTTTAGCATCCATTGGTGGATCTTCTCTGCAACAATAATTACCGTGGTGTTCTAATGGTGATTTTCTCTTTCCCTCAATCTTTGTACATTTATTAATTGGAATTCTTCTGTAAAGAAGAGTTGTTCCTTCACAATTTTGTGTTTGATTTTTTTTATTCTACATGTTATGATCCTATACTGTTTTTATTTATTCTGTTGCTCAAATTGTTCTCATTTTGATCATAGGGATCTCTAATAATAGAGAGAGAAATGTCCTTAAAAGTCAAATGGTTTAAATTATTTGCTTCCGATAAAATTGAGCTAGTTGCATTATCAGTGACTGATCATTAAAAAGTGTGTTGATGGTAGAACACTGTGTAACGTTTCACATGTAACACAGAAGACATTCAAAGAAACTTCCATTCTTATAAACTTATTTATATAAACAAAATTTCTCAATACTTTTCTATAAAAAGTAAAAATTAATGACCAGTGATGATGAGCTTTTTTTCATAAAAGAAAGCAATTGAATTGATACTGAGACTTACCTAAATCTAGCAATTTTCAATAACATTTTGCTTATTTTCCCATAGGTTATTGGGGTACAGGTAGTGTTTGGTTACATGAGTAAGTTCCTTAGTGATGATTTGTGAGATTTTCGTTCACCCATCACCTAAGAAGTATACACTGCACCCAGTTTGCAGTCTTTTATCCCCCATCCCCCTCCCATTCTTCCCCCGCAAGTCCCCAAAGTCCATTGTATCATTCTTATGCCTTTGCACCCTCATAGCTTAGCTCCCACGTATCAGTGAGAACATACAATGTTTGGTATCCCATTCCTGAGTTACTTCACTTAGGATAATAGACTCCAATCTCATCCAGGTCGATATGAATGCCATTAATTGATTCCTTTTTATGGCTGAGTAGTATTCCCTATATATCACAATTTATTTATCCACTTGTTGATTGATGGGCATTTGGGTTGGTTCCATGATTTTGCAATTGCGAATTGTGCTGCTATAAACATGCGTGTGCAAGTATCTTTTTTGAATAATGAATCCTTTTCCTCTGGATAGATACCCAGTAGTGGGATTGCTGGATCAAATGGTAGTTCTACTGTTAGTTCTTTAAGAAATGTCCACACTGTTTTCCATAGTGGCTGTGCTAGTTTACATTCCCGCCAGCAGTGTAAAAGTGTTCCCTTATCACTGCATCCACGTCAACATCTACTGTTTTTAGATTTCTCGATTATGGCTATTTTTGCAGGAATAAGGTGGTATTCCACTGTGGTTTTGACTTGCATTTCCCTGATCATTAGTGATGCTGAGCACTTTTTCATATGTTTGTTGGCCATTCGTATAACTTCTTTTGAGAATTGTCTATTCATGTCCTCAGCCCACTTTTTGACGGGATTGTTTTTTTCTTAACGATTTGCTT
The DNA here is from genome assembly GCF_000001405.40 of Homo sapiens. NCBI lineage: Eukaryota > Metazoa > Chordata > Mammalia > Primates > Hominidae > Homo > Homo sapiens. The sequence goes on along the minus strand of NC_000023.11, from coordinate 112,598,613 downwards.
GAGCTCATTGTAGATTTTGGATATTAGTCCTTTGTCAGATGTATAGATTGTGAAGATTTTCTCCCACTCTATGGGTTGTCTGTTTATTCTGCTGACTGTTCCTTTTGCTATGCAAAAGCTCTTCAGTTTAATTAAGTCCCAGCTATTTAGCTTTGTTTTTATTGAATTTACTTTTGGGTTCTTGGTCATGAAATCTTCACCTAAGCCAATGTCTAGAAGGGTTTTTCCAATGTTTTCTTCTAGAATTTTTATAGTTTCAGGTCTTAGATTTAAGTCCTTAATCCATCTTGAGTTGATTTTTGTGTAACGTGAGAGATGAGGATCCAGTTTCCTTCTCCTACATATGGCTAGCCAATTATCCCAGCATCATTTGTTGAAAAGGGTGTCCTTTCCCTACTTTATATTTTGGTTTGCTTTGTCGAATATCATTTGGCTGTAAGTATTTGGGTTTATTTCTGGGTTCTTTATTCTGTTCCGTGGATCTATGTGCCTATTTTTATACCAGTTCCATGCTGTTTTGGTGACTATGGCCTTACAGTATACTTTGAAATCTGGTAGTGTGATGCCTCCAGATTTGTTCTTTGTGCTTAGTCTTGTTTCAGCTAAGTGGGCTCTTTTTTGGTTCCATATGAATTATAAAATTGCTTTTTCTAGCTCTGCAAAGAATGATGCTGGTATTTTGATGGCAACTGCATTGAATTTGTAGAGCACTTTTGGCAGTATGGTCATTTTCACAATATTGATTCTACCTGTCCATGAGCATGAAATGTGTTTCCATTTGTTTGTGTCTCCTATGATTTCTTTCAGCTGTGTTTTGTAGTTTTCCTTGTAGAAGTCTTTTGCCTCCTTGGTTAGGTATATTTCTAAGTATTTTATTTATTTATTTATTGCAGCTCTTGTAAAATGGGTTGAGCTCTTGATTTGATTCTCTGCTTGGTCGCTGTTGGTGTATAGAAGAGCTATGTAGAGAATGTACTGATTTGTGTACATTAATCTTGTATCCAGAAACTTTGATGAATTCTTTGACCAGGTCTAGGAGCTTACTAGAGGAGTCTCTATGGTTTTTGAGGTACATGATCATATCATCAGCAAACAGTGACATTTTAACTTCCTCTTTACCAATTTGGATGCCCTTTATTTATTTCTTTTGTCTGATTGCTCTGGCTAGGACTTCCAGAACTATGTTGAAGAGGAGTGGTGAGAGTGGGCAGCCTTGTCTTGTTCCAGTTCTCAGAGGGAATGCTTTCAACTATTCCCTATTCAGTATTATGTTGGCTGTGGATTTGTCATAGATGGCTTTTATTACATTGAGGTGTGTCCCTTGTATGCTGATTTTCTTGACAGTTTTACTCATAAAGGGATGTTGAATTTGTCAAATGCTTTTTCTGCATCTATTGAGATAGTCATGTGATTTTTGTTTTTAATTCTGTTTATGTAGTGTATCACATTTATTGACTTGCATATGTTAAACCATGCCTGCATCCCTACCATGAGACCCACTTAATCATGGCGGATTATCTTTTTGATATGTTGTTGGATTCAGTTAGCTAGTATTTTGTTAAGGATTTTAGCATCTGTGTTCATCAGGGATGTCGGCCTGTAGTTTTCTTTTTTGGTTATGTCCTTTCCTGGTTTTAGTATTAGGGTGATGCTGGCTTCATAGAATGAATTAAGGAAGATTCCATCTTTCTCTGTCTTGTGGAATAGTGTCAAAAAGATTAGTGCCAATTCTTCTTTGAATGTCAAATAGAATTCTGCTGTGAATCCATCTGGTCCTGGAATTTTTTTGTTGGTACTTTTTAAATTACCATTTCAATCTCGCTGCTTGTTACTAGTCTGTTAAAGGTATCTAATTCTTCCTGATTTAAGCTAGCAGAGTTGTATTTTTCCAGGAATTTATCCATCTCTTCTAGGTTTTCTAGTTTATGTGTGTAAAGGTGTTCATAGTAGCCTTGAATGATCTTTTGTATTTCAATGGTGTCAGTTGTAATATCTTCTGTTTCATTTCTTAGAGAGGTTATTTGGCGTTTCACTCTTCTTCTCTTGGTTAATCTTGCCAATGGTCTATCAATTTTGTTTATATTTTCAGAGAACCTGCTTTTTGTTTCATTACCTTTTGTATTTTTTTTTTTGTTTCAATTTCATTTAGTTCTGCTCTGATCTTGGTTATTTCCTTTCGTCTGCTGGGTTTGGGTTTGGTTTGCTCTCGTTTCTCTAGTTTCCTGAGGTGTCACCTTAGAGTGTCAATTAATTTGTGCTCTTTCAGTCTTTTGTGTTTTTATTTATTTATTTATTTATTTTATTTTTTATTTTTTATTTTTCATTTATTTATCTTTTTTATTATCATTATACCTGAAGTTTTAGGGTACATGTGCACAATGTGCAGGTTAGTGACATATGTATACATGTGCCATGCTGGTGTGCTGCACCCATTAACTCGTCATTTAGCATTAGGTATATCTCCTAATGCTATCCCTCCCCCTTCCCCCTACCCCACAACAGTCCCCAGAGTGTGATGTTCCCCTTCCTGTGTCCATGTGTTCTCATTGTTCAATTCCCATCTATGAGTGAGAACATGTGGCGTTTGGTTTTTTGTCCTTGCAATAGTTTACTAAGAATGATGATTTACAATTTCATCCATGTCCCTACAAAGGACATGAACTCATCATTTTTTATGGCTGCATAGTATTCCATGGTGTATATGTGCCACATTTTCTTAATCCAGTCTATCATTGTTGGACATTTGAGTTGGTTCCAAGTCTTTGCTATTGTGAATAGTGCCACAATAAACATACGTGTGCATGTGTCTTTATAGCAGCATGAATTATAGTCCTTTAGGTATATACCCAGTGATGGGATGGCTGGGTCAAATGGTATTTCGAGTTCTAGATCCCTGAGGAATCGCCACACTGACTTCCACAATGGTTGAACTAGATTACAGTCCCACCAACAGTGTAAAAGTGTTCCTATTTCTCCACATCCTCTCCAGCACCTGTGGTTTCCTGACTTTTTAATGATTGCCATTCTAACTGGTGTGAGATGATATCTCATTGTGGTTTTGATTTGCATTTCTCTGATGGTCAGTGATGATGAGCATTTTTTCATGTGTCTTTTGGCTGCATAAATGTCTTCTTTTGAGAAGTGTCTGTTCATATCCTTTGCCCACTTTTTGATGGGGTTGTTTTTTTCTTGTAAATTTGATTGAGTTCATTATAGATTCTGGATATTAGCCCTTTGTCAGATGAGTAGGTTGAGAAAATTTTCTCCCATTTTGTAGGTTGCCTGTTCACTCTGATGGTAGTTTCTTTTGCTGTGCAGAAGCTCTTTAGTTTAATTAGATCCCATTTGTCAATTTTGGCTTTTGTTGCCATTGCTTTTGGTGTTTTAGACATGAAGTCCTTGCCCATGCCTATGTCCTGAATGGTAATGCCTAGGTTTTCTTCTAGGGTTTTTATGGTTTTAGGTCTACCTTTAAGTCTTTAATCCATCTTGAATTAATTTTTGTATAAGATGTAAGGAAGGGATCCAGTTTCAGCTTTCTACATATGGCTAGCCAGTTTTCCCAGCACCATTTATTAAATAGGGAATTCTTTCCCCATTTCTTGTTTTTCTCAGGTTTGTCAAAGATCAGATAGTTGTAGATATGCGGCATTATTTCTGAGGGCTCTGTTCTGTTCCATTGATCTATATCTCTGTTTTGGTACCCCTACCATGCTGTTTTGGTTACTGTAGCCTTGTAGTACAGTTTGAAGTCAGGTAGCCTGATGCCTCCAACTTTATTCTTTTGGCTTAGGATTGACTTGGTGATGCGGGCTCTTTTTTGGTTCCATATGAACTTTAAAGTAGTTTTTTCCAATTCTGTGAAGAAAGTCATTGGTAGCTTGATGGGGATGGCATCGAATCTATAAATTACCTTGGGCAGTATGGCCATTTTCACATTATTGATTCTTCCTACCCATGAGCATGGAATGTTCTTCCATTTGTTTGTATCCTCTTTTATTTCCTTGAGCAGTGGTTTGTAGTTCTCCTTGAAGAGGTCCTTCACATCCCTTGTAAGTTGGATTCCTAGGTATTTTATTCTGTTTGAAGCAATTGTGAATGGGAGTTCACTCATGATTTGGCTCTCTGTTTGTCTGTTATTGGTGTATAAGAATGCTTGTGATTTTTGTACATTGATTTTGTATCCTGAGACTTTGCTGAAGTTGCTTATCAGCTTAAGGAGATTGTGGGCTGAGACAATGGGGTTTTCTAGAGATACAATCATGTCATCTGCAAACAGGGACAATTTGACTTCCTCTTTTCCTAATTGAATACCCTTTATTTCCTTCTCCTGCCTAATTACCCTGGCCAGAACTTCCAACACTATGTTGAATAGGAGTGGTGAGAGAGGGCATCCCTGTCTTGTGCCAGTTTTCAAAGGGAATGCTTCCAGTTTTTGTCCATTCAGTATGGTATTGGCTGTGGGTTTGTCATAGATAGCTCTTATTATTTTGAGATACGTCCCATCAATACCTAATTTATTGAGAGTTTTTAGCATGAAGGGTTGTTGAATTTTGTCAAAGGCCTTTTCTGCATCTATTGAGATAATCATGTGGTTTTTGTCTTTGGTTCTGTTTATATGCTGGATTACGTTTATTGATTTGTGTATATTGAACCAGCCTTGCTTCCCAGGGATGAATCCCACTTGATCATGGTGGATAAGCTTTTGGATGTGCTGCTGGATTCGGTTTGCCAGTATTTTATTGAGGATTTTTGCATTAATGTTCATCAAGGATATTGGTCTAAAATTCTCTTTTTTGGTTGTGTCTCTGCCAGATTTTGGTATCAGGATGATGCTGGCCTCATAAAATGAGTTAGGGAGCATTCCCTCTTTTTCTATTGATTGGAATAGTTTCAGAAGGAATGGTACCAGTTCCTCCTTGTACCTCTGGTAGAATTCGGCTGTGAATCCAACTGGTCCTGGACTCTTTTTGGTTGGTAAGCTATTGATTATTGCCACAATTTCAGATCCTGTTATTGGTCTATTCAGAGATTCAACTTCTTCCTGGTTTAGTCTTGGGAGGGTGTATGTGTTGAGGAATTTATCCATTTCTTCTAGATTTTCTAGTTTATTTGCCCAGAGGTGTTTGTAGTATTCTCTGATGGTAATTTGTATTTCTGTGGGATCGGTGGTGATATCCCCTTTATCATTTTTTATTGGGTCTATTTGATTCTTCTCTCTTTTTTTCTTTATTAGTCTTGCTAGTGGTCTATCAATTTTGTTGATCCTTTCAAAAAACCAGCTCCTGGATTCATTAATTTTTTGAAGGGTTTTTTGTGTCTCTATTTCCTTCAGTTCTGTTCTGATTTTAGTTATTTCTTGCCTTCTGCTAGCTTTTGAATGTGTTTGCTCTTGCTTTTCCAGCTCTTTTAATTGTGATGTTAGGGTGTCAATTTTGGATCTTTCCTGCTTTCTCTTGTGGGCATTTAGTGCTATAAGTTTCCTTCTACACACTGCTTTGAATGTGTCCCAGAGATTCTGGTATGTTGTGTCTTTGTTCTTGTTGGTTTCAAAGAACATCTTTATTTCTGCCTTCATTTTGTTATGTACCCAGTAGTCATTCAGGAGCAGGTTGTTCAGTTTCCATGTAGTTGAGCGGTTTTGAGTGAGATTCTTTATCCTGAGTTCTAGTTTGATTGCACTGTGGTCTGAGAGACAGTTTGTTATAATTTCTGTTCTTTTACATTTGCTGAGGAGAGCTTTACTTCCAAGTATGTGGTCAATTTTGGAATAGGTGTGGTGTGGTGCTGAAAAAAATGTATATTCTGTTGATTTGGGGTGGAGAGTTCTGGAGATGTCTATTAGGTCTGCTTGTTGCAGAGCTGAGTTCAATTCCTGGGTATCCTTTTTAACTTTCTGTCTCGTTGATCTGTCTAATGTTGACGGTGGGGTATTAAAGTCTCCCATTATTATTGTGTGGGAATCTAAGTCTCTTTGTAAGTCACTCAGGACTTGCTTTATGAATCTGGGTGCTCCTGTATTGGGTGCATATATATTTAGGATAGTTAGCTCTTCTTGTTGAATTGATGCCTTTACCATTATGTAATGTCCTTCTTTGTCTCTTTTGATCTTTGTTGATTTAAAGTCTGTTTTATCAGAGACTAGGATTGCAACCCCTGCCTTTTTTTGTTTTCCATTTGCTTGGTAGATCTTCCTCCATCCTTTTATTTTGAGCCTATGTGTGTCTCTGCATGTGAGATGGGTTTCCTGAATACAGCACACTGATGGGTCTTGACTCTTTATCCAATTTGGCAGTCTGTGTCTTTTAATTGGAGCATTTAGTCCATTTACGTTTAAAGTTAATATTGTTATGTGTGAATTTGATCCTGTCATTATGATGTTAGCTGGTTATGTTGCTCGTTAGTTGATGCAGCTTCTTCCTAGTCTCAATGATCTTTACATTTTGGCATGATTTTGCAGCAGCTGGTACCGGTTGTTCCTTTCCATGTTTAGTGCTTCCTTCAGGAGCTCTTTTAGGGCAGGCCTGGTGGTGACAAAATCTCTCAGCATTTGCTTGTCTATGAAGTATTTTATTTCTCCTTCACTTATGAAGCTTAGTTTGGCTGGATATGAAATTCTGGGTTGAAAATTCTTTTCTTTAAGAATGTTGAATATTGGCCCCCACTCTATTCTGGCTTGTAGAGTGTCTGCCGAGAGATCCGCTGTTTTTCTGATGAACTTCCCTTTGTGGGTAACCCGACCTTTCTCTCTGGCTGCCCTTAATATTTTTTCCGTCATTTCAACTTTGGTGAATCTGACAATTATGTGTCTTGGAGTTGCTCTTCTCGAGAAGTATCTTTGTGGCATTCTCTGTATTTCCTGAATCTGAATGTTGGCCTGCCTTGCTAGATTGGGGAAGTTCTCCTGGATAATATCCTGCAGAGTCTTTTCCAACTTGGTTCCATTCTCCCTGTCACTTTCAGGTACACCAATCAGACATAGATTTGGTCTTTTCACATAGTCCCATGTTTCTTGGAGGCTTTGTTCATTTCTTTTTATTCTTTTTTCTCTAAACTTCCCTTCTCACTTCATTTCATTCATTTCATCTTCCATCACTGATACCCTTTCTTCCAGTTGATCCCATTGGCTCCTGAGGCTTCTGCATTCTTCAAGTAGTTCTCGAGCCTTGGCTTTCAGCTCCAGCAGCTCCTTTAAGCACTTCTCTGTATTGGTTATTCTAGTTATACATTCGTCTAAATTTTTTTTCAAAGTTTTCAGCTTCTTTGCCTTTGGTTTGAATTTCCTCCTGTAGCTCAGAGTAGTTTGATCGTCTGAAGCCTTCTTCTCTCAACTCGTCAAAGTCATTCTCCATCCAGCTTTGTTCCATTGCTGGTGAGGAACTGTGTTCCTTTGGAGGAGGAAAGGTGCTCTGCTTTTTAGAGTTTCCAGTTTTTCTGCTCTGTTTTTTCCCCATCTTTGTGGTTTTATCTACTTTTGGTCTTTGATGATGGTGATGTACAGATGGATTTTTGGTGTGGATGGCCTTTCTGTTTGTTAGTTTTCCTTCTAACAGACAGGACCCTGAGCTGCAGGTCTGTTGGAGTTTGCTAGAGGTCCACTCCAGACCCTGTTTGCCTGGGTATCAGCAGTGGTGTCTGCAGAACCGCGGATTTTCGTGATCTGCGAATGCTGCTGTCTGATCGTTCCTCTGGAAGTTTTGTCTCAGAGGAGTATCCGGCCATGTGAGGTGTCAGTCTGCCCCTACTGGGGGGTGCATCCCAGTTAGGCTGCTCGGGGTTCAGGGGTCAGGGACCCACTTGAGGAGGCAGTCTGCCTGTTCTCAGATCTCCAACTGCATGCTGGGAGAACCACTGCTCTCCTCAAAGCTGTCAGACAGGGACATTTAAGTCTGCAGAGGTTACTGCTGTCTTTTTTTTTGTCTGTACCCTGCCCCCAGAGGTGGAGCCTACAGAGGCAGGCAGGCCTCCTTGAGCTGTGGTTGGCTCCACCCAGTTCGAGCTTCCCGGCTCCTTTATTTACCTAAGCGAGCCTGGGCAATGGCGGGCGCCCCTCCCCCAGCCTTGCTGCCGCCTTGCAGTTTGATCTCAGACTGCTGTGCTAGCAATCAGCGAGACTCCATGGGTGTAGGACCCTCTGAGCCACGTGCGGGATATAATCTCCTGGTGCACCGTTTCCTAAGCCCGTCGGAAAAGCACAGTATTCAGGTGGGAGTGGCCCGATTTTCCAGGTGCCGTCTGTCACCCCTTTCCTTGACCAGGAAAGGGAACTCCCTGATCCCTTGCACTTCCCGAGTGAGGCAATGCCTCACCCTGCTTTGGCTCACACATGGTGCACTGCACCCACAGTCCTGCACCCACTGTCTGGCACTCTGTAGTGAGATGAACCCGGTACCTCAGATGGAAATGCAGAAATCACCCGTCTTCTGCGTCGCTCATGCTGGGAGCTGTAGACTGGAGCTCTTCCTATTTGGCCATCTTGGCTCCTCCCCCACTATTTCTTTGTCTTTTGATGTAGGTGTTTAGGGCTATGAAATTTCCTCTTACTACTGCCTTTGCTATATCCCAGAGGTTTTGATAAATTATGTCATTATTGTCATTCAGTTCAAAGAATTTTTAAATTTCCATCTTCATTTCATTTTTGACCCAATGCTTATTCAGAAGCAGGATATTTAATTTCCATGTATTTGCATAGTTTTGTAGGTTCTTTTGGAGTTGATTTCCAGTTTTATTCCACTGTGGTCTGAGAGAGTGCTTGGTATACTTTTAATTTTCTTAAATTTATTGAGGCTTGTTTTATGGCCTATCATATGGTCTATCTTGAAGAAAGTTTCACACACTGTTGAATAGAATGTGTAGTTTGTGGTTGTTTGATGAAATGTTCTGTATGTATCTGTTAAGTCCATTTGTTCAAAGGTATAGTTTAAATCCATTGTTTCTTTGCTGACTTTCTGTTGTGATGACCTGAGTAGTGTTGTCAGTGGAGTATTGAAGTCCCCCACTATTATTGCATTGCTGTCTATCTCATTTCTTAGGTCTATTACTAACTGTTTTATAAATTTGGGAGCTCCAGTGTTAGGTGCATATATGTTTAGGATTGCAATATTTTCCTGTTGGACAAGGCCTTTTACCGTTATATAATATCCTTCTTTGTCTCTTTTAACTGCTGTGGCTTTAAAGTTTTTTTTGTCTGATATAAGAATAGGTATGCCTGCTCACTTTGTGTCCATTTGCATGAAATGCCTTTTTCCACCCCTTTACTTTAAGTTTATGTGAGTCCTTATGTGTTAGGTGAGTCTCCTGAAGCCAGCAGATAGTTGGTTGGTGAGTTCTTATCCATTCTGCAGTTCTTTACCTTTTTAGTGGAGCATTTAGGCCATTTATATTCAGTGTTAGTATTGAGATGTGAAGTACCATTCCATTCATTTTGCTGTGTACCGTGTTCTTTTGTTTCTGCTTTTTAAATTGTCATTTGTTTTATAGGTCCTGTGTGATTTAGCCTTTAAAGGTTCTGTTTTGATGTGTTTCCAGGATTTGTTTCCAGATTTAGAGCTCCTTTTCACAGGTCTTGTTTTTGTGGCTTGGTAGTGGCAAATTCTCTCAGCATTTGTTTGTCTGGAAAAGACTATCTTTCCCTCATATATGATGCTTACTTTCATTGGAGACAAAATTCTTTACTGATAATTGTTTTGTTCTAGGATGTTGAAGATAGGGCCCCAACCCCGTCTAGCTTGTAGGGTTTCTGCTGAGAAATGTGCTGTTAATCTGATAGGTTTTCTTTTATAGGTTACCTGGTGCTTTTGTCTCACAGCTCTTAAGATTCTTTCCTTCATCTTGTGTGATGAATTTCCCAGGTGTTCTTTGTGCTTCTTGTATTTGGATGTCTAGGTCTCTAGCAAGGCTGAGGAAGTTTTCCTCAATTATTCCCCCAAATTATCCAAACTTTTAGATTTCTCTTCTTTCTCAGTGACACTGATTATTCTTAGGTTTGGTCGTTTAACATAACCCCAAACTTCTTGGAGGCTTTGTTCATATTTTCTAATTCTTTTTTCTTTGCCTTTGATGGATTGGGTTAATTCAAAGACCTTGTCTTCAAGCTCTGAATTTCTTCTACTTGTTCAATTTTATTGCTGAGACTTTCTAGAACATTTTGCATTTCTATAAGTGTGTCCAATGTTTTCTGAAGTTTTGATTGTTTTTTTCTTTATGCTATCTATTTCCTTGAATATTTCCCCCTTTGCTTCTTGTATCATTTTTTTTTTGGATTCCCTTGCATTGAGTTTGCCTTTCTCTTGTGCCACCCTGATTGGCTTAATAACTAACCTCCTGAATTCTTTTTTAGGTAAATATGGGATTTCTTCTTGGTTTGTATCCATTGCTGGTGAGCTAGTGCAATTTTGGGGGGGTGTTAGAGAGCCTTGTTTTGTCGTATTGCCAGAGTTAGTTTTCTGGTTCCTTCTCATTTGGGTAGGCTCTGTCAGAGAAAAGGTCTAGGGCTGAAGTCTGTCATTCAGATTCTTTTGTCCCATGGGGTGTTTCCTTGATGTAGTACTCTCCCCCTTTTCCTATGTATGTGGTTTCCTGAGAGCTGATCTGCAGTGATTGTTATCTCTATTCTGGGTGTAGCCACCCAGCAAGTCTACCAGGCTTTGGGCTGGTACTGGATGTTGTCTGCATAGAATCCTGTGATGTGAACCATCTATGGGTATCTCAGCCATGGATACCAGTACCTGTTCTGGTGGAGGTGGCTGGCGGGGGGTGAAATGGACTCTGTGAGTGCTCTTAGCTTTGGTGGTTTAATGTTCTGCTTTTGTGCTGGTTGGCCTCCTGCAGGGAGGTGGTTCTTTCTAGAGAGCATCAGCTGTGGTAGTATGGAGAAGAATTGCTGGTGGACAGGGCCCTAGAATTCTTAAGAGTATATGTTATTTGTCTTCAGCTGCTAGGGTGGGTAGGGAAGGCCCATCAGGTGGGGGCAGGGCTAGGCATATTTGAGCTCAGATTCTTTTTGGGTGGGTCTTGCTGTGGCTGCTGTTGGAGATGGGAGTTAAATTCCCAGGTCAATGGAGTTGTGTACCTAGAAGGATTATGGTTGCCTCTGCTGAGCCATGCAGGTTGTCAAGGAAGTGGGGGAAAGCCAGCAGTCACAGGCCTCATCCAGCTCCCACCATGTCCCCCCCCGCTAACAGCACTGAGTCTGTTTCCAGGCAGTGGAGGAGAAGGGCTTGAGAACTTGCCTGAGGCTACCCACCTCCCAGCTGTGAAAGAAAAGGGCTTTGGTTCTTCTCTTGCCTGTGGAGTCTGCACACTGGATTAGTGCCCTCCCCCAAGTTCTGATCAGGAGGCTTCTCACCCTTTTCAAATTGTTACAAAGTTCAGCTGGAGACTTTCTTCTCCTTGTGGCATTTTCCCCTTGCCTCTGGCTGCCCTTCTGAAGGATCCCTGTGGTGCCAGGCAGGAGTTGCCTGCTTGGGGACCCAGCAAGCTCCCAGGGCCTTTTCTGTTGCTTCCTCTACCCCGTATTTCACTCAACGCTCTAAATTCACTCAGTTCCAGGTAAGGTCAGAAATTTCTCCCGCAAACTAGACCTTCAGTTTCCCCAGTGGGAATGTGTGTTCAGGAGCGAAGGATCTCCCTTTCTCACTACCACAGTTTGGGCACTCACAGTATTGGGGTGTCTCCTGGGTCCTGCAGGGCAGTCCGCTTTTTTCAGAGGGTCTGTGGGTCCTCTCGGCTTTCCTGGTTTTCTGCTTTTTCATATTAAGTAATTTTCAAAAAATGTGTGATATAGTCATGTAGTTTTATCAATTATGTGCTATGCATAGTAGTAATGGCAACTCACTCTAGGAAATAAAAGCAATTAGAGACTCATGGTCACAAAAAATAAAAATAAAATTATATATATAAATACAAGTATGTGGGAGTGATCAGTAAGATACTTTTAAACATATTAATATATTGTAATACTCTGTGGGGGGAGTAAAACAGAAATACAAGTTCAAGGAGAAAAGATGTTCACATATTTTTTATTTTTTCCTATTGAAACCATCGTTTAATTTAAAATTTTATTTGTAAAAATTAGTACAAAATTTGATTATTTTTTTGTGTACAAGTTGATGTAACGACCACTGTAATGATGACACAAATCAGGGATATAAGCCCTCAAATCTCCTTTATGCATCTCTTTATAGCAACATCTTCTTCCCATGCCTAATCTACACCAACAACTAATCTATTCTTAATTACAATATTTGTTATCTATTTGAAAATGTCATAAAAGTAGAACTTTATAGTATGTAATATTTTGAGACTTGTTCATTTTACTCAGTACAATGCGTTTCAGATTTATCTAAGTTGTTGAAAGTATCAATTGTGTATTTTTTATATTACTGAATATTGTTTAAAATACCCTTTTCTGTTGCATTGATTTATATCTTTGTCAAATAAATTGGTTATGTATATCGGTCAATTTTGGGACTCTTTTTTTTCTATTCCATTTGTCTATGTGTGTTTTTGTCAGTAGCATGCTGTCTTAATCACTGTGGCATTATGGTAAATCTTAAAATTGTGTAGTGCAATTTATTCTTCTTTTTCAAAATTGTTTCAACTATGCTAGCTCTTTTGACCCTCAGTATAATTTTTAGGATTAGCTGAATTTGTTGAAATCTGTAAAAAACAGTTGGGATTTTGGTTAAAATTGCATTAAATCTCTAGAACAATTTGAGGAGATTTGACATTTTGACTATGTTGAAACTTTCAGTCCACAAACATGGTATGCATTTTCGTTACTTAGGTCTTTTGAAATAATATTTAACCTACTTATTAGTCCTAGAAATATTATTTTTATTCCTTGAGAATTAAAGAATATTTCTAGATGTACAATTATATTGCTCACAAATAAGAAGAGGTTTTTTCCTTCCTTCTATGTAAATTGTTATTTATTTCCTTGCCTATTACACTAGATAGGACTTCAATTATGGTGCTGAATAAAAGTATTGGAAAAGAACATTAGTGCCTTTTCCCCAAAATTAAGGTGAAAAAATGTAACCTTTCACCATTATGTATAAAGTTAGCTGTAGATTTCTTGTAAACATCTGTTGTCATAAATTGGCATTGAGTATTGATAAAGGGTTTTTTGCATCAAAGTTTATATAATTACATAGTTTTTCTTTCTTCCCCCAGCTTTGCTGAGGTGCAGTTTTATACATAAAGCTGCGCATAATTAACATATATAATATGGTGACTTTGGACATATGTATTCCCTTGTGTTTTTATTATCACAATCAAGGTACTAAACAGATTCATCACCTCCAAAAGTTTCTTTCTTTCCTTTTGTTTTTTGTTTCTTTGTTTTGTTTCTGTTTTTGTCAAGTTTATATTTCTTTTGGATAGCTCATTATTAGTTTATAGAAATGCAACTGACTTTCTAATGTTGATTTCATATTCTACAACTTTACTGAATTTATTAGTTCTAAGAGTTTGTGTATGTGTGTGTGTGTGTTTTTAGACTTTAGTGCTCTCTACATACGAGATCATGTCATCTGTATACAGAGATCATTTTACTTGTTCCTTTCAATTTCAGATGCCTTTGCTTTTTGTCTTGCCTAACTGCTTTTGTTAGGACTTTCAGTACAATGTTGAATAGAAGGTGGTAAGCATAGGTATCCTTGACTTATTCCAGATAAAAGAGAAAAAACTTTCAGTATTTTACTTTGAGTATTGAGATGGTTTGGACTTGTCCCCCCTGAAGTCTCATCTTGAATTGTAACTCCCAAAATTCCTACATGTTGTGGGAGGAACCAGGTGGGAAGTGATTGAATTATGGGGGCAGGTCTTTCCTGCACTGTTCTCTTGATAATGAGTGAGTCTCATGAGATCTGATGGTTTAAAAAAAATGGGAGTTTCCCTGCACAAGTTTTCTTTGCCTGCTGCCATCCACACAAGATGTGACTTGCTCCTCCCTGCCTTCTACCATGATTGTGAGGCCTCCCCAGCCATGTGGAACTGAGAGTCCAATTAAACCTCTTTCTTCCATAAATTTCCCAGTCTCGAGTGTGTCTTTTTCAGCTGCATGAAAATGGACTAATACAAGTATAATGTTAGTTGTGGGCTTTTCATATGTGGCCTTTATTGTGTTTAGGTAATTTTTTTCATTTTTTCTTTTGAGACGGAGTCTCGCTTTGTCACCCAGGCTGGATTTGTTGACTGTTTTTATCCCGAAAGGGTTTTGAATTTTCTCAAATACTTTTTGTGCATCTATTGAGACAAACACATGATTTTTGCCCTTCTTTCTACCAATGTGGTGTGTCACATTTATTGATTTGTGTATGTTGAACCATCCTTGCATCCCTGGGATATCCCACTATATCATGGTGATGTGATTTGGATGTTTGTTCCCTCCAAATCTCATGTTGAAATGTAATCCCCAATGTTGGAAGTAGGGCCTGGTGGGAGGTGTTTGGGTTATGGGGGTGGATTCCTCATGAACAGATTGGGGCTGTCCTTGCAGTAGTGAGTGAGTTATTGTGAGATCTGCTTGTTTAAAATATGTGGCACCTCCCCTCACTCTTGCTCCTGCTCTCACCATGTAATATGCTGATTCATGCATTGCCTTCCACCATGAGGGCTTACCAGAAGCCATGCAGATGCTGGTGCCATGTTTGTACAGTCTGCAGAACTGTGAGCCAATTAAACCTGCTTTATTTATAAATTATCCAGCCTCAGGTATTTCTTTATAGCAACGCAAATGGACTAGCACATATAGTGTATGATCCTTTTCAAGTGCTGTTGAATTCAGTTTACTAATATATTGTTGAGAATTTTTGCATCCATGTTCGTCAGAGCTATTGACCTGTAGTTTTCTTTTTTTGTGTGTGGTGTCATTGGCTTTGGTATCAGTGATGCTGGCTGCATAAAATGAGTTCAGAAATGTTCCTTGTTCTATTTTTTGGAAGAGTTTAACAAGTTTCATACTAATTCTTTAAATGTTCGGAAGAATTCATACATAAAGGCATCTGGTCCTGAGCTTTCTGTTGTTTGGAAGTTTTTTGATTACCCATTCAATTTCTATATTTGCTATTGGTTTGTTCAGGGTTTCTATTTCTTCTTAAATCAGTCTTTGTAGGATGTTTATGTCTAGGAAATTATCAATTTCTTCTAAGTTGTTCAATTTGTTGGTGTAAAATCTTTCATAACAATTCCTTCTGATCTTTTAAAAATTTTCTTGGCATAAGTTGTAATGCCTCATTTTTCATTTCTGATTTTATTTATGTGAGCCTTCTCTCTTTCTTTCTTAGTCTAGCTAAGGGTTTGTAAATTTTATCTTTTCAAAAACCCACCTCTTAGTTTCATTGATTTTTAAACTCTTTTTTATTCTCTTTCATTTATTTCAGCTCCAACTTTTATTATTTCCTTTTTTCTGCTAAATTTGTCCTCACTTTGTTTTTCTTTTTATAGTTTCTTGAGTTTTAAAGTTAGTTTGTTTAATTGAGACCTTTTTTCTTTTTTAAATGTAGGCATTTATCACTATAACATTCCCTTCTAATAATGCACTTGCTGTATCTCATAAGTTTTGGGATGTTGTGTTTTTATTTTCATTTTTTGAGATTTTTTTTTATTTCTTCTTTGTTCAAATGGTTGTTTAAGAGCATGTTGTCTAATTTCCATGTATTTGTGAGTTTTCTTTATCTAATTGTGTTAGGGATTTATAGTTTTATTCCAGTTTGGGTGAAAAAGACACTTAAAATTATTTCAAACTTCTTTAATTTGTTAAGACGTTTTATGTTACCTAGCATGTGATCTACCCTATAAAATATTCTGTGTGCACTTGAAAAGAATATGTATTCTGCTACTATTTGGTAGAATGTTCTGTATATGTTAAGTTCATTTGATCTATAGTGTTGTTCAAGTTTGCTATTTCCTTACTGATTTTCTGTCTGGATAATCTATCCATTAGCAAAAATAGAGTATTGAAGTTCCTATTTTTTTGCTATCTATTTTTCCCTTCAGATCCATCAATATTTGCTTTATATGTTTGGGTGCTTTAATGTTAGGGTATATTTTTATAGTTGTTATATCTTTCTTTTGAATTCAAGCTTTTTTCACCACATAATGAACATCTTTGTCTCTAGAGAGTCTATTACTTAAAATCTATTTTGTCTGATATAAGTATAGCCACCCCAGTGCTCTTTTGATCATAATTTCCATAGAATATTTTCATCTGTTCTTTTTTAGCTTATGTGTGTTCTTAAATCTAAGGTGAGTCTCTTATAGACAGCATGTAGTTGGGTCTTTTCAAAAAATTCATTCCATGGAATCAACCCAAATGCCCATCAGTGATAGACTGGATAAAGAAAATGTGGCACGTATACATCACGGAATACTATCCAGCCATAAAAAGGAATGAGATCATGTCCTTTGCAAGGACATGGATGGAGCTGGAAGCTGTTATCCTCAGCAAACTAACACAGGAGCAAAAAACCAAACACTGCATGTTCTCACAAGTGGAAGCTGAATAATGAGAACACATGGACACATGGGGAAAACAACACCCACTTGAGTCTGTCAGGAGGTGAGGGGAGGGCGAGCATCAGGAAGAATAGCTAATGGATGCTGGGCTTAATACCTAGGTGATGGGTTGATCAGTGCAGCAAATCACCATGGCACACGTTTACCTATGTAATGAACCTGTACATCCTGCACATGTACCCTGGAACTTAAAAGAAAAGTTGACGGAAAAAATTTATTCAACCACTGTATAGTTTAATTCATTTACATTTAATGGAATTACTGATAGGGAAGGTTTCACTCTTGCCATGTCATTTTTTTTTTCTGTTTGATTTGTACTTCTATTGTTCCTCTCTTCTCTTGATGTCTTTCTTTCTGGTTTGACAACTTTTTGTGGGGATATGCTTTGATTATTTTCTGTTTATCTATTGTGTATCTATTATCAGTTTTTTTTTCTTGTGGTTACCATGAGGCTGACATTGAACCCCTTATAGTTATAACAGTCTATTTAAAGCTAATAATAAATTAACTTTTGTTGCATACAAAACTGTAGCCATTTATCCCCCCACACAAACTTTATATTATTTATGTTAGAGTTTACTTTTGAAAAATATTGTGCATGAATCAACACATTCTTGTGGTTATTCTAAATATTTTTGTCTTTTAACTTTTATACCAGGATTAAAAGTGACCTATGTGCAACCATTACATTATTACCATGTTTTGTGTTTTCTTATATATTTACCTTTAGCAGTGAGATTTCTACTCATATGAGTTGTGTTGCAGTTCAAAGTTTGTTTCTTTCAAACTTGAAGAACTCCCTATAGTATTTCTTGTAAGGTAAGTATAGTGGTGACAAACTTCTTGCTTTTTTGTTTATCTGGACAAGTCTTTAGCTCTACTTCATTTTTAAGGACAGTTTTTCTGGGTATAGTATTCTTAGAATGCAGTTTTTTTTTTTTCTTTCAGTACTTTGACTGTATCATTGCACTCTCTCTTAGCCTGGAAGGCTTCTGTCGGAAATGCATTTATATTCTTATAGAGGCTCCCTTGCAGATGACAAATCATTTTTCTCTTTCTGTTTTCAAAATTCTTTAATTTTGAATTTTGACAATTTGATTATAATGTGTCTTGGTGTGGACCTCTGAAAGTTTAACCAATTTGGAAAATATATTTCTTGATGTATCTGGACGTTCATTTACCTCCCCAGCTTTGGGAAGTTTTCAATAACTATTGCTATAAAAAATGTTTCATCTTCTTTCTCTTTCTCTTCTCCTTCTGAGACTCACATTTTGCATTTATTATTTTGCTTGATGGTGTCTCATAAGTCCCATAGGCTTTCTTCACTTTTTTCATTATTTTATCTTTTTATTCCTCTGACTGGATAATTTAAAATGTCCTGTCTTTGAGTTCACTAATTCTTTCTTTTGCTTGATTGGGTCTGCTGTTGAAGTTTTCTTTTAAATCTTCTGTTCAGTTATGTATGTTCTTCAGCTCCATGATTTTTATTTGGTTTTATTTTGTGGTTTCTATTTCTTTGTTGAACTTCTCATTTTGTTCATGCTTTTGTTTTTCTGATTTTATTTTGATATCTATCTGTGTTATCTTTCAGCTCACTGAGCTTGCTTAGGATGGTTATTTTGAAATATTTCTCAGGAAATTTGTAGATATCTATTTCTTAAAAGTCAGATACTGGAGCTTTATATATTTATTTATTTATTTATTTGTTTATTTGGTGATGTCATGTTTCCCTGATTCTTTGTAATCCTTGTATTCTTGTGTTGGTGTTTGCAAATTTGAAAAAGTAGTCACCTCTTCCAGTCTTTACAGACTGGCTTTGGCAGGGAAAGACTCTCCCCAGTTATCCAAGACTGGGATTCTGGGCAGGCCAACTAGTGTGATCCATAGGTGGGCGAGGTCTGCTGCATGGGCCTGATGATGTTCAGGGCCTGTCATCATGGTCTTTGGAGGGTATAGGGCCTCCTTCTGGTGTGTGCAGTTGAACAAGGCCAGCTGGAGGGGCTTCATGGTCAGACAGGGCCAGCAGGCTGATTTCCATGTTTTGCTGGTGTTACTGACAAGGCTTTGCATTTGAGCAAGGCCACTGTTGAGGGTTTTTTCATGTTCAGGTGGAGCAGCTGGCAGGGCTTTGCATTCAAGCAGGGCCAGATAGTAGAGGGCATACTTTTGGAGGGCTGATGGCAGGGATTGCATTTGGGTGAGGCCACTGATGGGTACTGTGGAGCTACTGCCAAAATCTGTGTGCAGCATCCACTGAGAGCTCCTGCCACTTTTCTTTATTTCTAGCTGTCCCTGAATTTGTCAGCTCTTCTAATTGCCCAAATGTTTTTCATTAAGGGAGACAGAATGAACCTCTTGGGCAGTGCCCTGGAAGGAAGTTAGATATCCACTTCAGTCTCTCTTTTCTTCACTGGAGAAATCATAGGCTGAAGATATCTTTCTAGGCACTGTACTGTGCCAACTTGGGGAAGGTCTATTTGAACAAATTGTCATGGGTGTTTTTGCCTTTTAAATGTTGTTTTTCTTAGTTTTGGTGCTCTCCTAGGGTGCTGTAACCTTTCCCTTGGGTTCCAGAATTCTCATACAGGCATTCTTATGCATGGATAGTTGTTAAAATGGTATTTTTGTGGGGAAACTAGTACTGGGGAGCTTGTATTCCACTATCTTGCTGATGTTCTACATGTTTTTAAATGGTTAAGGTTGGATATCAAATCTCTGTGGTAGTTAGCTTCCACTGGACACACTTAGAGTGGTGATATAGCAGCTTTATTTGACAAGTCGGTATTTTCAATATGTCTGATAGGATATCCTTTTCATCTATTTAAACTTATGATACAAATTAGATGTTAGCCTAAACATGTACCAGGGAATACATTGTTTTTCAAAAGTCTTTGAGGTTTTCTGTGAGAAAAAGAAATAAAACAACTGCTACAAATGAATGGCAACAGTTTTCAATGCCTTGATAGTGGGTATTTTCTCCTCCAAGTGGTCAATATCACTAGTCATTTACAACCCAACCTGAGCACACAGACATGCTCTTGGGAAAACCGTGGCTGAGAAAGGTCCCAGGGGCCACTGTGGTTGGTTGGAGTTTGGCTCCCTGGACTGCCTGGCTTTCTTGGGCAAGTTCCCAGGGGGTCATGCCTTTCAACAGGGCCCCTTTGTGATAGTGTTGTGATATAAGATATAGGTGGCTTTGCTGGATACAACTCTGTTTCCCCAAACTCTTTCATTCCCACTCTTTTTCTAAACTCCCATCTATCCAGAAGCTGATCCTGAACAAGGATCTGCATTTTTTTTTTTTTTTTTTTTTGCCAGTGCATAAAATCCCCTGAGTGGCCCATGTCAGTGAGAACTCATCTGAGATGGTGGAAGGACAGGCTCTGACCACAAATGGTCAGAGAAATGGAAAGCAATGGTTGACTTCAGCAAGAATATGTGGGGAAAGTAAGTGATAGTGATCCTTTCCAAGAAGTACACCAAGAAAAGCTGACTCAGTCTCCCAGACAGCCAGTTCTGCTTTCACCCCTGCTGATCTGATATGCTGTGGTAAAGGCATAGTGGAAATAGATTTTGCAAACTTCTCCATCTTCTACAATCATTCTACCTCTCATCTGAGATACATGTTTATTTTGTAATTTGAATAGACATTTCTCCAAAGAACACATACAAATAGAAAACAGGCAAACGAAAAGATGCTCAACATAATTGATTATTAGAGAAATGCAAATCAAAACTACAACTAGATATCATCTCACTCTAGTTAAATGGCTTATATCCAAAAGACAGGCAATAAAAAATGCTGTCAAGGATGTGAAGAAAAGGCAACCCTTGTACGCTGTTTGTGGGAATGTGGAATTAGTACAACCATTGTGGAGAACAGTTTGAAGGTTCCTCAAAAAACTAAAAATTGAGCTACCGTAGAACCCAGCAATCTTACTGCTAGGTATATACTCAGAAGATGGGAAATCAGTATATCCAAGAGATATCTGCACTCACATATTTGTTGCAGCAGTGTTCACAATAGCCAAGATTTAGAAACAACCTAAGTGTCCATTAACAGATGAATGGACCATGAAAATATGGTACTTATACATAATGAAGTAATATTTAGCCAAAAAAATTACATACTGTTATTTGCAACAACATGGATGGAACCAGAGGTCATTATGTTAAATGAAATAAGCAAGGCACAGAAAGACAAACTTTACATGTTCTCACTTACTTGTGGAAGCTAAAAATTAAAACAAATGAACTCATAGAGATAGATAAAAGAAGGATGGCTACTAGAGGCTGGGAAGGGTAATGGGGGGTGGGGGATGAGGTGGGAATTGTTAATGGGTATAAAAAATAGAAAGAATGAATAAGACCTAATATTTGATAGCACAACAGGGTGACTATAGTCAATATCATGTAATTATACATGTTAAAATAACTAAGAGTATAACTGGATTGTTGGTAACACAAAAAATAAATGCTTGAGGGAAGGGATACCTTATTTTTCATGATATGATTATTATACATTGCATGCCTGAATGAAAATATCTCATGTACCCCACAAATATACACCTACTACATACCGACAAAAATTGAAATAAAGAAGTTAAAAAAAGACTGACCCTTTCCCAATTAAGAGAACATTCCTCTTGTCTGAATGCCTTTGAGCTGGGTCATTGGCTTTTTCCTGCCTTCAGACTCAAAGTGAAACATCAGTTTTGCTGGGATCTTAAGCTTGTCATCCTTCAGACTAGAACTACATCATCAGTTTTCCTGGTTTTCATGACTTTGGATCCAGATTGGAACTATATCATTGGCTCTCCTGGGTCTCCAGCTTGCTGACTCATCCAGCAGATCTGGAAATTTGTCAGCCTCCATAAACGTATGAATCAATTTCTTATAATACATCTCTTTCTCTATACATATACATTCTATTTATTTGCTTTCTGTGGCATACCATAATACATGCTCCAATCTTATCCTATATGTTACTACTGGACTTGGAATCAGAACACTTGGGAATAACTTCACAGTTTTAGACAATTATTTTATCTCTCTTGGCCTCTATATGTAAAATAAAAAAAATTGGATTAGGTAATCTGTAAGCATCAATCTTCTATGGGTCTTCAACTCTGGGAATGTGTGGTCTAGCTTATGCAGCTGAGAAATAAAAACATTTGGCCAACCTAATTAACTCCTCTTTCATGTTTACGATGATTTCTGCAAGCAAGAAAGAGTATAGTGGTTTTGAGGGATAGACTAGGTGTGGTGATCCTGGATTCTTTTTCTATCTTTCTGTCCTTGACTATGCTGCCACTAAAGTATGCTATTAGTGCAGCATAGAAAGAACCTAGACTGTTCCACTTTAAGCAGCCAGAAGCTCTGTACAAAATGGAATAAGCTTTTTTACATTTGCTTTGCTCCTTCATTTAATTTGGGGGAGATTTATTTTTTATTTTACTTGCTTTTTGAATTAAAAAAGTAATTTGAGTTCATTGTAATCAAACAAAACAAACTTTATATATATGTTCATATGTGTGTGTATCTTATATATATATACACACACATCTTTGTATATTATATATACACACAGGTGTGTGTGTGTGTGTGTGTGTGTGTGTGTATATATGTAAAGAGTTTACACTCCTCCACTATCATCCCATCCCAGCAAAATTACTAGTTTGGATTAAAAACCAGTATATTGTAGTATTCTGTTTTATTTGATATTTCCTTTATTAATGGCAGCTATTTTATTTTTTGCATAGGCTTATTGGTGATATATAATTCCTCTTGGGTCATGGCCTGTTTCTTTTTCCCAGATTTTCATTTGACACATGTGTACATTCTTGTAATCACCACTCTGATGAAGATATAGGACATTTACAGCATCCCACAAGTTTCCTTTAGTCCAATACTGCCCCCAAGAAATAACCATGGTTCTCACTTTTATTATCACAAATTGAATTTAGCATGCTCTTGAATTTCATATGAATGGAATCATTCAGTGTGTACTTTTATTGTGACTCCTTTCCCTTAGCATGATGTTTTTGACATATATCTATGTTTTAAGATACATCAGTAGTTTGTTTTTTAAATACTGTACTATATTCCATCGTGTGTGTATATATGTAATATGTGTGTATATGTATATATATGTATGTATATATGTATTACTCCATTTTCACACTGCTGATAAAGACATACCTGAGATTGGGTAATTTACAAAAGAAAGAGGTTTAATTGGACTTACAGCTCCATGTGGCTGGGGAAGCCTCACAATCATGGTGGGAGGCAAGGAGGAGCAAGTCCCGTCTTACATGGATGGCAGCAGGCAAAGAGAGAATGAGGAAGATGCAAAAGCAGAAACCCCTGATAAAACCATCAGATCTCGTGAGACTTATTCACTGCCACGAGAACAGTATAGAGGAAACTGCCCCCATGATTCAATTATCTCCCACTGGGTCCCTCCCAAAACATACGGGAATTATGGGAGTACAATTCAACATGAGATTTGGGTGGGTACACAGAGCCAAACCATATCATTCTGCCCCTGGCCCCTGCCAAAAAACCAATCCTGCCTTCCCAACAGTCCCCCAAAGTCTTAACTCATTTCAGTGTTAACTTAACGGTCCACAGTCCAAAGTCTCATCCCAGACAAGGCAACTCCCTTCTGACTATGAGCCTATGAAATCAAAAGCAAGCTAGTTATTTCCTAGATATAATGAGGGTACAGACATTGGATAAATACAACTATTCCAAATGGTAGAAATTGGCCAAAACAAAGAGGCTACAGGACCCATGCAAGTCCAAAATCCAGCGGTGCAGTCAAATCTTAAAGCTCCAAAATGATCTCCTTTGAATCCATGTCTCACATGCAGGTCACGCTGATGCAAAAGGTGGGTTCCCATGGTCTTGGGCAGCTCTGCCGTTGTGGCTTTGCAGGGTACGGCCTCCCTCCTGGCTGCTTTCATGGGCTGGTGTTGAGTGTCTGTGGCTTTTCCAGGCACACGGTGCAAGCTGTCAGTGGATCTACCATTCTTAGGTCTGGAGGATGGTGGCCCTCTTCTCACAGCTCCACTAGGTGGTGCCCCAGTAGGAAATCTGTGTGGGAGCTGCGATCCCACATTTCCCTTCCGCACTGCCCTAGCAGAGTTTCCCCATGAAAGCCCAGCCCATGCAGCAAACTTTTGCCTGGGCATCCAGGCATTTCCACACATTCTGAAATCTAGGCAGAGGTTCCCAAACCTCAATTCTTGACTTCTGTGCACCCACAGGCTCAAGACCACATGGAAGCTGCCAAGGCTTGGAGTTTGCACCATCTGAAGCCATGGCTAGAACTCTACATTATTCCTTTTCAGCCACAGCTGGAGCAGCTGGGACACAGGGCACCAAGTCCTTTGGCTGCACACAGCTTGAGGACCCCTGTGCCTGGCCCAGGAAACCACTTTTTCCTACTAGGACTCTGGGCTTGTGATAGGAGTGGCTGCCATGAAGATCTTTGACGCCCTGGAGACATTTTCTCCATTGTCTTGGGGATTAACATTTGGCTCCTCATTACTTATGCAAATATCTGCAGCTGACTTGAATTTCTTCTCAGAAAATGGGATTTTCTTTTCTACCACATTGTCAGGCTGCAAATTTTTCAAAGTTTTATGCTCTGTTTCCCTTTTAAAATTGAATGCTTTTACCAGAAACAAGTCACCTCTTAAATGCTTTGCTGCATAGAAATTTCTTCTGCCAGATACCCTAAATCCTCTCTCTCAGGTTCAAAGTTCCACAAATCTGTAGGGCAGGGGCAAAATGCTACCAGTCTCTTTGCTAAAACATAACGAGAGTCATCTTTGCTCCAGTTCCCAACAAGTTCCTCATCTCCATCTGAGAACACCTCAGCCTGGATCTTATTATCCATATCGCTGTCAGCATTTTGGGCAAAGCCATTCAACAAATCTCTAGGAAGTTCCAGCCTTTCCCACATTTTCCTGTCTTCTTCTGAGCCCTCCAAACCATTGCAACCTCTGCCTGTTACCCAGTTCCAAAGTCGCTTCCACATTTTTGGGTATCTTTTCAGCAACACCCCACTCCGCTGGTACCAATTTACAGTATTAGTCCTGTTTTCATGCGTTGATAAAGACATACCTGAGACTGGATAATTTACAAAAGAGGTTTAATTGGACTTGCAGCTCCATGTGGCTGAGGAAGTCTCACAATCACAGCAGGAGGCAAGGAGGAGCAAGTCCCATCTTACATGGATGGCAGCAGGCAAAGAGAGAATGAGGAAGATGTAAAAGCAGAAACCCTGGATAAAACCATCAGATCTCGTGAAACTTATTCACTACCACAAGAGCGGTATGGAGGAAACCACCCCCATGATTCAAAAATTATCTCTTACCAGGTCCCTCCCATGACATGTGGGAATTATGGGAGTACAATTCAAGATGAGATTTGAGTGGGGACACAGAGCCAAACAATATCTATAAATATATCTATACCTAATCTCACAATTTATCCATTCTACTATTCATGAATATTTGGGTTGTTGCCAGTTTTTGGCTCTTATGAATAAAATGGCTGTGAACATTTGCAACAAGGCTTTGGATAGTCATATAAGCTAAATTATCCTGGGTAAATATCTAGGATAGGAACCACAGGAGAGACATATGTTGAACCTTAACAGATAATACCAAATTTTTCCAAAGTGGTTGAACGAATTTAAATTTCCAATAACAACATATGAGAATTCCAGCTGTTCTACATCCTCCCCATCACTTGGTCTTGTCAGTCTTCTTTATTTTAGCCATTTGGTGGGGGAATAGTGGTAACTCATTTTGGTTTGAATTTATCTCTGTTTATATTTTCTTTTGTGGAATAGCCTCATTTAGGAGTTAGTGGCATTTCCCCCTTGCAAGGAGAACCAGTTTTGAAAGGTTGCAACAAATGTAAATACAGACACAGAGGAAGAGGGCCAGGGAGAAGCATCTCTATCTACCCCCATTTTTCACAGATTCTATCACAAAAACCTAACCACCAGTCACTAAGAGCTTAAAATCCAAACCTGTCACTGGGCCATAGAGGTGGAGTGGCTTTTACATGTAGATTACACAGTTTAGTTAAAGATACTGGTTTGGGGAATAAGAAGACTGCCTGAGGACACCCAAGCCCTCTTCAACGTAAAGCAGAAATCCAAACTAGTTGGTTCACAAGACGAAATATTTTATTTGGCTTTCATGGAGTTGTAGTTTTGAGGCCAGCACTTAAAAATTCAGGAATTTCATATGAAAATCATTTACATCTGTCTACAATCAGCTGGAGCTTAGTAGCAGCTGGTTCCACAGTCCTCACTACTTTTTTTTTGCTCTCTGACATAGAGGAGGCTTAGTGTCAGGTTTTCTGATGACAGACCCACAATATTCATTTATGTTACCCATTTTGTACATACAGGCAATTGAATTTGTGGCCTGTTGTAAAATACTGTGATGAAAAGGCAACAGACTCAGACTTTTTCAGGATATCATTTCCTAATAATTTACATGAATGGGAGAGTAGAGAGAGATAAAGTCCTGAGATAAATTGCTGTTCTTATCAGCTCCTTAGTACCCTAAAGTTACAAAGGTACTTCTCTACAATTTTACATAGCTCGAATATGCCAAACTAGCTAGAGAAACTTTTGTAAGCTCAAAGTGGCCCCTTTTCCATTACGAGACAGCAGTGTATTGCGACGTGGAGTTCAGGATCTCATCTTCTAATAACATAGAAGAACTGTGGATGCTCCTGACACAAGACAAGTGAGTTCAGTCTTTTTAAAACACAGCAATCTTTTAGAAAAGATCTTATTCTTGGGACTTTCAGAGGGTTTCATCCCTTCCTTGACCCAGTTGAGAATGACCTACCACTCCAGCTAACAAGGAAGTTAACTGGGAGAGGCAATAGTAGTGGCATCCTTCTTAAGTGTAGAGCAGGGGTTCAGTAGTTCAGTGCACCAGAAGCACATAAAGGGTATGCTGAATTCAAGATCGCTAGGCCATACCCTCAGGACAAGTCCTCTAGGGAGCTTGTTAAAATGCAGATTTTATTCATTAGGTCTGGAGTGTTGTCCCCAGATTCGCATTTCTAATAAGTTCTCAGGTGCTGCAAGTGCAGCGGTCCGGGGACAACACTTGGAGAACCACTGGTGAAGAGGGATAATTCACAGGTTACTATATTAAGGATTTATATTCCAGCAGGGTTAGACAAAAATTATAACACAATAGATTTAATTGAAGGTTCTTAATACATGCTCTCAGTTGCTAATTAGCCTGATTTTTTTTTTCTGTAAACAGCTCAGGAATTGGAAGGGTTTAATAGTTTTTTTTTTTTTTTTTTTTTTTTTTTTTGCTGTTATTGTTGTTTATTTGTTTTTTAGAGGGAGACAGGGCACAAAAGCAATCAGTGAATAATTGACTCAATTGAAACTGAGACCTAAATTCTTCAGTTCTCCCTGGGGAGTCACTTCAGTAGCCAGTCACAAACACTCTACTCTCTGGTTTTGTTGCTAAAGTTTGGAAGTCCCCATGATAGATCGGAAAGTGCTGGGCTTGCATGACATTGGAAGGGACCACTGTTAAACAGCAAGACCAGGCCAGTTCTAAAACTAGAATGGGCAAGCTGGAAAAATGACAAAATGATTCCTTTCTCTCCTTGGTGAGTTAAAAGGTAGGATCTTGCTCTCAAGAACTGCTCTAGAACCTCTCCCTAGGGCATTCCCTCTCTGTTTCTCTGTCTCTGTCTCTCTTTCTCTTATTTTCATTGCAGCCAACCATTCTAAGGTAGCCAATGTATATCTTTTTGTGTTCTTGAAAAATCTGCATTTTTTAAATTTATGTAAATGGTGTTATCAATCTCACTCTGCTTTTCCCAGTTAGATGGAAGATTTTATGATTCATCTACCTTGATAGGTGCACCCTTAACTTCAGCAAGCATCAGAATCACCAGGGGATGTTATAAAAATATAGATTTCTGGTTTACTTAAAATTTTTTTTTCAGTAGGTTCAGGGTAGGGCCTGGAAATCTGCATTTTAAACAAATTTATTGAGGTATAATCAGCTTACCATAAAATTCGCCTATTTTTAAGTATATACCTGTTTTAGTAAATTTGTGGAGTTGTGCAACCATTACCATGATCTAGTTAGAACTCTGCATTTTTTTTAGGATCAATATTAAAGATGGTTTAATGGCACCAGATGAAAAGTATGCCCAAGTGTAGAGGATCATATAAATTTCAACTACAGACCAGAAAGTTTCATATTTTTAGCAGCATAAATGGTAATATTCATTAGTTTAAGGTTTTCAGTTTCTCATTAGTCTTAACAATTTTCTTTTTTCTCCCAGATTTATGAGTCATCCATGAAAATCTTACAGCCTATTCTCATCTTTTACATTGTTGCCTACATTGTGTAAAAACTATAGTAACTGTTTTTAATAACTTTGCAATGTCTAAAAATATGTAAGGACAATGTACCACTGTCATATGGGATTTAGTAAACAATCTAGTTGAGTTAAGAATGTAGCCCTGGCCAGGTGTAGTGATCCCAGCAGTTTGGGAGGCCAAGGGAGGAGGATCTCTTGGCCTAGGAATTCAAGACCAGCCTAGGCAGCATAGTGAGACCTCATCTCTACAAAAAATAAAAATGAAATTAGCCAGGTGTGGTAGAGTATGCCCATAATCCTAGATACTCAAGAGGCTGAGGCAGGAGAATTGCCTGAGCCCAGGAGTTTGAAGCTGCAGTGAGCTACGACTGAGCCACTACATTCTGGCCTGGGCAACAGAGTGAGATGCCATCCTCTAAAATAAAAAAGAAAAGAAGAAGAAGAAAAAGGTTGTAGCCTCAACAGAGAATTGTTTATATGTCCAAAAGAGCACAACAAAAACATCCCCAACAATACCTAAACCTACACATAAAATATAGAATATCTCCAATATTTTTACTTTATATGGCAGCATGCCAATATATGCAAGAGAACATATTGATGGGGCAAAGGGAAAACCGATTTGGGCAATGACTTAATTAAATTAGTCAGGCATTAACATTCAGAGACCAGGTAAACAGCCATTTTAATCAGAAAAGCAATATGAGAAGAGGTCGTATGAAGCTGGGATTTACATACTTCATTCTCTGTTCCCGGTCATTTCATCCACAGCTTGACTGTTGTCAATCATGGCTCTTTGCCTTTGGAGTAGTACTATAAAGGTACAGAGAATGCCCATCTCAGTACCAAAATTTCACCATGAAAAATCATAATAGAAATGACAAAGCTTAAAAAAAAGTATGCTAGATGTCAGAAATATGTACCCTAATAATTTTTAAGAAAGCTTACCATAAATACTTCCAAAAACATAGAAATCTGCATTTTAACAAGCTTCCTAGAGCTTGTGAAGCAGCAGGTCTTTAGATTGCACTTTCAGCATTCTAGAGATGAAGAGTGTGTGTTTCGGGACTCCAACAGACCAGGGCTCAAAGGCCTGCTCTGCCACTTTTTACTAGATCTCCTCATAGCATCCAGCTCCTTTATGCTCTTACTCTCTTACTCCTCACTTGCCCTGTATGCTGGCCTTTTAGAATGTGTGCTTATGGCTCCCACTTCTCTCATTTATCTTTGCTTTCGGCCCTCTCTCACACACACCAACAATCCCCTGCTAGATGAACTCCATCTAAAATGCATATTCCAACTCAGACAGTTGCACATTCTCTGATTCCTGTTCTTTGAACTCACTTTAAACTGCACTTTCTAAACTCTGCAAAGTGAGACCATATGAAGGTTATACAAGCTTCATGTCACAGCATGGCATGTTGATCAGCCAGGGAGAGTGGCGCTGCTTGATTGGGAAAGACACTGTTTCTCCATGTGAATTAATAAGGCTGACCCCAAAAAGCCTTAACTGAATGGTTCCTGAGGAAGAGGTGAGCCATGGGTCTCAGTCAGTCTCCACCTATCTGCAGAGCTTCAAGAACAGTACAATAAAAAATTTGGATCTTGTGACCTCATATATAAAGCATTGTTTGTCAAAACACAAGGAACAATATCTCAAGTTCTGCCTGGGGCCTAATTCAGGAACGGAAACCAAACAGCTTCTGGCTTTCAGGTAGATGCTGGGATAGATATCACTCATAGGTGCAACAGACTCTGGGTCTACAGGCAAAATCCAAAGTTCCAGATTACTATAAAGTTTAACCTAATGAACCATTGAAAATTACTGAGAGATTTATATTAAAGTAAAAATATTTATTGAGCATTTATAATGCACCAGGCACATTAGTTTTTGAGTCCTTGGAGTATATCATTAATATCTAATAAATAAATTCAGTAAAGTTGCAAGCTACGAAATTAATATACAAAAATTAGTATTTCTATATGACAATAATGAACTAGCTGAGAAAGAAATCAAGAAGGCTCCAGAATAAAACCGTGTAGGAATGCACTTAACCAAGGAGATGAAAGATCTCTACAACAAAAACAAAAAACACTGATGAAAGAAATTGAAGTGGACACAAACAAATGGAAAGATGTTCCATGTTCATGCAGTGGAAGAAATAATATCATTACAATCATTGTACTGCCCAGAACAATCTAGAGATTCAATGCAACACCTATCAAAACACCAACGTCATTTTTCTTTTTTTCTTTTGAGAGAGTCTTACTCTGTTGCCCAGGCTGGAGTGTGGTGGCACGATCTCAGCTCACTGCAACCTCCACCTCCTGGATTCAAGTGATTCTCCTGCCTCAGCCTTCTAAGTAGCTGGGATTACAGGTGCATGCCACCACAGCCAGCTAATTTTTATATTTTTAGTATAGATGGGGTTTCATCATGTTGGCCACGCTGGTCTCGAACTCCTGATCTCATGTGATCCACCACACTCAGCCTCCCAACGTGCTGGGATTACAGGCACGGGCCACCATGCCTGGCCCATTTTTCTTGGAAATAGATAAAACAATCATAAAATTTGTATGGAACCACAGAAGAGCTCAAATAGCCAAAGCCATCCTGAGCAAAAATAACAAAGCTGGAGACATTACACCACATGACTTCAAAATATATTACAAGGTTATGTTAGCCAAGACATCATGGTTTTGGCATAAAAACAGACACGTAGACCAAGAGAATGAAATTGAAAATCCAGAAGTAAATCTACATATTTACAGCCAGCTGATTTTCAACAAAGTTACCAAGAACATACAATGGGTAAAGGATACCTTCTTCATTAAATGGTGCTGCGAAAATTGGATTGTCATATGCAGAAGAATAAAGCTGTACTCCTATCTTTCAACATATACCAAAATCAATTCAAGATGGTTTAAAGACTTAAATGTAAAACATGAAACTATAACACTACCAGAAGAAAACATAGGGAAAACACTTCAGGATATTGATCTAGATAAAGATTTTATGTCTAAAACTTCAAAGCACAGGCAACACAAACAAAAGTAGATGAATGTGACTATATTAAACTAAAAAGCTTCTGAACAGCTAAGAAAATAATCAACAGAGTAAACAAAGAACCTGTTGAATGAAAGAAAATATTGGCAAAATATTCATTTGTCAGGGGAGTAATATCCAAAATATACAGGCAACTTAAACAATTAAACAGTAAAGAAACAATTAATAATTTCATTTAAAAGTGGGTAAAGAACATGAATAGACATTTCTCAAAAGAAGACATACAAGTGGTCAACAGGCATATGAATAAAATGCTCTACATCACTTATCATCAGGGGAATGAAATTGAAAACCTTAATGAGATGTCATCTTACCACTGTCAGAATGGCTACTATTAAAAAGACAAAAAAAAATACATGCTAGCGAGGCTGTGGAGAAAAGGGAACCCCCCATATACTATTGGTGGGAACACAAATTAGCACAGCCACTATGGAAAACAATATGGAGATTTCTTTAAAAATTAAAAATAGAACTACCATGTGATCCAGCAATATTTGGTCAAATACCACTACTGACTATTTACCAGAAGGAAAAGAAATCAGTATATCAAAGGGATACTTGCACTCCTATGTTTATTGCAGCACTATTCACAATAGCCAAGATATGGAATCAACCTGTGTCTATCAGTGGATGAATGATGATATGATCTGAATTTGTGTCCCTGCCCAAATCCCATGTAAAATTGTAATCCCCAATGTTGGTGGAGGTGCCTGGTCAGAGGTGATTGGATCTTGGGGGTGGATTTCCCCCTTGCTGTTCTCATAATAGTGAGTGAGTTCTCATGAGATCTGGTTGTTTAAAAGTGTGTAGCACCTCCTCCTTTACCCTCTTCCTCATGCTTGAGCCACGTAAAACATGCTTGTTCATTTTAGCCTTCTGCCATGATTATAAGTTTCTAGATGTCTTCACAGCCATGTCTCCTGTACTGTCTGTGGAACCATGAGTCAATTAAACCTCTTTTCTTTATAAATTACCCAGTCTCAGGTAGTTCTTCATAGCAGTGCAAGAATCGGCTAATACAGAAAATTGGTACCAAGAGTGTTATTGTTATAAAGATACCTACAAAGCTTTGGATCTGGGTAGCAAGCAGAAGTTGGAACAGATTGGAGGGCTCAGAAGATGACAGGAAGATGAGGGAAAGTTTGGAACTTCCTAGAGAGTTGTTGAATAGTTTTGACCAAAATGCTGATAGTAATATGGACAGAGATGGCTAGGCTGAGGAGGTCTCAGATGGAAATGAGGAAGTTATTGGGAACTGGAGAAAAGATCACTTTTGTTATGCATTAGCAAAGAACCTGGCAGCATTGTGTCCCTGCTCTGGGGATTTGTGGAACTTTGAACTTGAGAAAGATGATTTAGGTATCTGGTGGAAGAAATTTCTAAGCAGCAGTGTTCAAGGTATGGCCTGGCTGCTTCTAAAAGCCTATGCCCATATGCATGAACAAATAAATGACCTGAAACTGGAACTTATATTTAAAAGGGAAGCAGAACATAAAAGTTTGGAGAATTTGCAGCCTCACCATGTGGTAGAAAATAAAAACCAATTTTCAGGAGAGGAATTGAAGCAGGCTGCAGAAAGTCACATAACTAAAAAGAAGGGAAGTACTAATAGCCAAGACAATGGGGAAAAGGCTCTGAAGGCATTTCAGAGATCTTCATGACAGCCCCTCCCATCAGAGGCCCTGAGGCCTAGGAGGAAAGAATGGTTTTGTGAGCCAGGCCCAGGTCCCCCGCTGCTCTGTGCAGCTTCAGGACATGGTGCCCTGAATCTTGGCAGCTCCAGCTTCGGCTGTGGCTAAAAAGGGTCACTGTCTCAGAGGGTAAAAACTGTAAGCCTTGGCAGCTTCCACGTAGTGTTAAGCCTGCAGGTGCACAGAGTGCAGGAGTTGATGCCTGGGAGCCTCTGCATAGATTTCAGAGGATGTATGGAAACGCCTGGATGTCCAGGCAGAAGTCTGCTGCAGGGCAGAACTATCATAGGGAACCTCTACTAGAGCAGTGTGGAGGGGAAATATGGGGTAGGAACCCCAACACAGAGTCCCCACTGGGGGACTGCCTAGTGGAGCTGTGAGAAGAGGGCCACCATGAACACTAGATCCACTGGCAGTTTGCACTGTATGCCTGGAAAGACACAGGCACTCAACACCAGCCCTTGAGAGCAGCCATTGGAGATGAGCCCTGCAGAGCCACAGGGGCAGAGCTGCCCAAGGCCTTGGGAGCCCACCGCTTGCATCACTGTGGCCTAGATGTGAGACATGGAGTCGAAGGAGATTATTTTGGAGCTTTATGATTTAATGACTGCCCTGTTGTCATTTGGACTTACATGGGGCCTGCAGCCCCTCTCTTTTGGCTGATTTCTCCCTTTTTGAAAGGGTGTGTTTACCCAATGCATGTACCCCTATTGTATCTTGGAAGTAACTAACTTGTTTTTTATTTTATAGGCTCATAGGTGGAAAGGACTTGCATTGTCTCAGATTAGTCTTTGGACTGTGAAGTTTTGAGTTAATGCTGAAATAAGACTTGGGGGACTGTTGAGAAGGGATGATTGTACTTTGCAATGTGAGAAGGACATGAGATTTTGGGAGAGGCCAGGAGCAGAATAATATGGTTTGGATTTGCATCCCAACCCAAATCTCATATTGAATTATAAACCCCAATGTTGGAGGTGGGAGGTGATTGGATCATGAAGGTGGATTTCCCCCATGCTGTTCTCATGATAGTGGGTGAGTTCTCATGAGATATGGTTGTTCAAAAGTGTGTAGCACTTCCCCCTTCACCTTCTTCCTCTTGATCCAGCCATATAAGATGTGCCTGCTTCCCCTTCACCTTCTGCCTTGATTGTAAGTTTCCTGAGGCCTCCCCAGCTATGCTTCCTATACAGCCTGCAAAACTGTTAGCCAATTAAACCTCTTTTCTTTATTTATCATTTCCAAAAAACTGATACAGATGCCTTTTATGGTAGTCAGAATCCTAACTACTATACATGGAGGGGCCGTATGGCAAGGAGTGCCAGTGGTAAGAGCAGTCCTAGACCAATAGCCCACAAGAAAATAAGAACCTCAGTTCTACAATCATAATGAAGTGAATTCTGGCACAACCACACCGACTTGGAAGAGGATCCTGAGGTCCAAATTAGAATGAAGCCCAGCTGACACCTGGATTTTGACCTTGGGAGACCTTGAGCAGTGAACCCAGCCACACTGTGCCTGGACTTCTGACCTACAGAACTGTGAGCTCTGTAGATAGGTGTTGTTTTAAGCCACTCATAACAAACTAAGTGGCAATTGATTGTGCAGTGACAGGAAATGAATACACAATTTTATGGAGAAAGCTTCTTCCATACTGTCTTCAAACTAAAATTGGTATCAGAATCACTTGGAAGGAATTGTTAAAACACATATTCCTGGGTCCCACCCCCAAAGAGTTTGATTCAATATGTCGGTAATAGATTCATTTAACAGACTCTTCAGATGATTCTTTTACTATTGGGTTGAGAACCATAATATGGGAAGCAAGCTAATTCATTGGTTTCTTCATATTCCTGAAATGCCTCATGGACTGCTTTGAGGTAGAAGAGAATTTTGGTGGGGGGATTGGGGGGCTGTTAAATAGGATGCTAGAGCAGAGTTCTTGGGCTCACAGTACAAGTTCAAGCAGAAGACTGCTCTTTCTTTTAATTTTTAGATGTCAGTTTTTACCTTCCCCCACCTTTCATTTATTTGATATATTAGGCTTTCAGGCAAGATTTCCTTTAAAGGGAGTTTACTAATACTTAGGAAAAAAATGTTGTAAAAACCTTAATGGTGAATTATGCCCTGAAAGTTTATTTATTTATTTTGCCAAGACCTGTCTTTGTGCTGGACAGAGTGTTGGATGTAAGGTGCTGGGGGAACATATATATGGAAGATGTCTCTTATCTTTTTTGCTTACCAATATATGTGCAGTGCCTAGTGAAGTATTTGTCATATACATTTTATAAGGTGCTCAATAAATGTTTGTTGAACAAATAAATGAATAGCACTAATTACATTGTGTTATAATTATTTTACCTGTTGTCTTTCTCGAACAAACTATGAGCTTATTGAGAGCAGAAACCATGTCTTGTTCATTGCTGTAACACCTGCACCTTCCACATGAATTTATACATAGTAGGCACCTAGTATTTGTTGAATGAATAAATGAATACAAATCAAGTATAAAAACTTGTCTATGGCAATATAGACTAAACATAGTAGATCCATAAACAGAACTGGCAGTTGCTGTTTTCTAACCTTGTACTGATTGCACAAGCCGTAAGACCCCCCTTCTTAAAAGAATGAGACATTTTTGGTGCACGGGGATTGGTCAATACTGCTGTGACCTCATCTTTTCCCGTCCTTGTGCTTTGGCAGGCTTGGTTTCCAGGTTTACTGACGAATGTACTGGACTATTGTTTCCTTCTTAGCAAACAGTCAGATGAGATGGATTGTAACTGGAATCTGAAGGGGATACTAGAAAATCTCCTGTGTCTTCTTCATATACAAATACCACTGGATGGGGGAAGTCTCAAACTGATATTCCTCCACTCAGAGTGAGTAACTTGAATTAGATAATCAGGTCCCTTTCGTCTACTATGTAGCTTTAACTTGCTGCCATTGAAAATTAAGGCTTTAGTGAGAGGACATTGTAGATCCTGGTCATTTACTGCAGAGGTAGGTTGGGCATCTAGAGGGCAGTGGGCAACATGAGCTGAGTGAGGGTCCAGAGACAATATGTGTTTGGCAGGGCATTAGCATGGAAGACACCAGCCATGATACCACACTTCTTACACTTTTTATTTTACCAAGAGTCTACTTGGACACAGTTAATAAACCATGCCAGGCCAAATATTTAAGCACCAACTTTGATATAAAAGATTTGGCTGCCTCTGATTGGAGTTACCACTGTATAAGGTATGACTCTACTAACCCTATACTTTCTCATCGTTTTAACCTACAGAGGATTTTTTTTCTTCACTTCTCACAGGTTGTATGAACATTGTCTGTAGGTCAAGAATCATTTTGCTAAGCATTGTACATTATCAGACCTGGGAACTTTATGCTGATTACTGGGGATGTTAGAGTTGAACACATGTCTTGAGAATGAATGGGGACAGCACAGCAGTATAGTTGGGAAAACACACGACTAAAAAATAGGAATCTCAGTTATGCTGTTTATTAGCTTCAGGAAAAGTAACGTACTTTAGCTTTAGTTTTTTCATCTGTTAAAAAAGCATAATAGCACCTACTATTACCCCACAAAGTTGTTGTAAATATTAATAAAGATTATGCATGACAAAGTCTAATGAAAATTATAAGAAGCTATAAAAATGGAAAGTATTTCTCTTTAAAATAATGGACTTTATAGAATGACCATATAATTTCCTTCTAAATCAGAATAAATTTTGAGTTTATATAGTTATTAACAGTTATTAATTGGTCTATAGCAGGCATAAAATGAGAATGTCCTAGGTAAATCCAGACTACAGTAACCCTTGCATTGATATTTATTTCATTCTGTCTTTTCTGCTTATCTCTTTCCTTGGCTCCTCTCTTACCCCTTAACTCTGAAATGCTCTTCTTTATGCTTTATTTCAGGTATCCTATACAGGAAAAGCAGGAAAACATATGTGTGTGACTGTCTGTGTGTGCATGTGTGTGTGCATTCTTTGAAATATCTGATCTAGAAAAAAGTTGAGCCATGAATAAACATGTCATTATTACAACTTAAAGATTCCCAAATAAATAGCACCAATGCTCAGGTTTGGCTAGTGATTGATTATTCAAATGGGCTCCAGATTTGCTCTGGGCTCTTTTTGTTCCCTCCTCTCTAATTCAACAGTCCTTCTACCTCTGACATGTTGCTAAGTATACTGCTAGGCAGAACCACCAAGGGTGTCTGGCAGCCTCCCCAGCTGAGCAGCCAGAGACAGAGGTCTGGGGTACATCTTGGGTGAGTACCCAGTGGAGAAGCAGAGAAGTAGATGATTTTTTAAATAATTTAATTTAATTTAAACTTCCGGGGTACATGTGCAGGATGTGCGGGATTGCTACATATATAAACATGTGCCATGGTGGTTGGCCGCACCTATTAACCTATCATCTAGGTATTAAGCCCAGTATGCATTAGCTATTTATCCTATGCTCTCTCCCCACCCCTGCAACAGGCCCCAGTGAGTGTTGTTTCCCTCCTCGTGTCAATGGGTTCTCACCATTCAGCTCTCACTAATAAGTGAGAACATGAAGTGTTTGGTTTTCTGTTCCTGCATTAGCTTCCTGAGAATAATGGCTTCTAGCTCCATCCATGTCCCTGAAAAGGACATGATCTAATTTCCTTTCATGGCTGCATAGTGTTTCATGGTGTACATGTACCACATTTTCTTTATCCAGTCTATCATTGATGGGCATTTGGGTTGATTCTATGTCTTTGATATTGTGAACAGTGCTGTAATGAACATAAGCGTGCATGTGTCTTTATAATAGAATGGCTTATATTCCTTTGGGAATATAAATAATGGGATTGCTCAGTCAAGTGGTATTTCTGGTTCTAGGTCTTTGAGGACTTGCCATACTGTCTTCTACAATGGTTGAACTAATTTACATTCCCACCAACAGTGTAGAAGTGTTCCTATTTCTCCACAGCCTTGCCAGCATCTATTGTTTCTTGACTTTTTAATAAATTTAATAATTGCCATTCTGACTGGTGTGAGATGGTATCTCATTGTGGCTTTGATTTTCATTTCTCTAATGATCAGTGATATTGACCTTTTTTTCATGTTTGTTGGCCACATAAATGTCTTCTTTTGAGAAGTGTCTGTTCATGTCCTTTGCCCACTTTTTCATGGGGTTGTTTTTTTCTTGTAAATTTGTTTAAGTTCCTTGTAGATTCTGGATATTAGATGTTTGTCAGGTGGATAGATTGTAAAAATTTTCTCCAATATTGTAGGTTGTCTGTTCACTCTGATGATAGTTTTTTTTTGTTTTTTGTTTATTTGTTTGTTTTGTTTTGTTTTGTTTTTGCTGTGCAGAAGCTCTTTAGTTTACTTAGATTCCATTTGTCAATTTTTGCTTTTGTTACAATTGCTTTTGAAGTTTTGTCATGAAATTTTTGCCCATGCCTATGTCCTGAATCGTATTGTCTAGGGTTTCTTCTAAGGTTTTTATAGTTTTGGGTTTTACATTTAAGTCTTTAATCCATCTTGAGTTAATTTTTGTATAAGGTGTAAGGAATGGTCCAGTTTCAGCTTTCTGCATATGGCTACCGGTTCTCCCAGCACCATTTATTATATCGGGAATCTTTCCCAATTGCTTTCTTTTGCCAGGTTTGTGAAAGATCAGATGATTGTAGATGTGCAATCTTATTTCTGAGAACTCTGTTCTTTTCCATTGGTCTATGTGTCTGTTTTTGTACCAATACAATGCTGTTTTGATTACTGTAGCCTTGTAGTATAGATTGAAATTGGGTAGCATGATGTCTCCAGCTTTGTTTTTTTGTTTGTTTGTTTGTTCTTTTTTTTTTCTTTGCTTAAGATTGTCTTGGCTATACAGGCTTTTTTTTTTGGTTCCATATGAATTTTAAAGTAGTTTTTTTTTCTAATTCTGTGAAGAATGTCAATGTAATTTGGTGTGAATAGCATTGAATCTATAAATTACTTTGGGCAGTATGGCCATTTTCATGATATTGATTCTTCCTATCTATGAGCATGAAATGTTTTTCCATTTGTTTCTGTCCTCTCTGATTTCCTTGAGCAGTGGTTTGTAGTTCTCCTTGAAGAAGTCCTTCACTTCCCTTGTTAGCCATATTCCCACATATTTTATTCTCTTTGTAGCAATTGCGAATGGGAGTTCATTCATGATTTGTCTCTCTGCTTGTCTATTGTTGGTGCATAGGAATGCTTGTGATTTTTGCACGTTGATTTTGTATCCTGAGACTTTGCTGAACTTGATCAGCTTAAGAAGGTTTTGGGCTGAGACAATTGGGTTTTCTAGATATAGGATCATGTTATCTGCAAACAGAGTTTGACTTTCTCTCTTCCTATTTGAATACACTTTACTTCTTTCTCTTGCCTGATTGCACTTGCCAGAACTTCCAACAGTCTGAGGAATGAGTGTGGTGAGAGAGGGCTTCCTTGTTTTTTGCCACTTTTCAAGGGGAATGCTTCCAGCTTTTACCAATTCAGTATGATATTGGCTGTGGGTTTGTCATAAATCACTCTTATTATTTTGTGGTATGTTCCATCAATACCTAGTTTATTGAGAGTTTTTAACATAAAGGGATGTTGAGTTTTATTGAAGACCTATTCTGTGGCTTTTGAGTAACAATGTTTTTTTTCTTTAATTCTGTTTATGTGATGGATTACGCTTATTGATTTACATATGTTGAACCAGCCTTGCACACCAGGAATGAAGCTGACTTGATCATGGTGGCTATGCTTTTTGATGTGCAGCTGGATTCAGTTTGCCAGCATTCTATTGAGGATTTTTGCATAGATGTACATCAGGAATATTGGCCTAAAATTTTTAAAAATATTTCTGCGCTGTTTTGGTATCAGGATAATGCTGTCCTCATAAAATGAGTTAGGGAGGAGTCATTCCTTTTTAATTGTTTGGAATAGTTTCAGAAGAAATGGTACCAGCTCCTCTTCATACCTCTGGTAGAATTCAGCTGTAAATCCATCTGGTCCTGGCCTCTTTTTCGTTGATAGGTTATTTATTACTGCCTTAATTTCAGGCCTTGTTATTGGTCTATTTAGGGATTCAACTTTTTCCTGGTTCAGCCTTGGGTGGGTGTATGTGTCAAAGAATATATCCATTTCTTCTAGATTTTCTAGTTTATTTGCATAGAGGTGTTTATAGTATTTTCTGATGGTTGTATTTCTGTGGGGTCAGTGGTTATATCCACTTTATAATTTTTTATTGTGTCTATTTGATTTTTCTCTTTTCTTCTTCATTAGTCTAGCTAGTGGTCTATCTATTCTATTAATTTTTTCAAAAAAAAATTAGCTCCTGGATTTGTTGATTTTGGAATGGTTTTTCAAGCCTCTATCTCCTTAAGTTCCACTCAGATATTGGTTATTTCTTGTCTTCTGCTAGCTTTGGAGTTTGTTTGCTCTTGGTCCTCTAGTTCTTTTAGTTGTGATGTTAGGATGTCAATCTGAGAACTTTCTAGACTTTCGATGTGGGCATTTGGGCTATAAATTTCCTGCTTACCACTGCTTAACTGTGTCCCAGAGATTTGGGTACATTGTCTCTTTGTTCTTATTGGTTTCAAAGAACTCCTTGATTTCTGCTTTAATTTCATTATTTACCCAGGAGTCATTTAGGAGCAGGTTGTTCAATTTCCATGTAGTTGTGTGGTTTTGAGTGGGTTTCTTGGTTTTGGGTTCTAATTTGATTGTGCTGTGGTCTGAGAGACTGTTTGTTTTGATTTCTTTTCTTTTGCATTTGCTGAGGAGCGATTTACTTCCAATTATGTGATTGATTTTAGAGTTAAGTGCCACGTGGTGCCAAGAAGAATGTATATTCTGTTGTTTTGGGGTAGAGAATTCTGTAGATATCTACTAGGTCTACTTGCTCCAGAGCTGAGTTCAAGTCCTGAATATCTTTGTTAATTTTGTGTCTTGATGATCTGTCTAATGTTGACAGTGGGGTGTTAAAGTCTCCCACTATTATTGTGTGGGAATCTAAGTCTCCTTGTAGGTCTCTAATAACTTGTT
Source organism: Homo sapiens (assembly GCF_000001405.40). Taxonomy (NCBI): domain Eukaryota; kingdom Metazoa; phylum Chordata; class Mammalia; order Primates; family Hominidae; genus Homo; species Homo sapiens. The sequence continues at coordinate 112,557,892 of NC_000023.11, read as the reverse complement.
TTATGAATTTGGGTGCTCCTGTATTGGCTGCATATATACTTAGGATAGTTAACTCTTCTTGTTGAATTGAACCCTTTACCATTATGTAATGCCCTTCTTTGTCTTTTTTGATCTGCATTGGTATAAAGTCTGTTTTGTCAGTCACTAGGATTGCAACCTCTGCTTTTTGATGCTTTCCATTTGTTTGGTAGATTTTCCTCTATCCTTTTATTTTGAGCCTATGTGTGTTTTTGCCTGTTAGATGGGTCTCTTGAATACAGCACAGCAATGAGTCTTGATTCATTATCCAGCTTGCCATTCTTTTAATTGAGGCATTTAGTCCATTTACATTTAAGATTAACATTGTTATGTGTGAATTTGATCTTTTCATCATGATGCTAGCTGGTAGTTTTGCAGACTTGTTGATGTAGTTTCTTCATAGTGTCATTGGTTTTTGTACTTCAGTGTGTTTCTGCAGTGGCTGGTAATGATTTTTCCTTTCCATATTTAGTGCTTCCTTCAGAAGGAAGACCTTCAAGGCAGGTCTGGTGGTTATGAATTCACTCAGCAATTGCTTGTCTGAAAAGGATTTTATTTCTTCTTTACTTATGAAGCTTAGTTTGGGCAGATACAACATTGTGGGTTGGGAATTCTTTTCTTTAAGAATGTTGAATACCGGCCCCTTATCTCTTCTGGCTTATAGGGTTTCTGCTGAGAAGTCTGCTGCTCGTATGAAGGGCTTCCCTTTGTAGGTGATCTTGCCTTTCTCTCTGGCTGCGCTTAACATTTTTTCCTTCATTTCGACCTTGGAGAATCTAATGATTACATGCTTGGCGTTGATCTTCTCATGGAGTACCTCACTGGGGTTATCTGGATTTCCTGAATTTGAATGTTGGCCTCTCTTGATAGGCTGGTGAAGTTCTCTTGGATGATATCCTGAAGAATGTTTTCCAACTTGGTTCCATTCTCCCTGTCTCTTTCAGGTACCCCAATCAGTCATAGTTTTGGTCTTTTTACCTAATCCCATAGTCCTCGGAGGTTTTGTTCATTCCTTTTCATTCTTTTTTTCTCTAATCTTGTCTTATTTCAGCAAGATAGTCTTCAATCTCTGAAATTCTTTCCTCCACTTTGTCTATTCAGCTATTGATACTTGTGGCTGTATTGCGAAGTTCTCGTGTTGTGTTTTTCAGCTCCATCAGGTCATTTGTGTTCCTTGCTAACCTGGTTATTCCAATTAACAGTTCCTGTAATGTTTTATCATAGTTCTTAGCTTCTTTGCATTGGGTTAGAACACGCTCCTTTAGCTCAGTGAAGTTGGTTATTACTCATCTTCTGAAGCCTACTTCTGTCATTTCATTCATCTCAGCCTCAGCCCAGTTCTGTGCCCTTGCTGGAGAGGTGTTGTGATCATTTGGAGGAGAAGAGGCACTTTGGTTTTTTGAGTTTTCAGAGTTTTTTTGTTGGTTCTTTTTCATCTTTGTGAGTTCACCTAGTTTCAATCTTTGAGGCTACTGACCTTTGGATGGGGGTTTTGTGGGGACTTTGTCGATGCTGTTGTTGTTGTTGCTTTCTGCTTGTTTTACTTTTAAAAGTCTGGCCCCTCTTCCATAGGGCTGCTGTGGTTTGCTGGAAACCTACCCCAGACCCTGTTCACCTGGGTCCTTCCCACACCTGGAGGTGTCACCAGTGGAGGCTGCAGAACAGCAAAGCTGACAGCCTGCTCCTTCCTCGGGCAACTCTGTTCCAGTGGGGCACCAACCTGATGCCAGTGGGAATGCTCCTGTGACTGGTGACTGGTGACCCCCTTTGGGAGGTCTCACCCAGTCAGAAGGCGTGGGATCAGGGACCTGCTTAACAAAGCACTCTGTCTGCACCTTGGCAGAGGGGTGTGTTGTAATGGGGGAAATCCCACTTGTTCAAACTGCCCAGACTCCTCAGAGCGAGCAAGGGAAAAGACTAAGTCACCTGATCCACAAATACTGCAGACTCCTCTCCCCCCCAGGGCTCCATCCCAGGGAGATCAGAGTTCTATCCATAATCCCCTGGCTGGAGTTGCTGAAATTCCCACATGAAGCCCCTGCCTGGTGAGGAGGTATGGGTCCAGGTCTGGCCTAGTAAGGCAGTCTGGTCACAGTGTACCACAGCTGCTGTACTGTGCTGTGGGGAATTCCTCCTGGGTACAAACCACCCAGTCTCCCCTGCACTGGCAGGGGAAAATGGCAGACTGGAGTTGCAGTGGTGGCTGCCGCCCCTCCCGCAAGGAGCTCAGTCCTCTTAGGCAATAGGCAGCTGAAGTGATGGCAGCCACCACTTTCCCAGGAACTTGGTAGTCTTAGTCTCCAGCTGAGTGGCTGCCAAGAATCTGCACAGCTCTATGCATGGGACCCAAGGCCCTGGTGGCGTGTGCTCATGAAGGGATCTCCTGATCCATGGGTTGCGCAGATCTGTGGAAAAAGTGTGGTTTCCTGGGCGGGGTAGCACAGTCACTCACTGCCTCCCTTGGCTGGGGGTGGGAGCTCTCCTTGTCCTGTGCAGCTACTGGATAGGCTGTCAGTCCACCCCACTTTTCCTCACTCTCTGTGGGTTGCACCAACCAACTACTCAGCCCCAATGAGAGAACCTGGATACCTTAGTTGCTGGTGCGGGATTCACCTGCTGTTTTCATTCTTCTTGGTGGGAGCCTCTGACTGCAGCTGTTTCTAGTTGGTTATATTGGCCCCTCCACCCAAAGTAGCTGATTTTAATTCTTACAGCAGAAAAAGCAAGTGAACAGCATTGCTAAGGCTTTCAGCTTAGGGAGTGTCCTTGTCTTTTACTGTTGGGATTTACTCCAAAATTTCTACCCAGGATGGAGGAAGGAAGTCACCTTGCTTTTGGGGATTGAGAAGGCTACCCTCAAATGGAGATAAGTGAGAAACAATAAAGGCAAAGGCCAAGTGGCTTGCTGAGTTTCCACTTTCTCGTTCTCTTCATCATGAGCACCAAATCTGGAAGGCTGCATGAGCATACGTGAAAAAATTCATTGGTTAAAGTGAAATAAAATGTAGAGAACAATTAATCTGACATGGATTTAATAGTAGATGGTTCTTATATGGTTGTTCTATCAGCAGGTGCATACATTAAGCCATTGACAGAAATGAACATAATTGGAATTGCTTTTAGATAGTTGTTCAAGTATCTCTGATGACAATTTATAAAAACCCAAACTACCTTGGTTTGCCGCATGTTATGGTACACTCAGGCTAGTATAACAACCACCTAGCCAGTGTTTTTGCCTTCATTCTTCTCATCGTCCATGGTACCTAAATTATAATGCTCTTCTATTCAAAGACTGTAAATGGCTTCCTTTTGCCTTCTAAAATCTAACACTAGCTGATGTTCCCTGCTTGATCTTTTGCTACTCTCCTATTGGCACCCTTTCCTTTAGCCACATGGACAGGTTATTATCTTCTGAGCATATTTTTATGCCAAATTTTGCATGATGTTTCTATCCCTCTACCTACATTGCCAAACTGCATATTTAAAATTTTACCTCAATGAGTGGAAAGAATACAAGGCCAGATGACAATACATCTGGATACTAGTTGTATTGTCAATGTATTGTCAATAACAATTATATTGTTAATGGCACTGCCATTAACTTTCCATGTGACTATAAGAAAGCTAATTCATTTCTCTGAGACTCACCTTTCTAGGTCTCTAAGGTTGTTTCTAACTTGAAATTAAAAAGAGAAAATCATAGGGTATAAAAAATAATGCTACCTGTTTTCAAGGTCCAGTTCAAGTACCATTGTAACCCACAGCTCATGGCTTACAAAGTTATGAGCTTCCATAATGCTTCTTTTCTGAGCCAGTGTGTGTGTATGTATAAGATTACAAGATAGCTGCTTTAGCTCTAGTCTCATCCCCTCTGCCAAAGGGGGAAAAAGAGTAAAGTCTTAAGTCTCAATTTCCTCTGATTGTACCAACCATTGAATCAACAACTGTGGCTAAGGAATGTAATATACTGCTTCAGTTAGGCCCGGATCACATGTTCCACCCCCTAAGGCTAGGTGTGAACTGAAGTTGGGAAGGGGAAGACAAGGATCATTGCCAAAAGAAGGGGGAAACAGATTCTGGGGAGGCGAATGTCCACAACACTGTCTCATTGAATTTTTTCCATACTGCATTGTATAGTGGTTATTTGTATACTTGCCTTATAATCCCATTCATTCATCCAACGCGTATTTTTAAGCAACTATTATGTGCCAAGCATAGTGTTAACTGTTGCAGATTCAATGGTGAACAAGACTCAGTGCCCATCCTTATAGTATTTGCATCATAGTGGGGAAGACAAACATACAAATAGAGTAAACAAATAAAATGACTGTTAAGTTATAATAAGTATTTGAAGAAAACAAACAGGATGTTGAAAAAAATAATGGAGAAGAACTACTTTATGTAGAATGCTTAGGGAAGATTTGTCTGAGCTAGTGATAATAAAGGGGGGCCATTTAGGGAAAGATTTGAAAGTAAGGGTATTCCAGGTAAAAGAAAAAGAAAATGCAAAGGCACCAAGGAAGGAAGAAGCTTAGTGTATTCAGTGAACAGAAAGAACATGGGAGTGTCTAGTTCATAGTGAGAAGGGTAGTCTAGAATGAGTTGAGAGAGGCAGGCCAGATAATGTAGAGCCTTAGTGACCATGTAATTTCTACTTGTCTTTAAACTTCTTAAGAGAGAAATGATGTCTTATTTATTTTTACAACTTGCAGCCCTTATCTGTGTGTGTGTAGGGGGTGCATTCAAAATAAGACTGTGTATTTCTTATCATAATATCCTTGAACAAATAAGAAAAGCTTCCAGTAATTAATCCTGCCTATTGTCTGGAAGAAATCTACTTTCCACTCTACTTTTCTATCATGGCCTCAATTCTCTTGGGTTTTCCAAAAGTCTCCCTTGTAAGGACATTCTATCTCTTGTGGATTTTGTTTTGTTCTTGGGCTGGTGTTAAGATCTTTAAACATAAAGTCTTTGATAAAGACAAAGTATCATTGGCCTTTTGATATGAAGTGGCCATTGACTTAATCACACAAGAAAGAATGTAGTAATCTTCTAAAAATACTAAGAAATGCATTTAAGGCAGAAAATAAAACTCATGAGTAGGGTTGGGTGGCCTTGGGAAAACAGGTTTGAATAATTTCCCACGAGGTTGAGTAGCCAGGGTGGCAGGAGTCCCTCAGTGGCAGTCCCTCAGAAAAGTACACTAAGTGCAGGTAAGACTGCACAGATTATTTAGAAAGGCATAATTTCTCCCTACACAGGGAAGTTCAGCTATGATTAGGACACAGGGAAACAGGCAAGACAGTTAGCTATCATGGATCTTGGTTGATACCTGTGTGGAATTAGAAAATTATATTCCATAGTTTCTCAGGCATAGTCGTATCTTACACTAATTTCTATACAGTTTCAGCTTTCATTCTGTTTTGTATCTCTGGCTGGGGCTATTTTCTAAGCCCTGTTTATTGGAAAACACTAAATTTTCCCTTCACCTGGAAATTAGATGCTGCCACATTTCTCCATGTTGTCATTTATACCTAGGTAGTTCTAAAAAGAAGCTCTTGTTTTAAAATTCAGGAGTCCCTCCAACTTACAAAGGCCTTCATTGAATTGCAGTCTGTTAGCTGCGCTCCCAAAATAGGAATTCAAAAATGTGGTATTTGTGGTTTACAGGTTCGTAGGTGAGGGGGAAACGGAGAAAGAAAGGAGGTAAGAGGGGGTTTGTGGAAGAAGAGGCTCCATTCTTGCCCCTTCTGTTACCTGCATTTCCCCGAGAAGAGACTATAAAGCAAATGATGAGGTAGGAGTGGAGTTTCCTTCTAATAAGAAAATCGAATGCTCATTGAGTGTCTATTGTGGGGTCTTCTTCTGGAAAGGGAGAGGGGATTTCAATCAGCAGAGGAAAACTTTACATATTGAGAGAAAAAAGTGGTGATTTAAAGTGGTTAATGAAGTTAAGTAAAAAGTGACACATCAGGGTCATTTCCAAGATGGCCTAATAGGAACAGCTCCAGTCTGCAGCTCCCAGCAAGATTGATGCAGAAGATAGGTGATTTCTGCATTTCCAACTGAGGTACCTGGTTCATCTCACTGGGACTGGTTGGACAGTGCATGCAGCCCACGGAGGGAGAACTGAAGCAGAGTGGGGCATCACCTCATCTGGGAAACACAAGGGGTCAGGGGATTTTCCTTTCCTAGCCAAGGGAAGCCATGACAGACTGTACCTGGAGGGACAGTACATTCTCGCCCAAATACTGCACTTTGCCCACAGTATTAGCAACTGGCAGACCAGGGGATTCCCTCCCGTGCCTGGCTCGGGGGGTCCCACGCCCATAGAGCCTTGCTCACTGCTAGCACAGCAGTCTGAGATCGACCTGTGAGGCTACAGCCTGGCAGGGGGAGGAGTGTCCACCATTGCTGAGGCTTGAGTAGGCAAACAAAGCAGCTGGGAAGCTCAAACTGGGCAGAGCCCACCGCAGCTCAGCAAGGTCTACTGCCTCTCTAGACTGCACCTCTGTAGGGAGGGCATAGATGAAAAAAAGGCAGCAGACAACTTCTGCAGACTTAAACGTCCCTGTCTGACAGCTCTGAAGATAGCAGTGGTTCTCCCAGCACGGTGTTCAAGCTCTGAGAAGGGACAGACTGCCTCCTCAAGTGGGTCCCTGACCCCCGTGTAGCCTGACTGGGAGACACCTCCCAGCAGGGGCTGACAGACACCTCATACAGGCGGGTGCCTCTCTGGGATGAAGTTTCCAGAGGAATGATCAGGCAGCAATATTTGCTGTTCTGCAATATTTGCTGTTCTGCAGCCTCTGCTGGTGAAATCCAGGCAAACAGAGTCTGGAGTGGACCTCCAGCAAACTCCAACAGACCTGCAGCTGAGGGGCCTGACTGTTAGAAGGAAAACTAACAAACAAAGGAATACCATCAACATCAACAAAAAAGGACATCCAAAAAAATAAAAAATAAAAAAAAAAAAAAAAAAAGGACATCCACACCAAAGCCCCATCTGTAGATCACCAACATCAAAGACCAAAGGTAGATAAAACCACTAAGATGGGGAGAAACCAGAGCAGAAAAGCTGAAAATTCCAAAAACCAGAGCCCCTCTTCTCCTCCAAAGTATCACAGCTCCTCGCCAGCAAGGGAACAAAACTGCATGGAGAATGAGTTTGACGAGTTGACAGAAGTAAGCTTCAGAAGGTCGGTAATAACAAAATTCTCCGAGCTAAAGGAGCGTGTTCTAACCCATTGCAAAGAAGGTATAAACCTTGAAAAAATATTAGACGAATGGCTAACTAGAATAAAAAGTGTAGAGAAGACCTCAAGTGACCTCATGGAGCTGAAAACCACAGCATGAGGACTTCATGATGCATATACAAGCTTCAGTAGCTGATTCGATCAAGTGGAAGAAAGGATATCAGTGATGGAAGATCAAATGAATGAAATAAAGTGAGAAGACAAGATTAGATAAAAAAGAGTGAAAAGAAATGAAAAAAGCCCCAAGAAATATGGGACAAAGTGAAAAGACCAAATCTACATTTGATTGGTGTACCTGAAAGTGACGGGGAGAATGGAACCAAGTTAGAAAACGCTTTTCAGGATATTATCTAGGAGAACTTCCCCAACCTAACAAGGCAGGCCAACATTCAAATTCAGGAAATACAGAGAACACCACAAAGATACTCTTCGAGAAGAGCAACCCCAAGACACATAATTTTCAGATTCACCAAGGTTGAAATGAAGGAAAAAATGTTAAGGGCAGCCAGAGACAAAGGTCGGGTTACCCACAAAGGGAAGCCCATCAGACTAACAGTGGATCCCTTGGCAGACACTCTACAAGCCAGAAGAGACTGGGGGCCAGTATTCAACATTCTTAAAGAAAAGAATATTCAACCCAGAATTTCATATCCAGCCAAACTAAGCTTCATAAGTGACGGAGAAATAAAATCCTTTACAGACAAGCAAATGCTGAGAGACTTTGTCACCATCAGGCCTGCCTTACAAGAGCTCCTGAAGGAAGCACTAAACATGGAAAGGAACAAGTGGTACCAAAAACTGCAAAAACATGTCAAACTGTAAAGACCATTGACACTATGAAGAAACTGCATCAATTAACAGGCAAAATAAACAGCTAACATCATAATGACAGGATTAAATTCACATATAACAATATTAACCTTAAATGTAAATGGGCTAAATGCCCCAATTAAAAGACACAGACTGGCAAATTGGATAAAGAGTCAAGAACCATCAGTGTGCTATATTCAGGAGACTCATCTCATGTGCAGAGACACACGTAGGCTCAAAATAAGGGGATGGAGGAAGATCTACCAAGCAAATGGAAAGCAAAAAACAAAAAAAACAAAAAAAAAAAAAAAAAAAAAAAAGCAAGGATTGCAATTCTAGTCTCTGATAAAACAGACTTTAAACCAACAAAGATCAAAAGAGACAAAGAAGGCCATTACATAATGTTAAAGAGATCAATTCAACAAGAAGAGCTAACTGTCCTAAATATATATGCACCCAATACAGGAGCACCCAGATTCATAAAGCAAGTCCTTAGAGACCTACAAAGAGACTTAGACTCCCACACAATAATACTGGGAGAATTTAACACCCAACTGTCAATATTAGACAGATCAATGAGACAGAAGGTTAACAAGGATATCCAGGACTTGAACTCAGCTCTGCACCAAGCAGACCTAATAGACATCTACAGAACTCTCCAACCCAAATCAACAGAATATACATTCTTCTCAGCACGACTTCGCACTTTTTCTAAAATTGACCACATAATTGGAAGTAAAACACTCCTCAGCAAATGTAAAAGAACAGAAATCACAACAAACTGTCTCTCAGACCACAGTGCAATCAAATTAGAACTCAGGATTAAGAAACTCACTCAAAACTGCACAACTACATGGAAACTAAACAAACTATTCCTGAATGACTACTGGATAAATAAGGAAATGAAGGCAGAAATAAAGATGTTCTTTGAAACCAATGAGGACAAAGACACAACATACCCGGATCTCTGGGACACATTTAAAGCAGTGTGTAGAAAGAAATTTATAGCACTAAATCCCCACAAGAGAAAGCAAGAAAGATCTAAAATCAACCCCTAACATAAAAATTAATTGAACTAGAGGAGCAAGAGGAAAGAGCAAGACTAATAAAGAAGAAAAGAGAGAAGAATCAAATAGACGCAATAAAGAATGATCAAGGGGATATCACCACCAATCCCACAGAAATAAAAACTACCATCAGAGAATACTATAAACACCTCTATGCAAATAAACTAGAAAATCTAGAAGAAATGGACAAATTCCTGGACGCATACACCCTCCCAAGACTAAACAAGGAAGAAGTTCAGTCTCTGAATAGACCAATAATAGGTCCTGAAATTGAGGCAATAATTAATAGTCTACCAACCAAAACAAGACCAGGAGCAGATGGATTCACAGTCGAATTCTACCAGAGGTACAAAGAAGAGCTGTTACTATTCCTTCTGAAACTATTCCAATTAATAGAAGAGGGCATCCCCCCTAACTCATTTTATGACGCCAGCATCATCGTGATGCCAAAGCCTGGCAGAGACACAATAAAAAAAGTGAATTTTACACCAATATCCCTCATGAACATCAATGCAAAAATCCTCAATAAAATAATGGCAAACTGAATCCAGCAGCACATCAAAAACTTAGCCACCACGATGAAGTTGGCTTCATCCCTGGGATGCAAGGCTGGTTCAACATACGCAAATAAATAAACGTAATCCATCACATAAACACAACCAAAGACAAAAACCACATGATTATCTCAATAGATGCAGAAAAGGTCTTGGACAAAACTCTTGAGAATTTATTGAAAACTCTCCATAAACTAGGTATTGATGGAACATATCTCAAAATAATAAGAGCTGTTTATGACAAACCCACAGCCAATATCATACTGAATGGGCAAAACCTGAAAGCATTCTCTTTGAAAATCGGCACAAGGCAAGGATGTTCTCTCTCACCACTACTATTCAACATAGTGTTGGAAGTTCTGGCCAGGGCAATCAGGCAAGTGAAATAAATAAAGGGTATTCAATTAAGAAAAGAGGAAGTCAAATTGTCCCTGTTTGCAGATGACATGATTGTATATTTAGAAAGCCCTGTTGTCTCAGCCCAAAATCTCCTTAAGCTGATGAGCAACTTCAGCAAAGTCTCAGGATACAAAATCAATGTGCAAAAATCAAAAGCATTCCTATACACCAGTAACAGTCAAACAGAGAGCCAAATCATGAGTAAACTCCCATTAATAATTGCTACAAAGGGAATAAAATACCTAGGAATCCAACTTACAAGGGATGTGAAGGACCTCTTCAAGGAGAACTACAAACCGCTGCTCAGTGAAATAAAAAAGGGCACAAACAAATTGAAGAACATTCCATGCTCATGGATAGGAAGAATCAATATCGTGAAAATGGCCATAGTGCCCAAGGTAATTTTAGATTCAATGTCATCCCCATCGAGCTACCAATGACTTTCTTCACAGAGCTGAAAAAAAACTACTTTAAAGTTCATATGGAACCAAAAAAGAGCTCACATAGCCAAGACAATCCTAAGCAAAAAGAACAAAGCTAGAGGCATCACAGTACCTGATTTCAAACTATGCTACAAGGCTACAGTAACCAAAACATCATGGTACTGGTACCAAAACAGATATATAGACCAGTGGAACTGAACAGAGGCCTCAGAAATAACACCACACATCTACAACCATCTGATCTTTGGCAAGCCTGACAAAAACAAGAAATGGCAAAAGGATTCCCTATTTAAGAAATGGTGCTGGGAAAACTGGCTAGCCATATGTAGAAAGCTGAAACTGGATCCCTTCCTTACACGTTATACAAAAATTAACTCAAGAAGGATTAATGACTTAAATGTTAGACCTAAAACCATAAAAACCCTAGAAGAAAACCTAGGCATCACCATTCAGGACATAGACATGGGCAAAGACTTAATGACTAAAACAACAAAAGCAATGGCAACGAAAGCCAAAATAGACAAATGCGATCTAATTAAACTAAAGGGCTTCTGCACAGCAAAAGAAACTATCATCAGAGTGAACAGGCAACCTACAGAATGGGAGAAAATTTTTGCAATCTACCCTTCTGACAAAGGGCTAATATCCAGAATCTACAAAGAACTTCAACAAATTTACAAGAAAAAATCAAACAACTCCATCAAAAAGTAGGCAAAGGATATGAACAGACACTTCTCAAAAGAAGACATTTATGCAGCCAACAGACACATGAAGAAATGCTCATCATTACTGGTCATCAGAGAAGTGCAAATCCAAACGACAATGAGATACCATCTCACACCAGTTAGAATGGCAATCATTAAAAAGTTAGGAAACAACAGATACTGGAGAGGCTGCAGAGAAATAGGAACGCTTTTACACTGTTGGTGGGAGTGTGAATTAGTTCAGCCATTGTGGAAGACAGTGTGGCGATTCCTCAAGGATCTAGAATTAGAAATACCATTTGACCCAGAGATCCCATTACTGGGTATATACCCAAAGGATTATAAATCATGCTTCCATAAAGACACATGCACATGTATGTTTATTGTGGCACTATTCACAATAACAAAGACTTGGAACCAACCCAAATGTCCATCAATGATAGACTGGATTAAGAAAATGTGGCACATATACACCATGGAATACTATGCAGCCATAAAAAGGATGAATTTATGTCCTATGCAGGGACATGGATGAAGCTGGAAACCATCATTCTCAGCAAACTATCACAAGGACAGAAAACCAAACACCGCATGTTCTCACTCATCAGTGGGAGTTGAACAATGAGAACACATGGACACAGGTTGGGGAACATCACACACTGGGGCCTGTTTGGGGGTTGGGGGCTGGGGGAGGGATAGTATTGGGAGAAATTCCTGATGTAAATGACGGGTTGATGGGTGCAGGACACCAACATGGCACATGTATACCTATGTAACAAACCTGCACATTGTGCACATGTTCGCTAGAACTTAAAGTATAATATAAAAATCCAAAAAAAAGTGACGCATCATTTGATTCTATTTGGAACATTCCTGTTTGTGGTGAATGCTTGATAAAGCAGACTCTCAACAGGTGAGTCTGAAGCTACTATTCACCATATGCCCACATTTACCATGCACTCATTCAGCTAGATGTGGGGAATACACTGTAATATTTCAAAAGGATTGCCAGCATCATGGGTCTCTATATCAAATTCACCTCTAAGGGATTCTGCCACCTGAAGTGAGGTGGATATGGCTGTACCCAAAACTCTGGAAATAAGAGCTCTCCCAAGATTTCTGGTGTATCTGTGGGGGTAGGAATGGTGACAGCAAAAGAAATGACCACGGCCTTATCTAGCCACAGGAGTATGGCAGCTGAGCTGCTTTACTTGATTCATTAACTCTACATTCATTGATCATCTACTGTATGCCAAGTACTGGCCTAGGTGCTAGGATAAAAGAGATAAATAAGACATTGCAGGACTTGTATATGCACTTGGGAGAGACGGTCACGTAAACACATCATTGCAATGTGATGTATCAAAAGTTCAAGGTACAATGACAATAGGAATGAGGGGAAAAGCCACAAAGATAAGAGTCTTCAGAAAAATTAACTGACAAAGTGTGGTGATGATTCATCCCTGTGACTAAAGAAAGGAGTCGAGTTCTGTTTTATTCACCATTGTACCTCTAGCACCTTTTGGAAATGTAGCTGGATAGAGGACTACTCCTCTTCCTTTTTTCCTGTTATCCGTTTATCATTCAGCTTGCCTATTCTGTGCCAAACACTATGCAAGGTATTAGTGATATAAAATTATATAAGATACTGTTGCTTCCCTTGAAGAGCTCACAGTATAATGAAAGAGGAAAATGAGTGAACAAATAAATATTTAGATGTATCATTGATGCAATATTGTGGATGATGGATTAAGGAGTAACCCTGGAGATTATTGCAACAGATGAAAAATATTAATGTCCTAAACTGAGGCAGCAATACTGAGGATAAGTACAAGGAAAGGATAAACAAGGTATTTAGAACATAGATTTGGAAAAATGTAGCAAATAATTGGAGTGGTGGTAGGGGATGGTGAAAGGAAAAAAATAAAAATTGAAGTTGAATAAATCTTACATTTATAGCTTTGGTGACTGGATGCTACTATTAATACAGAGATAAAGAATTCAAAAATAAAAACAGATTTGGAACAAGAGTTAAGATCAGATATTAAGGCTTTGATTACAGAGTTGTTGAGTTTGATGTTTTTGTAGGATACCTCGGCACAGATGCCAACCAACTTTCAGATATTTGAGTCTGATGCTCAGGAAAAACATTAAAATCAGGGATAAAGATTCAGGAATCTTTAGCTTACTTATAATAGTTACAGTTGGAGGAGTGGATGAGATAACCCAAGAAGATTATGTAGCATGAGAAAAAAACCTGAGAAAAAACCAAAATATAAATATTGAGAAAAAGAAAAAAACTCCACATGCAATCCACTTTACAAAATGCTCTTTCCCTTTGAAAGAAGAGATAGAATAGTATTTAATGGGAGCCAGTGACTCTCTGTTTAACTTGGAATTCAGCATGCTATGTGCGTGTGGTTCATGGCATAGTCTACACCCCGTTTCTTCAGCCCTACCTCATAGGTCAGCCATGGTTGACACTGATTCCCAGTATGTGTGAATATTGTGAGGGGATTCTTTGAAACCAGGGACAAGTCGTGAGCAGTTTTCTGATGAAGGTTTTTTCCTGACATAGAAGTTATTTTCCCCTGGAAAAGAGATCCCAAAAGGAGATGATGGAAAAAGGAAACCATGATTATGATGGAAGAGGGATAGGGGTAGGTGAGAGTTTCAACCACAATCACTTGGCGTGCAGATCAAATGGCCTTGTGGTCAGGAACAAAACTGGAGCTTTCTTCTCATATGGGTTAGGATGTAGGCCTCGTGTGTGTGTGTGTGTGTCTTTGTGTGTGTGTGTGTGTATTCCTTCATGTTTGCGGCACATTCACAAATCCTATTATCTCCTTCTTAATACCAGTGGTGGATCTTGCCCATTCTTTATGGAAGGATTGACAGCCTAGCAGCCATCTGATGTCTGGATAAAAATATTTTAATAATTGAAAAGCTGGGTTACACAGGTTTTAGTTGCCATGTAAAGAATCAGAAATGATAGAATCACTTCATGCATTACCATCCTCTCTCTGAATAACTGATATTGCTTTAGCAAACTTGGAATTTACCTAAGTCAATTTTTTTCATTGGACTTTTAGTAGAACATAAAAACATGGTTGTGTTCACATTTTATTCTTCATCAGAAAGTATATAAGTTAAGACAAATTGTCTGAATGCAGTTGTTTTAATGTATTAAGGTATAACTTATACACAATAAAATGCACAACCACTTAGTGTTCAATTACATGAGTTTTGAAAATTATGTACACCCAAGCCTGATAATTTTATCAGCTGCTCCCATTTTCTCTGAATATATTTGCACAGGGCTTTCAGGAAAATTGTCTACTAGCTAACTCAAGACTTTCACTCAATTCTCCAAAATGAATAGGTCAGGGTGTGTCTGTTCCTTGACCTACCTTCTTTTCTTGGTCTGGGGGCCTGGGTCACTAAACTTGATGAGCTCTTTCTTGTGCTGCTACAGCCTTTTCATTTTGCCTATAGCAAGCAGGATGATTTTTAAAAAATTACATATGTGGTCTGCGTTATGTTTCGATCACAGATACTTTTATATAAAATAGGAAGCCCTTCCTTTTTCTCTTTCATAGCACCCTGTTTTTTCTCTTTATAGTATTTAACACCACCTATAATTATATTGTTTATCTTCGTATCTCCAACACTTAGGACCATGCCTGTCATAGAGGAGTTTTAAAATAATTAATTTTGGGCTGAACACATTAATTCAATCATTATTTCATTAACAAGTTGATCTCCCTACATTGACCCTTGCTCTCTTTAAATCCATTTGCAACCCTTCAGTCAGACTCACCTTTGAAAAATGTATAGCTGATTATGTGACTTATCCTGCCCAAAATCCTTCAATAGCTTTATGTTTGAACAAAGTCCAAATTTTTTAGTGTGACTGCTTTCCTCAAGATAGACTAAGTTGTGCAGTGGTAAAAAATTAACCCATAAATCTCAACAGTGATTTGTTTATTGATCATTATATATTACTGATATAGGCTGGGGAGAAAAAAGGGGGCTTGTTTCACACAGTCACTCAGGTGGCCAGGCAAATGGAGGCACCATCTTATAGCTCAACCATCTAGAGTATAGACACATTATATTTCAGAGACTTTGTTCTTCACAAATTGTTTCTCTACTAATAGCCTTTATCAAACCTAAGAGAACTAAATCCTAATGTAGTAAGGCAACTGTTGTATACAACACATTCATTTTTTTTCCTATGCATGTATAACGTTATTCATTATGAACTATCCTTAGGAGAATTAAAATGATAGTTACACAGATCATTTTCTGTGCTCTGTGGTTCAGTTGAGAAACATTGGTTGAGAAAGTCTGCAAATCTAGGAAACTTCCCGGCACATGATAGGTGGTGGATCTACATCTCTCTCTTTTTTTAAAAAATGAAGGAACCTATAAATGTTAGGTCTAGCAGGGATCTTGTAGATCATCTAATCTATTGGTTTCTCAACCCTGGCTATGCATTGAAATCACTTGAAGAACTTGTTAAAAATCACATTCTTAAGCTCCTCTTCTAGAGATTCTGGTTCAATACATCTGGCAGAAGGAACCAAGAATGTGCATTTTAAAATAATGCCTCCAGTGATTTTCATGCCGCCATTTAATTACTGCTTTCGGAGTATAGGCAGGCATTTGCATACCACCATTCTAGTTTAAACCACTCATTTTCACATTTGGAGTAGTTGTCTGCTAGATTCAGAACACAATTCAGAAAAAGAAATTAGTGTTTGTTTGTTGGGGAGGAGTTGGGGGGTAGGGGTCCAATGTCCAAGTCAGTTTCTTATAAGGCAATAGTCTTACCCTTGAGTTTTAAAAACAATTCCTGCTAGAATTAAATTGAGCCAGAAGAAGTCTAGATGCTTTCCAAGGTCTTCTTGAGGTCTAATATTCTGGGAAATTGGACTTTTAAGCCAGAGCTTCACTCCCAAATTAAGGAAAGCAATTGGAGCAACTGCTCTTAGGAATTATACCATCTTTTCCAAAAAGATGGGAGAAAGAGCAGGAATAAATCTAGCTGTGTTGGAAAACACTGTGCAATTATGTTTGTTTCCAATCTCAGATTAACCAAAAGTCCCGGAAAAATCACACAGAGACCCTTCAGGAGTCTACCAAGACAGTTTATTCCTATGCTCATCTACTCAACCTGAAAAAAATCAACTGTAAATCCAGGATTATATTCTGGGTTATATTCATTGGCCTAACACTGGTCTTTCCTTTTTTCCCCAGGATTATGTCTTTCAAAACATGCCAAGCCCAGAAACTTAGCTATGGTCTGAAGCTTCCTGGGATATTTGGCTGAATAATGGAGCATAGCCTGTTATTGTTTAGGGCCTGCACAGAGGGCTCAGAAAACATGCTGGGGTAGACAGGTGCCAGCTCAGTGGAGAGTTTAAGTGTTTGGCTCACTTTTCCAATCTCCGCTTCATTTCACCCGTCATTAGGAGAGAAGAGCTTTTCCTTGTTATTGGAAATAAAACAAGTTTTGAAACAGTTCCAATGTACAGTTCCTTACATGCGTCCCAGCAAGCCACAGCCTAGAAGACTTTGTGTGTTTGGTGCAATCATTTTTCTTCATGGTTTCCAGGACATGTGTATTAATATAATAAACTTACAAAGCACGATTTATATAGTTCATAGACCAACATTTCCCAAACTATATTCTGATATATTCCAGTCTTTCAAGATGCTCTGAGAAAATGAATTCCAGTGTGCAATAAATTTGGTAGAGCTGCATGTTTTAAATCTGATCTTGTTACTTTGCATATTATCCTTAATAAGGCACTGAGAAGCCCTGACGTGAGGAAACCTGTTTATCTCTGTTAAACTCATCAGGTTCTCATCACATAAACATAGTATCTTCCCTTAGAGGAATACCTTTTGATATATTGTGGATTGCTACTTGGAAAATGCTTTCAAAGACTAAATGACATTAGGAACCTCTGGAAATCATCCAATGCAACATGAAACTTGCATTCGGGGCTTATTTGTACTGTAGACATGAAACCATTTCTGTCATTCCCTAGGTCAGAAAGGAAAAACAAATATTTTATTTATTGAAAAGGCCAGTACAATTATACAGTAATGAGCAGTGATATTTCTGTAACACTTTCTTCTCAAGGAATTTCCTAAGCAACATGCAATAATTTTTCAAAAGGGTGTTGCATTAGAAATCCAAATACCTGCCTTCTGCACCAGCTCTGCCACTAACTAGCTGTGTGCCTTTATACCAGTTGATTAACTTCATGGGTATCAACTTGCTGATCCATAAAATAGGAACCACAATGCCTTTCTTATCCACTCCATAGGCTTCTTGTGAAATTCAAACAATGAAATATATCGGATAATTATTTCCTATTATTGTGAAAGGGCACAAATGACAGTGAGGCAGGGCTACTAAGGTGAGACCTAGGACCAGTAGAGAACTGGCATTGTAGCAGGGTCTGTGATGATTTGCATAAAGCACTGTGTTGTCATTGCTCTAGAAGGACTAGAAATAAAAAATAAGGCAACATCATTTTGGGCCCAAATTTTGCAAATCTCTTTCACCCCATCCCCGACCACCCCATTTCAACAGATCAAAAAAAACCATGATTTAAGGTAGCTGGAACATAGGTACTGGAAGCACTTGCATGTTGTCTCAGCTCTGACTTTCATCTTGCCCCACATCACCCCCCAACTTCTATCCCAGTAAACAGTGAACAGGTTCAGCGACTGTTGCAGGCACTCTGCCTTCCTCTCACCATCCTGCTCAAGTTAATATTCTTCATTTGCCTCCTTATTGACTTCCTCTATGATTCACACAGCACATCTAGGAGGCTACAGACCTAATAGGGACCTTCTATTTCCCCTTCCCATCCAAGTCCCTGTGATTCAAGTGAACACTTGGGAAAGAGGTCACAGGGAAAATTTCTGTCCCTCCAGGTAACTGGTAAATATAGATGTCTGGGCTGACTAGACCATGATACTGACTCAGGCTGTGAATTCCTTTGAGTTTGTTACTCAAAAGAATTGGATCTTAGTTGAAGCATCCTTCTCTATGTCCTTGATTCTGTTTCCATTATGCGTCCATGGTAAACAATAGGTAAAGGGCAAAAGGCTTTTATAGGATCTTGTTTCTAAAATAGTCCCCTTCCCTGCTGCCTTATAATGATCAGCACTGTAATCTCATATTTGCTGTCACTTGTATCCTCAAAATGTTAAAGGCCCACATCACTGTCACCCTTGCATGAGCACAGAGGCTGCTTTTTCTGTTTTATCAGTTATCCATTGATGTGGTTTGGCTGTGCCCCCACCCAAATCTCATCTTGAATTATAGCTCCCATAATTCCCACGTGTCACAGGAAGGACCCAGTGAGAGGTAATTGAATCATAGGGGTGGGTTTTTCCAACGCTATTCTCATGATAGTGAATAAGTCTCACGAGACCTGATGGTTTTATAAAGGGCAGCTCCTCTTCACATGCTCTCTTGCCTGCTGCCATGTAAGACGTAACTTTGCTCCTCCTTGCCTTCTGCCATGATTGTGAGGCCTCTTCAGCCATGTGGAACTGTGAGTCAATTAAACCTCTTTTATTTATAAATTACCCAGTCTCAGGTATATCTTTATTAGCAGCGTGACAACAGACTAATAGATCCATCGTGTGTAGCAAAATACCCTAAATGTTAGCAGCTTACAACATCACACATTTATCATTGCACAGTATCTGTGGGTCAGGAATCTGAAGGTGGCTTAGTTTGGTTCTCTGACCCATAGTCTCTCAAAAGTCTGCAAACGAGGTGATGGCCAGGGCCACAGGTACCTCCATGTTCTAGTGGGAGAGTGCTTTCAAGCTTACTCAGGGGTCGTTGGCAGGATTCAGATCTTGGGGGCGGTTGGACTAAAGGCCTTTGTTCTTCACTGGCTGTGGGCCAGAGCCAGAAGATGCTCTGTGTTCCTTGCTATGTGAGCCTCTCTGTAGAGCAGTTTGTAACATGGAAGATAGCTTCATCAATGTGAGCAAGCAGAAGAGAGCAAGAGAAAGTGTACAAAGACAATGGAAGTCAAAATCATTTATAACTGAATCTCAAAAGTAATATTCCTTCATTTTTGTTATGTTCTATTAGTTAGAAGCAAGTTACTAGATCCAGTCTACAAACTAAGGGAGTAGATTTAACAACAGAAGGGAATTACACAAGAATGCAAATCCTAGAAGACAGAGATCATTGCAAGGGGTGGGGAATCTTAGAAGGCTACATACCACACTGTCCTGTATTAGGCATGTGGAAAATTCTGGAATTTGGGCTCCTCTTCGCTCCACAGATTTGATCATCTGGGCTCTACTTCCCTGGCAGGATTCTTTAACCCTACTTTTGATCAGTTGTGCTCGAGCATGTCCTACTCCCTTTAATTTTCTTGCCATCTTTTAGTATGTCATCCCTGTGTGTCCTCTGACCATTCTTTGAAGTAAGCCAGAATCCTGTTACTGTTGTTTAACAATCAAGGGATATGGGATCTAAAATTTCCTCCATAGCTTCTAGTCCCTTTTTCTTGATTAAAGAGAAAACACAAACCATCAGTAATCTCACTGAAGAGTTTTATGTCACTCGTTCCAACTTCCCACACCAGAGGTACATACGCCTTCTATTCCTTAATCATAACAGACTTGCTGTTCCACTAGGCAATGAAAAACAATCCCCAAAGGATAATAGGGCTATTCTGTGTGAGAAGAGCCTAGTTTTTTATTTATTGAAGCCAAATTAAAACTGTTTCCACAGGAGAGGGATTATCTCCAGCAGTCTGCAGAGTTAGTTTTCTATTCACCATAAATCAGGCAAACAACAAATATTTATTAAGTCCCTATAGTAGGTCCAACACTATTCTAGGTGCTTGGAGTATCAAGAAGAGAAACAGAAGACACGTTGACTTCCATCAAAGACATGAGAGTCTGTTGTTCCCCCAAAGCACAGCTTATTTGGATTGAGACCAGAAACAAAACATTAATTTCAACAACATTCTGGAGACCTGTGGAGCTATGCCTTAAAGAATGGATAAGATTTCGTAGGCAGGGGGAATAAGGAGGGGAGAATAGCACAAATGTAAATGTGGAACTGAGAAAAGGTTGAGATGATAATTTCCTTTTCATTTTATTTGTCTTCATTAATCTCTTCTCATTTTAAAAAATCTTCTCGATGGCAGGTGACATAAGCAGTTTGAATTTTCCTGTAATTCTTGCTGATAGGGAAAGGCCACTTCCAGCTCAAACATTGGTCAAAGTTGCAGTCTGCCCATTTTTATGCTCTTTTGTCACCATTTCTTCTGTTCTATAATTGCTTTTTTTCTACTTTGGATTCAACTGCTGACACTTGGTCCAGATTTGAAAGTTGCCCCACACTTCCTCTTCTGTTGCCCATCTTTCTGTATTCTGCCACCGCTTCTATTTTATAAACATTTATAAAGTGCCCACTCTAAGCCAGGCCTTATGCTAAGTGCTGTGAGTAAATAATAGAGATGAAAAAGACATGGACCTTACCCTCAAGGATTTCACAGTTCAGAAGCGTATGGGGACAAATAAGATGACAAGAATAACTCCCACACAAGAAAAATTGGCCAGTACCATGGGGAATGCTAATGCACATCACTATGAGGAATATTCCTCATTTGGGTGTATGGTATTTGGTTTTTACCTATGCATTTTGTAGGCCTCAATTCTGCCATGTTTTGAAATAAAAAGTCTGTATGTTTGCATCTGTCTGTATGTGTGTGGTTTCCCTGTTTGGCTGTTGCATGGCCTCTATTCTGTCTTAACAGTGGCCAATTAATCTCTGGAATGCCTGGAATGTCACTTCCTAATGAGCTGATGCTGTAGACTGTGGTCCATTCTCCAGAGGGCTTTGGTCGTGCTGGGATGAGGGTGGGGGTGGGAGAGCAGTTAAGACAAAGATTTCCTTTTTGGCCAGGAAGCATCCCTTTGATGCCACACCTGGGACTAGTGGGCAGCACAATCAGTGGAAAACAGCAATTAAACCAAGCCATTGGCACCAGTGCTCTGTCAGGCCTTCCCATGAAAAGGCGTTCCTTTCATTTTTGCAGGACTGAGAATTGAAGTCTCATCAGAATGAGTTGTTTCTTAATCCAACAGAAAGTAGGCTACTTTGTGCTGACATTTGGGTCATAATGAAAATGTGATAAGACAGTAGGCACAAGGCAGAACCTGGCTGTGCTGGGCCGATAACAGCACTATGCAATAGATGGTATGTGGCTGTGGAAAATTTCATGCGCGTCCGTGTGAAGAGACCACCAAACAGGCTTTGTGTGAGCAACATGGCTGTTTATTTCACCTGGGTGCAGGCGGGCTGAGTCTGAAAAGAGAGTCAGTGAAGGGAGATAAGGGTGGGGCCATTTTATAGGATTTGGGTAGGTAAAGGAAAATTACAGTCAAAGGGGGTTTGTTCTCTGGCGGGCAGGAGTGGGGGTCGCAAGGTGCTCAGTGGGGGGTGTTTTTTGAGCCAGGATGAGCCAGGAAAAGGACTTTCACAAGGTAATGCCATCACTTAAGGCAAGGACTGGCCATTTACACTTCTTTTGTGGTGGAATGTCATCAGTTAAGGTGGGGCAGGGCATATTCACTTCTTTTGTGATTCTTCAGTTACTTCAGGCCATCTGGGCATATATGTGCAAGTCACAGGGGATGCCATGGCTTGGCTTGGGCTCAGAGGCCTGACATTCCTGCCTTCTTATATTAATAAGAAAAATAAAACAAAATAGTGTTGAAGTGTTGGGGCAGTGAAAATTTTTGGGGGGTGGTATGGAGAGAGAGAATGGGCGATGTTTCTCAGGGCTGCTTCAAGCGGGATTAGGGGCGGCGTGGGAACCTAGAGTGGGAGGGATTAAGCTGAAGGGAGGTCTTGTGGTAAGGGGTGATATTGTGGGGATGTTAGAAGAAACGTTTGTCGTATAGAATGATTGGTGATGGACTGGATACAGTTTTGGATGAATTGAGAAACTAAATGGAATAACAGAAGGAGAAAAACAGGTATAAAAAGCCTAAGAATTGGGACGACTCAGGATATCTGATTAGAGAGTGCCTAAGGAGATTCAGCATAGTCCTGCCAGCAAAGATTATTTATTTACTTCAAGAGTTAAGAGTGGCAGTTTGGGGATAGCACTAGGAGATATCAGCTGTGATGGCTTGGAAAAACACTGTAAACCAGCAGTGTAAACAAGAGCAGGGCATGTATGACTAGTTGAGAACTGTGAATAGGAGTATGACTAGACAGAAGATAGTAGGGATGACAAGTTTTTTGGGGCACAGTCTAAGTTGGTCTGGTGTCTGGAATGAGACTGGGGCCTAATAAAAAGGAGCGTCTATACAGGAGCTTAAATGGGCTGTACCCTGTAGCATTCTGAGGACAGGCCTGAATTCTGAGAAGGGAAAGTGGTAAAAGTATTGTCCAGTCCTTTTTGGTGGCTGAGCTTGGTGAGGTGTGTTTTTAAAAGACCTTTAGTCCATTCTACTTTTCTTGAAGACGGAGGACTGTAAGGGATATAAAGGTTTCACTGAATACTAACAGCCTGAAAAACTGCTTGGCTGATTTGACTAATAAAGGCTCAGCTGTTATCAGACGGTATTGAGGTTGGAAGGCTAAACTGAGGAATTATGTCTGACAGAACGGAAGAAATGACTATGGTGGCCTTCTCAGACCCTGTAGGAAAGGCCTCTACCTATCCAGTGAAAGTATCTACCTAGACTAAGAGGTATTTTAGTTTCCTGACTAGGGCATGTTGAGTAAAGCTAATTTGCCAGTCCTGGGTGGGGCAAATCCTCGAGCTTGATGTGTAGGGAAGGGAGGGAGCCTGAATAATCCCTGAGGAGTAGTAGAATAGCAGATGGAACACTGAGAAGTTATTTCCTTGAGGATAGATTTCCACGTGGAAAGGAAATGAGAGGTTCTAAGAGGCGGGCTAGTGGCTTGTACTATAGCATAACCTGCCTTTGCTGGTGTGTGGCGATTAGGCCTGGTGGAACCGCCATCAATAAATCAAGCGTGATCAGGGTGAGGAACAGGAAAGAAGGAAATTTGGGGAAATGGGGCGAATGTCAGTTGGATCAGAGAGATACAGTCATGGGGGTCAGGTGTGGTATCAGGAATAATGTGGGAGGCCGGATTGAAGTCTGGGCCAGGAACAACGGTAATTGTGGGAGACTCAACAGTGAGTGTAGCTGAAGGAGCCGGGAAGCAGAAAGTATATGCATCAGGTATGAGGAAGAAAATAGATTTTGGAAGTTATGAGAACTGTAGAGAGTGAGTTGAGCATAGTTTGTGATTTTGAGGGCCTCTAAAAGTATTAAAGCAGTGGCAGCCACTGCACACAGACATGAGGGCTAGGCTAAAACAGTAAGGTCAAGTTGTTTGGACAGAAAGGCTACAGGGTGTGGTCCTGGCTTTTGTGTAAGAATTCCAACCGCGCTAACCATGCCTAGGAAGGAAAGCAGTTGTTGTTTCGTAGAAGGTGCTGGGGTTTGAGAGATCAGTCGGACACGATTGGCAGGGAGAGCACGTGTGTTTTTATGAGAATTATACCGAGATAGGTAACAGATGAGGAAGAAATTTGGGCTTGATTGAAGTAATGGGGGCTGTCTGTGAAGCTTTGCGGCAGTACAGCCTAGGTAATTTGCTGAGCTTGATGGGTGTCAGGGTCAGTCCAAGTGAAAGCGAAGAGAGGCTGGGATGAAGGGTGCAAAGGAATAGTAAAGAAAGCACGTTTGAGATCTAGAACAGAATAATGGGTTGTAGAGGCAGGTATTGAGGATAGGAGAGTATATGGGTTTGGCACCATGGGGTGGATAGGCAAAACAATTTGGTTGATAAGGCACAGATCCTGAACTAACTTGTAAGGCTTGTCTGGTTTTAGGACAGGTAAAATGGGGGAATTGTAAGGAGAGTTTATAGGCTTTAAAAGGCCATGCTGTAGCAGGCGAGTGATAATAGGCTTTAATCTTTTTAAAGCGTGCTGCGGGATGGGATATTGACATTGAGTGGGGTAAGGGTGATTAGGTTTTAATGAGATGGTAAGGGGTGCATGATCGGTCGCCAAGGAGAGAGTAGAGGTATCTTATACTTGTGGGTTAAGGTGGGGGGGATACAAGAGGAGGACGCAAAGGAGGCTTTGGATTGGGAAGAAGGGCGGCAATGAGATTTAGCTGTAGTCCAGGAATAGTCAGGGAAGCAGATAATTTAGTTACAGTGTCAGCCTAATAAGGGAACTGGGCAGGTGGAGATAAGTAAAAAGGAGTGCTTAAAAGAGTATTGTCTAAGTTGGCACCAGAGTTGGGGAGTTTTAAGAGGTTTAGAAGCCTGGCCATCAATACCCACAACAGTTATGGAGACAAGGGAAACAGGCCCTTGAAAAGAAGGTAATGTGGAGTGGGTAGCCTCCGTATTGATTAAGAAGGGGATGGGCTTACCTTCCACTGGGAGAGTTACCGGAAGCTCGGCGTCCGTGATGGTCTAGGGGGCTTCCGAGGCGATCGGGCAGCGTCAGTCTTCAGCCGCTAAGCCGAGAAGATCTGGGAAGGAGTCAGAGAGCCTTGGGCCAGAGTTCCAGGGGCTCTGGGAGTGGCTGCCAGGTGAGTTGAACAGTCTGATTTTCAGTGGGGTCCCACACAGATGGGATGCAGCTTAGGAGGAATCCCGGGCTGCGGGCATTCCTTGGCCCTGTGGCCAGATTTCTGGCACGTGTAGCAAGCTCCTGTGGGAGGAGGTTCTGGAGGAACGTCTGGCCACTGTGGTTCAGGCATTTGGAAGTTCTTATGTGCTGGAGATGTGGCTGGGATTTGTCTCACAGTGGAGGCAAGGAATTGCAACTTTTTTCTATTATTGTACACCTTGAAGGTGAGGTTAATTAAATCCTGTTGTGGGGTTTGAGGGCCAGAAATTAATTTTTGGAGTTTTATTTAATGTCGGGAGCAGATTGGGTAATAAAATGTACTTTGAGAATAAGATGGCCTTTTGACCTTTTAGGGTCTAGGGCTGTAAAGTGTCTCAGGGTTGCTGCCAAAGAAGTCATGAACTGGGCTGGGTTTTTACATTTGATGAAAAAGAGACTAAACGCTATCTGATTTGGGATAAAGAAAAAGGAGCATTAACCTTGACTATGCCTTTAGCTCCAGCCACCTTTTTAAGAGTAAATTGCTGGGCAGGAGGGGGAGGGCTAGTCACCGAAGGAAACTGTAAGCCGGACCAGGTGTGAGGAGGGGAGGTGATAAAAAGATTATAGGGTGGAGGAGCAGAGGCTGAGGAAGAATTGGGACCTAGCTCGGCCTGGCGAGGAGCAGCCTGGGGAGGAAGGGAGAGGTCAGATGGGTCTGTAGAAAAGGAAGATTAGAAAGACTCAGCAACGCTTGGGGTTGGTACAGAGGGAATAGGCGGGAGGGAAAGAAAGAAGATTTGGGATGAGTTGCACTGGGCACAGAGACTAGGAAGGGACTGATGTGTAAAAGAATGCCTGGACGTCAGGCACCTCAGACCATTTGCCTATTTTATGACAAGAATTATTTAGAATCTTGCAGGATGGAAAAATTCAAAGTGCCATTTTCTGGCTATTTGGAACTACTGTCGAGTTTGTATTGGTGTCAAGCAGCATTGCAGAAGAAAATAAGGCATTTAGGTTTTAGGTCAGGTGTGAGTTGAAGAGGTTTTAAGTTTTTGAGAACACAGGCCAAGGGAGTAGAAGGAGGAATGGAGGGTGGAAAGTTGCCCATAGTGAAGGAAGCAAGCCTAGAGAAAAGAGAGAGTAGAGAAATGGAGGTAAGGGGTTCGGGGGTTCTTACCTTCCAGAAAAGTGGGAAAAGGGGTTGGGGCACAGAGATAAGAGGTTGGGGCATGGAAAAAAGGGATGGGGTGCAGAAATAAGGGGTTGGGGCATGGAAATAAGGGGTCGGGACATGGAAATAAGGGGTTGGGGCACAGAAATAAGGGATTGGGGCACAGAGATAAGAGGTTGGGGCATGGAAATAAGGGATTGGGGCACAGAGATATGAGGTTGGGGTACTTGCCCCTCCTCTAGAAAAGCGGGACTTGCTGCTAAGAGTGAAGGAGAAGGGGTTGAGGGGTACTTGCCTCTCCCCCAGAAAAGCAGAGAAGGGGTAGAGACAAGGAGAGAAGGGGTTGGGGTACTTGGCCCTTCCCCAGAAAAGCGGGACTTGCCGCTAAGAGTGAAGGAGAAGGGGTTGAGGGGTACTTTCCCCTCTCCCAGAAAAGCAGAGAAGGGGTAGAGACAAGGATAGCAGAGGTTGAGGTACTTGCCCCTTCCCCAGAAAAGCGGGACTTGCCGCTAAGGGTGAAGGACCAAGGCAGGCGTCCCTGCGTGGTCTGACACCCTTGAAATGTGGGTGTATAATCAGAGAGGCATCTCTGCAATGATTAAACACCAAGGGAAGGCTGCCTTCCCAGTCCGTGACCGGCGCCGGAGTTTTGGGTCCACGGATAAAACGTGTCTGCTTTGTCTCTCCCAGAAAAATGAAAGGAATTGAAATTAAGAGAAGGGAGAGATTGAAGAGTGGAAAGGAGAAAGTGGTTGAGGGACAGTGAGAGAGGTTGGAGAAGAGAGTAAGAAGAGGCTGCTTACTTGATTTAAAATTGGTGAGATGTTCCTTGGGCTTGTCGGTCTGAGGACCTGAGGTCATAGGTGGATCTTTCTCACAGAGCAAAGAACAGGAGTACAGGGGATTGATCTCCCAAGGGAGGTCCCCTGATCCGAGTCACGGCACCAAATTCCTGGGTTTCAGCACCAAATTTCATGCGCATCCATGTGAAGAGACCACCAAACAGGCTTTGTGTGAGCAACATGGCTGTTTATTTCACCTGGGTGCAGGCGGGCTGAGTCTGAAAAGAGAGTCAGTGAAGGGAGATAAGGGTGGGGCCGTTTTATAGGATTTGGGTAGGTAAAGGAAAATTACAGTCAAAGGGGGTTTGTTCTCTGGCGGGCAGGAGTGGGGGTCTCAAGATGCTTAGTGGGGGAGCTTTTTGAGCCAGGATGAGCCAGGAAAAGGACTTTCACAAGGTAATGTCATCACTTAAGGCAAGGACTGGCCATTTACACTTCTTTTTGTGGTGGAATGTCATCAGTTAAGGTGGGGCAGGGCATATTCACTTCTTTTGTGATTCTTCAGTTACTTCAGGCCATCTGGGCATATATGTGCAAGTCACAGGGGATGCGATGGCTTGGCTTGGGCTCAGAGGCCTGACAGAAAACAAGACCTGTAAATACAGCACACACTTGACATAAGGGCAGTAGGAGAACTTTCAGAATATATCTGTTAGGAAAATGGATCCACCTGTCTATCCAGTCTCCTCAAACTTGTAAGCATTACTGCACACTAGTGCCTGCTAAGTCCTTGGCAATCACCAGGATGAAAGGGAATGGACACAGAGCTGCAAGGGTTATTAAGTTGCTTGTCATTCTACAAATGGAGAGAAGAACCTGTGGTATGATAGGGGTAGAAAATGGCTGGCTAGGTAGTACTGAAGAAATCTACTATCTGCTGAGTCAGGATAGAGACAATAGGCACATTTTATAAGGACCAGATGTAGTTTCTGTTCTATTTGCAAGCTGTAACTGTGATAGTGGTCCTCAAAATGAAAAAAATCACTTACTCCAGAACCCTAATTTTATGATTCATTGGATGAGGCCCTGTAATATGTTTTTTTTTGGAGAAAGGTTCTTTTCTACCCATTGAGAACTACTGCTCTAGGAAAAATCCAGACCTTGGTTCTAATTTAAAGGGTCCTGGTTGGGTGACTTGAAGTTACTTACCTCCACCTCATTGTACAGCCCTGATTCCGTTTAGTTCTAGTGAACTAGGGACTTTGGTATTTCTCTTTGACCAAAGCCCCCTCTTCACACCCCTGTTTCAATAACTGCTTACTTCTCCAGTTTCCTTAACACAAATTATTGGAAAGGGAATTTGTCCAGAACTGAAGTTCTTCTAAAGGAGTGCTTCTCTAATTTCTGAGTACATCAGAATCAGGTGTATTCTGCCAGATCAAATACGGGACACCCAGTTAAATTTGAATTTCAGATAAACAACAAATAATTTTTCAGATTAAATAACAAATAATAGTATAAGTATGCCACTTGCAACATTTGGAACATATTTGTAATAAAATATGATTTGCTGTTCATCTGAACATAACATTCAATTGGACATTTTGTATTTTTATTTCTTAAATCTGACAACCCAACTTTGGCAGCTTATTAAAAATGCAGATTATTGTGTTCTACCCCCAGAATTTTAATTTTCATGTCTGGGGTAGGGATTTTTTAACATGTAAACATGTACATTGAGACAGGTAGCTAAAGTATACACATTATAAAACCCATTTTTAATACTAGAGACATGTTTGTGGCCCCTGTTCCATGGTACTTCTTGGGCCTAGAGTCCTTCCCTAGGATCATAGTTCTGTATTTGGCTCTGTTCCAATTCTGGATAGCCCAAGTTCCCAGTACTTGTCCGTCTATGCAAGGAAGCATATCAGTACAGGAAGGTGTTTCCCAAGGCCCATACCTCCGGAGAATAGAGGGAAATGGTGTAAATAATTTAAAATACTCTCAACTGATGATGATATAATAATAATAAAAATGATGTTAACAACTATGATTTATATAGCACTTACTGTGTGCCAGGTACTGTTTAAGTGTTTTTACATATGTTAACCCCTTTAATCCTCACAACCCAATAAAGTAGATACTATTATTATTCCCACTTTAAGTTTTTTTTTGTTTATCAAAATCCCCATTTAGCTAGGCAGTTTTATCTATTTATAGTCACCTTCAATCAAATTCTTGGAGAGCAGGGTCCAGTAATGGCCCTAAATCAAATGTGAAATGGGCATTTTGTTTTCCTTATCCCTCACACTCCCTATTGGACACCTGCCTCCAGCCCTCAATCATTTTTTTATATTCTCTAATTTCTTCCTCATGTCCCACAACCTAACTCAGCTCTCTGATTTCCCCAAGTATCACTGAAAACTCAAAAGGCACTTACTAATAAGGTCCTTCTTGTTCTCAAAACAACTCAACAATAGCTACCTTGCTGAGCAAAGGATTTGGCAAGTGTGTGTGTGTGTGTGTGTGCATGTGCGTGTGCGTGTGTGTGTGTGTGTGTTGGGATAAGGGTGAGATGTAGTATTTAAGTAAAACTTTCTAGGCAAATCTAGGCAGTTCCAGGGAAAATGGATGGCCCTTTATTACTGTTCAAATGAATTATATCTGACAGTTCTTGTAAATAGAACAAACAGGAGGCTTGTTTCCCAACTCAAAAAATGGAGGTAAAATTACCCCTAAGTTTGAGCCTAATGCTAATAAGCTGACTTATATGCATGTCTTCTCTGCTCCCTAGAAACAGTCCCTGACTCAAAGAAAATCTTCTACTTTAGCTGCAGATCTTGGAATAGAACACTTCCTGTCTTTGTCCTAATTAATACCTCAGTTCAGCTGAGTGTAATTGGCCTAGAATACAGAGCTATGTTCAGTGTCTCTTGGGTTGGTTGCACAATATGAGTTCAACTGAAGCTACAGAAGAACTTGTCAGCAGCAGGCTGAAAGCCTAAGAAATAAACCTATTCCTGAAGGATTGGGGAGCAGTAGAATGCTTTTGGAAGACACAAAACAATACAAGAAATACATTGGTGAAGCTAAGCAGGGTTATTGTGGCCTCTTTCCATAAGGAGTGTTGGAAATAATTCATTCATTTATTCATCTACTTATCATTCATCCATTTATTCAACAAATATTTAACGTGGGTCTACTATGTGTCGACCACTATTTAAGGAGCAAGTGATGTTAGTATGAAAAAGAAAAGGTTCTAGCTTTTATGAAGCTTACATTCTAGTGAGGAAAGATCTGGTGTAGAATCCAGTGATTTAGAGTCAGTAATATGGATCAGGACCATGGCTTATTGACGCATTGAAGTCACCACAAGCAATGAGCCTAGGGTCAATAGTGGCCTAAGGTCATTGTCTAAGGTCGAAACTAGAAGGCTGAGCTAAACATCCCCATTTGGACATCCTTCTCCCTTATTTCTTCTAAGTCAAAGCCTCCTTGTCGCTCAAGGTCTACCTTCTGTTGCATTCACTCCCTAAAGCCTTCTTCATGAAAACAGCCCACAATAAAATCTCCTTCTTTTGCTTTCTAAGTCTGCAGTCTTGCACTTAATTATGGAAGGTCTCATTTCCTAGTCATTTTTTTTTTTATCTGTGCCTAATATCTGTTCTTACCTTGCTGGTAGTGAGGTGGCTGTAGCTGATAAATTATACACAAAGTAAATCTGATTCTTTCCCATAGGGATCCAGGATCCCATAGGATCTGACTCTGTCAAATTTCCTGCAGATACTAGTTCATCCTGACCCTAGAATATGTCAGTGCCCATCTAAGGAGTCACAAAGACAATTCACTCTTACAAAGGGTCCAGAAACTCCTTAAAGCCAATTTTGTTTTTTTTTTTTTGTGTCTTAAGGGGAAGTGACAATCTATGTTGTCCAGGGGGGCTGGGGTATAGGTGTGTTGGTAATGCTTATCAGTCAGGGATCTTAGTTGTGAAGAACCAAAACACAAACTGACAGTTTAAGGATAAGGTAAATTATTAAAAATAAATTATTTGAGGCTCTTGAGAAGCTCACAGAATCTCTGAGAAAGCCAGAGTACCAAAGTTGGAGGCAGTGCAGTCAAAAATAACAATCAAAATCACAATGTAGAAATGGAGATACCACTGGCAATACTGCTGGACATGAAGACCACAGCTTGAATGGTAAAGAAGAGAAAGGCAGACCCTGTATTGAGGAAGCTTTCCTGGTGCTATCACTGAGGCCTTCGTGTTGCAAGGAACTGGTCTAGAACTCATAGCTAGGTCTTGGTGTTCTCTTGTTGAACATGGATAGTTTCTCAGACTATCACCTCAGATAGAGGTACTCTGTGAGGGTGACAGATCAATGCAAAAACATGAACATTGCCCAAAACCACAAAAATGACCACCTCCCCCCTAGCCAATATGAGTAATTGCTGCTTCTTTACAAACTGCAAGCTTAGCCTTGGGCTAGTCTTTGCCACTCCTAGGTGACATTTATTGTGAAACCAAATCATAGAATTATCCCCACTTCCTGACAGCATCCAATCTAGAGCAAAGCCCCACTTCCTTAAACCCTCACCCAAATCATCTAACACAAACCTCAATCTTGTAATAAGTCCCCTCTATCATTCTCCCTGAACTGTGCATTTGCCCTTGCAGCAATGAGGGATAAACCCAACTTGTTCAACTACCCAGATGTGTTCCTGGCAGTCTTTGGCTACAGGGCATTGACAACTGCCAATATCACTTATTGTGAGCACCAGATGCTACCACTAGAACCATTGTGACTGCTGCTTCTGCCAACTAAATGGGACTGACACTGCCATGGCCAGAATGGACTCCATACAGTTTCTGTTTCTCTGCATCACTAACTTCTAATTCAAGCTCTGAGTAAGCACATTGGGTTGAAGGAGAATGGATCACAAGCCTCAACTCTAGCAGCAGGGAGGCTTGAAAAGCAATTATCTGGTTTCTTTGAGGAGTCTGGGATTTTTAAGGTGAGGAATTCCCAAAACAGGGGAAGGGTGTTCAAAATAGCTGAGCAGTTCTAGATGACATTGTAAGTTCTCCACCCAGATCCCCAGGGATCCCAGTTACTGGTCTGATGTGCTCATCCTTCAGCTGTGGTGGGTGCTGTTGCTAAAGGCTCACACTTGTTACCTTCTTGGTAGGTTTATCCTTGGGTAAGTTGAGCCATATCACCTGAAGGTGCTCGAGAGTTATGTCTTTCTCCTAAGCCTGTCCATAGCTGATGAACTAATTAGGTTAGCAGTACAAAATTCCCAACCCTTTATCTCAAAATAGGACAGACTTTTCAGAGCATTTTTTACGTGGGATAAGATGAAGTTAACTGTGGGATAAGATTAAGACTAGATTTCATCTGAAATTACATCCTTGTTTAGCCCCGTCTCCTTTTTTATCCTGCTTCCCTAATTCTCTCACAGGATTCTCCTGAGAGTATTCTCCTAATACATCACTTATATCAGAATATCTCTTGGTAAAGATCTATACACTGAAAACTATAAAACCTTGATGAAAGAAATTAAGGAAGACACAAATAAGTGGAAAGATATCTCATTATGTGGATCGGAAAATTAATATTGTTAAAATGTCCATACTGCTCCAAATGATGTACAGATTCAATGCAATACCTATCAAAATTCCAATGACATTTTTCATGAAAGTAGAAAAAGAAATTCTGAAATTCATATGGAACCATAAAAGACCACAGCTGGAAGCATCACACTCTCTGACATCAAAATATACTACAAAGCTATTGTAACTAAAACAACATGGTATTTGCATAAACACAGTCACAGAGACCAATGGAACAGAAGGGAGAGTCCAGAAATAAATCCATACATTTATGGTCAATTGATTTTGATAAAGGTGTCAAGAGCACACAACTGGGAAAAGAGAATCTCTTCAATAAATGATGTTGGGAAAACTAGATATTCAAATACAGAATGAAATCAGACCCTAATCTCACACAATACACAAAAATCAACTCAAAATACATTAAAGACTTAAATGTAAGACTTGAAACTGTAAAACTACTAGGAGAAAACATGGCAGAAAACTCCACGACATTGGGCATGGCAATGATTTTGTTTGCATATGAACCCCAAAGCACAGGCAACAAAAGGAAAAATAAACAAATGGAATGACAGCAAACTGAAAAGCCCATGCACAGCCAAGGAACCAATCAGCAGAGCAAAGACAACATTCAGAATAGAAGAAAATATTTGTGAACTATACATCTGATAACAGGTTAATATTTGAAATGTAGAAGGAACTCAAGTAACTTGACAGTAAGAAAACAAAAATCCAATTTAAAAAATCAGCAAAGGATCTGAATAGACATTTCTCAAAAGAAGACATAAAAATGGCCAATAGGTATATAAAAATTACTCAGAATCACTAATCATTAGAGAAATGCAAACGAAGAACCACAAGGAGATATCACCTCACACTTGTTAGAGCAGCAGCTATTATTAAAAAAACAAAGAAGTTTTAGAGAGGGTGTAGTGAAAAACCTGTGCACACTGTTGGTGGGAATGTTAATTAGTATGGCCATTGTAGAAAACAGTGTGGAGGTTCCTTTTAAAATTAAAAATAGAACTACCTTATGACTCAGCAGTCCCACTGTGGGGTGGGTATGCATCCACGGGAAATAAAATCATTATCTTGAAGAGTTATTGGCACTTCTACATTCATTGCAACATTATTCACAATAGCTAAGATATGGAATATATGTAAGTGTCCATTAATGAATAAATGGATAAAGAAAATATGGTGCCTATACACAATGGGATACTATTCCACCTTTAAAAAGATGAAACTCCTGTCATTTGTGACAACATGGATGAACCTGGAAGACATTATGTAAGTGAAATAACCCAGGCACAGAAAGAAAAATGCCACACAATCTCACTTATATGTAGGACCTTAAAAAGTTGAATCCCTAGAAGTAGAGAATAGAATGGTAGTTACCAGGGGCTAGGGGCAGTGGTAACCCTGCTCCTGGGGGCTGGGGAAGATATTGGTCAAAGAATACAAAATTCCAGTTAGATAGGAGGAATAAGTTCAAGAGATCTACTGAACAACATGGTGACTGTAGTTAATAGCAATGTATTGTATTCTTGAAAGTTACTAGGAGAGTAGATTTTAAGTGTTTTCATTGCACACAAAAAAGCATGTTCGATAATACATATGTTAATTACCTTGATTTAGCCATTCCACAATGTATACATATTTTGAAACATGTTGTGTATGATAAATATATACAATATTTATTTGTCAATTAAACAAATTAATTTTTAAAACAGAATCTCTCCTGGAGAACCAATCCTAAGACAGTGGCCAAAAAGAATGTCTAATGTCCTCTTGATTTCACATTTTTGGCTGACTAGTAACAACGTATATCCTTTTTTCATACTTAAACTTCACAACAATAAGTGCCCCACATAACATAATGCAATTTTTCCTTATATAAGTGAAAACATGCAAAAGGGTGGCATCTCAAATTCTGACCAGTTACTATAGCTAGCTCTAAGTCCAGGATCTTTGGATGGCATATATTCATCTTCTGGTTCCATCACAATTTCATCTTGATAGTCTGTACACTAGAGACTATGTTATAAAGTTAATCACTATATGTAAAATAGTAGAATGGGAGGGTGCTATGATTTGGATATTTGTCCCTCCAAATCTTATGTTGAAATTTGATCCCCAATGTTGGAGGTGGGGCCTAATGGGAGGTGTTTGGGTCATGGGAGCAGACCCCTCATGAATAGATTAACGCCCTCTTTTAGAGGTGAGTTCTTACTCTATTAGCTTCTGTGGGAACCGGCTGTTAAAAAGAGCTTGGCATCTCTGCCCCACTCTTGCTTCCTTTCTTGCTATGTGATCTCTGCACACTCTGGCTCCCCTTCACTTTCTACCATGAGTAGAAGCAGCCCGAGACTCTCACCAGATGCCCAATCTTGAACTTTTCCAGGCATCAGAATTGTGAGCCAAATAAACCTTTTTTCTTTATAAATTACCCAGTCTCAGGTATTCCTTTATAGCAACACAAAACAGACTAAGAAGGAGAAAGGGATAAGTCACAGCAAGAACAAAACTCAGGCTGATGTTATAGTCTTCTTTTTGTAACTTTTCCTCTACTATTCAGTCCATGTTTTCTTGGCCCTCAATCAGCACCTAAGCTGATCAAAGTTCTTACCTTAGGTATGACCTAAACCTTCATTCCTAATGTATCACAGTCTTCAGTGGTCCTGCCTGCATGTGGTTGTTCAGATCTTCACTTTTAACTTTTACTACTGAAATGGCAGCAGAAAGAGGTGCCTGGAAGGATCCTCTGTGTCCAAAACATACTCTTCTCTACCTTCACTCCACAGCAGCAATCTCATGTGATACCATCCAGCCCTGAAACTCCCACTTTGGCTGTTGTTCTAATGGCATAAGCAGTCCAAAATAGACAGGTGGCTGTCTCATCTTCTGGATAATAGAGATGTTGTTGTCTATCCTAGAGGAGGCATATCCCCCTCAAGTACTGAAACCTAAACCATGGAATCATACACTTTTGTGAATTAGCTATTAGATGTAATATTGATAAAAGCCACTTCAACTTCCACCTGTTGGTTCCAAGAATACTGGTTATGACAGAAACAGCACTGTCTTTTGGCTGCTGATTCATATCATATGACATTTCCTGTAGAATAACACCTCCAGTTTTCCGAAGTTGGCTCCTAGAGACTCTTTAACTGAATTTGTAATAGGCTGTTGAACTGTTCTGCCAGAATATCTGTTCCTGGTTTATAAGGTCTGTGATACAATGACTATAAAATGGACATTAAGTAAGTCTATGGGTGGTAGTGCTGATAGAAACATTGCAGGCTGGGAAAGCAAATCCTCATCAGAGTAAGTAATATTTACATTGAGGACAGATGGCTTCCCCCTCCACAATGGAGGGCATTCACAGTAATCAACCTGCTACCTGGTGGCTATTTGGTCTCTGCAGAATGGGGCCCAACTAGGGGCTTAGCACGGACCTCTGCTGATAGCAGTTTGGGCATTCTCTAGGGACAATAGCTGTCAACTCAGCCTTTATGAAGGGGTGTCCATGTGGTTGATTCATTGCATAACCTCTGTCTCTGTCCCCGTGGACATGATTCATAAGCTCATTGAGTAAGCACTGTGGGGACTGTGAAAAGAGGCCAATGACATCCAAGATTAGGACTTTTCATTCACTTGATTATTGAGAGATTTCTCCAGAATGGTAGCCTTTTGTTGAGCTATGACCTGAAATATAACATTCTCATTAAATGGTATTATACAAATGCTAGTTCTGTAAATCTGACATGATGTTGAGGGTCAGGTATTACAAAACCAAACAATAAAAAAGCAAGCTCCAAACCAAGGTAAAAATGTGGTTCAGAGATCTATACTCAGCTTCATTGGAATGCCTAAAGTAGGAAGCATTTGAGTGATGATTAAAGATTAGCATGTAATTGACAAGGTTAGGCCCCAGAAGAGAGGAAAGTTTTCAGAGGTGGTTTGTTGACAAAGAGGTAGACAGATCATTGAATTTCAAATCTGAAAATCTGAATGTGATTCTCAGTTCTGTCATTATGAGCTATGTGAAGGTGGGCAAAGTGCTTAATCTCTCTTGGTTTGACCCTCCTTGTCTATAAACTAAGGTTAATAGTTTCCTCACTCACCTCATGGGGTTTTAAGATCCAAAATGTGATAATGTAGTGCCACACGAATTTAAAATAAATTCTTGCCATACAGAAAGAATTTTCATGAAATCTGTTTAACATGGAAGGGAAAGAAAAAGTATCAGGCCATATGCCATGAATTCCTTGGGCCATGGTCCAGGCCGATGGACAGGGTCCATAATTTCTAATTTCTTTTTCCCTTAGCTTTAGACCAAGGGGACAGTGGAGCTGGCAGAAGTGCCGTACTTTGGCAGAGTCCGTCTGAGAGAAGGCTTGCAGTCTATTTCTCTCTGTGCCCTTTGAGTTATTCTCAGTAATTGGAAAATTTAACATGTACTCACATGTTCTGTATTAATAACCCTCTTGATGGGTGACTCTGAAAACCATGGGAACAGATAATGAGGAAACCACAGAGAGTTTTTATTGGCACTAGAGCCAAATGAATTACTTTTTTTTAAAAAAATGATATTCTAAAACAACCACCTTTTTTTCTACCTCAAATATTGGAACAGATCTTCAACAGTACAGAGTGAAAGAGTGAGGAATAAATGATGAGTGTGGTTCCTTGAACTAATATAGATAATCAATTCAAATAACTAACAAAAATAGTCCACGTGGCTGTGTATATGTATGTGTAAATAACCCATCTCATGTGTGTAGCATCACCCTTCCTTCCCCCACAAAACCCACACTGCCATGCATTATGATGCAAATTTAATAGGTTGTTGGGGAAACAGAGGACTCCAGAGAAAGTGGAAACTAATGACCTTGTAGAAGAAGAGAGGCCTGATCCGAGCCTTTACAGAATGTATAGATTATGGATGAGAGTAAAGAGCAAAATTACTTTTGGTTAAAACTGCTGGGTTTGCTATTATGCTGGTAGCTATGTCATCTTCCTAGTTGTGCAATGCTACATTATACACAGCTACAAACTATGAGCAGAAAGCACTTGTTTTGACACTTTATTGAGTATCTGTGACATGCCTTTCTCAAGGTCTTGGTTCTCCAGCAGCTTAGAGTGAGAGCAGCAGGTGATACTGTCACATATCTCAGATAACAAAAGCCAAAGCAATAGGGGCTTTTGAGTTAAAGCCCTCTGTGTTTTAACTTCAGTATGTGCTTTCTGATCCTTTGCTCCTTCTTTCCAAAAGAAGTCATATAACTATTAAGAGGCAGAGCCAAGATCCACATCCAGGCTTCCAACCTTCAGATCCTGAATTTACATGACCCAATCTCTGCTTGCTGAGATTGGTGACATTGTATGGGTTGGCTATCTCCTCAATTTTGCAAACCTCCACCCAGGCTTAGCAAAAAACCTACAGGTTATTTTACCACAAGAGGTCATCCACTATTACTGACCTACCACAAACCTCATTCTTTTCCATTCCCTATACCTGAACCTTGAGGTGTTTCCATCATATTTTTAGACCTCTCCTGAGATTATGTTGCAGAGAACCAGCACCAATTACATCCAGCTAAGAGCCATTGAAGTATAGGTCTGCAAGTTTTGTGTGTAGAAGATAGGGTTCTCAATTACATTCTCTCTGCTCCTGTGTCCCGCATCCTAGAAAATCATGAAACTCATGAAGCAAGGCATAGAGCTCAGGGGGATTTGCCATTAGTTTTCAGAGATAGAAGCTTTAATATGGCTCTGTAGAGCAATGAGAGATGATGAGGATACTGCATGTTATTTTAACAGACACCAAGGGTTCTTTCTGACTGTCCTTTGCATTAGACTAGCATGCCATTTCAATACATAAGGATTTATTCAGCAAGCACCCCGGGCCCAGCAGTGTACTAAATGTTATGGGAGATTCAAAGTCCAATAATGGTTCCTACCCCTGGAGCTTTCAATCTAGTTGAGAAGACATGACACACATTTAACAGAAAAATATAAAACACTTTATAATTAAGTAAAATTGTACATGTAATCTCGTACTTTCCATCTCATTTGTGTACCATCACACATGATGGTATGAAAGATGCTGTGGAAAGTCAGGATGAAGAGGGACAAATAATAACACCTAGTGTTTACTGAGCACCAATATATGTGACACATATTTTCTAAGTTCTTAAAACTATTAACTCTTTTAATCCAACAATTTTATTGAGCATGATACTATTTTTATGTCATCTTAAAGATGAGAAGATTGAGATACACAACAGTCAGGAAATATGCCCAAAGTCA
The DNA here is from genome assembly GCF_000001405.40 of Homo sapiens. Classification (NCBI taxonomy): domain Eukaryota; kingdom Metazoa; phylum Chordata; class Mammalia; order Primates; family Hominidae; genus Homo; species Homo sapiens. Next base: position 112,519,092 of record NC_000023.11, on the reverse strand, counting down.
CAAAGCCGGCAAGTGGCAACATCTGGATTTCAACCCATGACATGTGGCTCTACAATCTGTTACCTAGTGCTCTATTCTGCCTGCATTCTGGTGAATTAGTTGAGGTAGACTTTATAAATGGCATAGGACTGTCTTTAAGCTGTATGGTCTACACTATAACAAGGCTTGAAGGATGGTGTAGAAGAGATGGCAAATTTGGTCAAATGCTTTTTCAGTATCTATTGAAATAATCATGTGGTTTTTGTTCTTGGTTCTGTTATGTGATGTATTACACTTAACGATTTGCACATGTTGAACTATCCTTGTGATATGGTTAGGCTCTGGGTCTCCACCCAAATCTCACATTGAATTGTAATCCGAAGTGTTGGAGATGGGGCCTAGGGGGAGGTGACTGGACCATGGGAGTGGTTTCTAATGGTTTAGCACCATCCTCTTAGTGCTATCTCATGACAGAGTTCTCACGAGATCTGGTTGTTTAAAAGTTTGTAGCACCTTCCCCTTCACTCTCTCTCCTGCTCCACCATGTGAAGAGGTGCCTGCTTCCCCTTCACCTTCTGGTTGTAAGTTTCCTGAGTCCTCCTCAGCCATGCTTCCTGTACAGCCTGTGGAACTGTGAGTCAATTAAACCTCTTTTTTCATAAATTACCCAGTATCAGGTAGTTCTTTATAACAATGTGAGAACAGACTAATATGCCTTGCATCCCTGAGAGGAATCCCACATGATCATGGTGAATGATGTTTTTAGTGTGTTGTTGAATTCTGTTAGCCAGTATTTTGGGGAGGAGTTTTGCATCTATGTTAATCAGTGAAATTGGCTTGAGGTTTTCTTTTCTTGTTTTGTCCTTCTCTGGTTTTGCTACCAGGATAATTCTGGCTTTGTAGAATGATTTTGGAAGTATTCCCTATTTTTCAACTTCTTTGAAGAGTTTGAATAAAATTGGTACTTTTTTTCTTTAAATGTTTGGTAGAATTCAGCAGGGAAGCCATCAGTTCTGGGCTTTTCTTTGCTCGGATATTTTTTATTACAGCTTTGATCTCATTGCTTGTTATTCATCTGTTCAAGCTTTTATTTTCTTCATGGTTCAATCTTGGGAGGATATAGTGTCCAGGAATTTATTCACTGCCTATAGGTTTTCCAATTTGTTGGCATATAGTTGTTCATAACAGTCTCTAATGATTTTTTGTATTTCTGTGGTCTCAGTTGTTATGTCTCCTCTTTGTTTCTGGTATTATTTATTTGGTTTTCTCTGTTTTTTTCTTAGCCTAGCTAGAAGTTTGTTGATTTTATTTATCTTTTCAAAAAAGCAACTTTTTGTTTCACTGATATTTTGTATATTTTAGTCTCAGTTTCTTTTATTTCAGCTATGATCTTTATTATTTATTTTCTTCTAATAATTTGGCATTTGTTTTGTTTTTGCTTTTCCAGTTCCTTGAGGTACATTGTTGGGTTGCTTATTTGAAGTCTTTTTTTTCCTACTTTTTTGATGTAGACATTTATTGTTATAAACTTCTATCTTAGTATTTTTTATGTTGTATCTCATTGACTTTGGTATATTGTATTTGCATTTTCATTTGTTTCCAGAAATTTTAATATTTCCTTATTAATTTCTTCATTGACCCACTGGTCAACAGGAGCATTTTGTTTAATTTTCATGTATTTTTGATGTTTTGAAGTTCCTCTGGTTATTAATTTATATTTTTATTCCATTGTTGTCAGAAAACCTACTTAATATGATTTCCATTTTTGAATTTCTTCACACTTGTTCTGTAGGCTAAGCTACAGCTTATTCTGGAGGACGTTCCATGTTACAATGAAAAAAAAAAGTGTATTCTGCAACAGGTGTGTGATATGTTCTGTAAATGTCAGTTAGGCCTAATAGGTCTAGTGTGTAGTTTAACTCCATGGCTCTTTGTTAATTTTTTGTCTGAATGATATGTCTATTACTGAGAGTGGGCTGTTTAAGCCCTCTACTATTATTGTTTTCAGTCAATCTCTCCCTTTATAACTATTCATGTTTGCTTTATGTACTTAAGAGCTCTGGTCTTCAGTGCATAGATATTTATAATTGTTATGTCTTCTTGCTTAATTGACCTCTTTACCATTATTTAGTGACCTTTTTTCCTCTTCTTACAGTCTTTCATTTGTAGTCTATTTTATCTGATATAAGTACCACTACTCTCACTCTTTTTTGGTTTCCAGTTGCATGAACTATCTTTTCCTACCCCTTCACTTTCGGTCTTTGTATGTCTTTATAGGTGAAATGGCTTTCTTGTCAGCAATATAGAATTTGGTCTTTTTTTTCTTTTTTTTTTTTGGACAGAGTTTTGCTCTGTCTCCCAGGCTGGAGTGCAGTGGTGTGATCTCGGCTCACTGCAAGCTCTGCCTCCTGGGTTGATGCCATTCTCCTACCTCAGCCTCCTGAGAAGCTGGGACTACAGGCGCCCACCACCATGCCTGGCTAATTTTTGTATTTTTTAGTAGAGATGGGGTTTCATCATGCTAGCCAGGATGGTCTTGATCTCCTGACCTTGTGATCCACCCTCCTCGGCCTCCCAAAGTACTGGGATTACAGGCGTGAGCCACCATGTCCGGCCTGGAATTTGGTCTTATTTCTTTATCCATTCAGCCACTCTCTATTTTTAAATTAGAGAATTTATTCCATTTACATTCAGTGTTATTATTGATTGGAAACTACTACTGCCAGTTTGTTGCGTGTTTTCTGGTTGTCTTGTAACTCCTCTCTTCCTGTTTTCCCTGTTTTCCATTTCCCAAAACATACAGAGAAATGATTTTCTCTGGTACTATGTTTTAATTCGTTGCTTTTTATTTTTAGAGAATCTATTACAGGTTTTTGCATTGCGGTTGCAATAAGACTTACATAAAATATCTTACAGATATAACAAATTATTTTTAAGAGACACCAACTTATATTAGATCACAAGGAAAATAATAGAAACAGAAAAAAAATTTAAAACCTCTACACTTTAATTCCATGGCCCCTACAATTTGACTTTTTGTTGTTTCAGTTTAAATATATTTATATTGCCTATCTCTTAACAAATTGCTGTAGCTGTTATTGTTTTTGATAGATTTGTCTTTTGAATTTCCTACTAGAGTTTTGTGTAAATTGCATGCCACAATTACAGTAATAAAGTATTCTGAATTTGTCTGTGTACTTACTTTTACCAGTGGGTTTTTTAACCTTTAAATGTTTTATTTTGCACAGTAGTGTTTTTTTTCACTTGAGATTGAGGAATTCTCTTTGCATTTCTTTTTTTTCTTTTTAGAGATGTAGTCTCCCTCTGTTGCCCAGGCTGCAGTGCAGTGGTGCAATCACAGCTCACTGCAGCCTCAATCTGCTGGGCTTATGTGATCCTCCTGCCTCAGCCTCCTGATAACCTGGGACCACAGGTGTGCATCACCATGCCCTGGCTATTTTTGTAATATTTTTTGTAGAGACAAGGTCCCACTATGTTGTCCAGTCTGGTATTGAACTCCTGGACTCAAGCAATCCTCCCATCATGGCCTCCTAAAGTGCTACAGGCATGAGCCACCATATCTGGCTCTCTTTAGCACTTTTTATAAGACAGGTGGTGAGTTCTCTCAGCTTTTGCTTGTCTGGGAAAGATCTTTTCTTTCCTTCATGTTGGGAGGTTAATTTTGCTGGATACAGTATTCTTGAATGGCACTTTTGTTTTGTTTTTGTTTTTTGTTTTTCTTCTCATGTACTTTGAAAATGCTATCTGACTCCCTCCTGGTCTGCATGGTTTCCATTGAGAAGTCTGTTGCCAGAAGAATTGGCACTCCTTCATATGTTATTTGCTGTTTTCCTTGCTGCTGTTAGGATCTTCTTTTTGTCCTGGACCTCTGAGAGATTGATTATTATATGCCTTGGGGTGGTCTTATTAGGGTGTAATCTATTTGGCATTCTCTTCCTGTACCTGGATATTTATCTCTTTCTCAAGTTTTGGGAAACTTTCTGTTGTTACTTCTTGATTAACTTTTCTACCCCTTGCTCTCGCTCGACTCCCTCTTGAAGGCCAATAATTATTAGATTGGGTATTTTGAGGTAATTATCTATATCTTGTATGAGATCTGTGTTCTTTGTCATTCTTTTTTTTTTCTTTCCTCCAAGTGTGTATTTTCAAATGGCCTGGCATGGAGCTTACTGATTATTTCCTCTTCTTGACCCATCCTGATGTTAAGAGACTCTAATACATTTTTCAGTTCAACAGATGTATTTCTTATTTCTGTTTGTTTGCTTGTTCTCATTATTTGAACTCCCTCATTAAATTTATCTCATAAATTTTCTGCATTATCTTAGAGATCACTGAGTTTCCTTAAATGCTACTTTTAATTATTGGTCAGAGAGCTCACATATCACCAACTCACTAGGGTAAGTCAATGGCTTCTTGCTTTGTTTAACCTTCCCATATTCTGGTTCCCTATTTGCTGGTGTGTCTTGTGGATGTAGTCTATGCCTTTGCATTGAATGATTAGTTATTCATTTTAGTCTGTCTGGCTTGTTTTGTTCTTTATTAGATATATTTGCTTAAAGATTCCTGGTAATTGACTTGCTGAATTACTTTTTTTCCTGCTAGATTGCTGCCTCCTTTTTGTCACTAGATTATGCCTTAAGCCAAGGTTTGTCTTGGCTGAAGTAAATGATCAGAGGGCTGCTTGTCCTAAATGCAGGAGGCCCCAAATGGAATATCCTTTCAGCATGGGAAGACTGGCTAGGGGTTCATGGCCAGGAAACCTGTGGAACATACCTCCTAGAACTTCTTTCATTTGATATCTCCTTAAGGCTGAGTTACAGAGCAGTTTCCAGGGCTGGGGATGATAGACTGACCTCTTCACTTTGTCTTCAGCTATCCTCAGGGATATTTCTCCATTCAGGCACTTGTGATGCTTTCCATGGGTTGAGGCCAGGGCAGAATTCCTGCTAAGGAACCCAAGATGGTGGGAAAGTTGGTTGTCCACCTCACTCTCAATTTTTCTAATGTAGAAATCATGAGTTGGGAGGAAATTTTCCATGCACTTGGTGCTGAGCAGATTGAGGGGAAGAGTATTGCAGATATAGAATGCTCTTATCATCTCTCAGAGTTTCCTCACTTCTCTGTGGCCCCTGAGACTGTCTTATTCTCATATTTAAGTTTTGGCATATTTCTGGTGATAACCTTCGTGTTGTATATTTGTTTACAGTTTTCTGTTGGTGGGGGTGGGCTTGTTTCTACACTTCCATTTTGGAATTGGAAGGTCTCTGCTGGGCATCTTTATGCATGTTATTTCCCATAAAATTGACTACAGGTCTATGAGATAGGTATCACTTTTTTTTTTTTTTTGACAAGGTCTCACTCTGTCACCTGGGCTGGAGTGCAGTGGCATGATCATGGCTCTCACTGCAGCCTCAACCTCCCAGACTCGTGATTCTCTCGCCTCAGCCCCCTGAGTAGCTGAGACTACAGGTGTGTGCCACCATACCTGGCTAATTTTTTTGTATTTTGTGTAGAAATTAGGTTTCACCATATTTTCCAGGCTGGTCTTCAACTCCTGGACTCAAGCGATTCATCTGCCTTGGCCTCCCAAAGTGCTGGGTTTACAGACATGAGCCACCGTACCCAGCTGGTATCACTTACTTTCATTTTCCAGATAAAGAAATATAAGCCAAGAGAGATTAAGAAATTAGGCCAAACACACAACTCATGACTACAAAGCCAGGACTTGAAATCAGCTTTGTCTGACCCCCCGGGCCATTTTCCTCCTGTTACATCACACTGTCTCAATGTGATTGCAACTATGCAAACAATCCACTGCATAGCAAAAGCAAGCTTCAGGGAGGCCACATAGCAAAATAGTAGTAGTGCTTGTCTTAGGGAGGATGTGCTACAGATTTTTATTTTTTACTTTTAGCTATTGCCTATGTATATAATTAAAATCTTATATTGTTTACAAAATAATAAAGAATAGTAGAGGAGAGAGAGAGAGAAAGAGTGAAAGAGAGAGAGAGGTAAATAAAAAACCAAGATGATAGAAAGAGAACTCTTTCCATTTATAAGGAAAGTTTCCAAGGACTAGGATCATGCCTCATTAAGCTGCTATGTTAACCTTGATTATTACAATATTAACCTTACCTGAAATGGCAAAATATTTTTCCTTATACTAGTTTTTTTTTTTTTTTTTTTCCCAGAAAAGCATTTGGTGAGTGGTTAAAAAGGCCTGAATTTACTTGCCTGAGACAATTTGCCTACTGCCTTTAGCTTAAACTAGAGTCTCAGGACTGGAGAGTAATATGTACCATAGCTAGCAACAGGGAGTATCTGGGAGTTAGCGAAGCTATCTTGTTTTTTGGCTATCCTGTAAGACAACAAATTTAATAGCGCCCCCTGGCCAGAATCCCTCAGAAGGGATACTGGGAGATAGCTTATCCTACACAAGCACACTCTAAAATCCAGTCCCAAGATTCATATGTGTTATTTCTGCATAGCAAAAATGTAGTCTGGTTGAAGTGATTGACGAGTTGGTGATTTTCAGTATAAAAGGCTTTTCTTTCCTAAAGAAGGTTTGAAGGCAAAGTAAGTATTGGATAATATCATCATCATCAGCAGCATTAACATTATTTGAGTACATAATATTTGTTACACGCTGTTATAACTGATTTACATGTCATTTAAGACTCACAACAACTCTTGTAATATAGGTAATACTATTGTTACCATCCTTATACTAGAGGAGGAGAAGGGAGTTGAAAGACAAAGGGACTTTCCCAAGAGCATACAATTGCTTAGTAGAGAAATCTCTTCTCCTACCTTTAACACTGACAGATATTTTTGCCTAATTACATCTGAATTAAACCTGGAAGGAGGAAAATGACATAGGATTATTTTCTACACCCATCACGAATTCACTGCCTGTAGCGTTGATTTTGTCTCTAAAGTGATGGGAGCCAAAAAGGCATGAGGATTTAAGATGTAGGCAGTTGGTGGCGGGTGCGGTGGCTCACGCCTGTAATCCCAGCACTTTGGGAGGCCGAAGCGGGTGGATCACGAGGTCAGGAGATTGAGACCATCCCTGCTAACATGGTGAAACCCCATCTCTACTAAAAATACAAAAAAATTTAGCCGGGCATGGTGGCAGGCTCCTGTAGTCCCAGCTACTCGGGAGGCTGAGGCAGGAGAATGGTGTGAACCTGGGAGGCGGAGCTTGCAGTGAGCCGAGATCGTGCCATTGCACTCCAGCCTGGGCGACAGAGCAAGACTCCATCTCAAAAAAGAGGAAAAAAAAGATGGAGGCAGTGGGTATTATCTGGCCTTTCTTACCTAAAATGCCTGCACACTTTCTGCCTAGCTCTCAAAGATGTTTTTCTACAGAAGGCTCTCTTGGTATATCATGGTCTGTTTCATTTTTGTGAAAGGATACATCATCAATCATAATTCCTGCTCTTAAGGTGCCTACCATCTAGACAAATGGTAATGATGTGTATGGATAGCATAATTATTTTCACTGTGAAAATTGTGGGGAAAATGCACAGAGATGCAATCCTAAGTTCATTGAAGCAAAGAAGGAACATTTTAATAAATTGAGGGTTGGGGAGAGTGAGTGTGAAGAGGGTTAACCTGTTTGAAGTTCAGGATATCACCTATTTGGAAAGATCATGCCCAAAGAGATTTTGCACTAAGTTTTTACTACCTGAAGGAAGTGAATCATAGAAACCATCTGAAAAAAAGAATGAAAGGATACAGAAAACATGGCAAGTAAAGGTGTGAAAGAAATCTTGATATTGAGAAATAAATTTTAATCTTTCTTTCCTCCTCCAAGAAGGCTTGGAAGAGGAAATGAAAAGCTTGAGTATGGATGTATTCAGGGGAGAAAACATATAGCTCAGAGAAACAAGAACTTGTTTTTATGAAATAGAGAAGGCAGAAATAAAATGAGAAACAGTTAAGAAAGTTCTCATACTCAGGCTGAGTGGTAAATGTGGATATTGAATGTTTTAGAGTAGGAAGAAACTAATGAGGCACTCTGGACTGAATTAATCAGTTGTATTACATCCTCTGAATACCTCTACTTGCAGGTAAAGGCTAGCTTCTTACTTTGATAATAACTAGAATTTATCACATACTTTTCATGTGCCAGAATCTGGCTACATGTAGTATCTCACGCAACGTTTAAAACAACCCCACAAAGCACAATCCCTAACAGATGGGAAATTTGAGGCCTGTGAAGATTAAGTGACAGGTCCAAGTTCACACAGATTGTAAGCAGTTGAGCTCAGGGTTGTTTGACTCCAAAGTACACTTTCCCTTCCAGACTCTCAATCCTTGGCAATACACCAGTATTTTCATCCTTTACAATATGAGACAGACCCTGAGAAAATAGTATCGTTGGCAGACAGGCTGGCAGCTCTCTGATGAGTCTTCTTGTGAAGGATGTTGGCAATTATTTATGAGTCCATCTACTTCTATTATTGAAATCTACACACAATCTGAAGTAACAGTGTCACCCTACTCTCCTCACAATTAAATTTCTTACCAGGATGCTCCATAAGAAATAATGCTGACTTTTTAATGCATGATTTCTCTCCTAGGAAAAACATCTGAGTATAAGTCAGTGAACATATAGAAAACAGGAGAAAGGAAGAGAAACGAAGGAGGCATTCTAGCCATTAAGACTCCACTAGGCCATTAAGACATCATCAATGGCTCCCTATTAGCTACACAAAAAAAATAAAAACATAGATCCAGAAAATGCTGAGTACCACCCAGTAACAGGTAATATTAATAACATGGAGCGAGACAAAAGATATTTCTTCTAAGAGACTAGACCACAAGGTTTTTCTTAAAATTATTTTTTATAGCAACCTCTAGTGGATCCAGAATCCCTAGGGTTTCATCATTCAAATCCTATTATAACAGATATAAATAGGCCCAGTCTGTGAAGACTATAATAAATACCTAACTCTTCAGTACCCGGATACTGAGGAACATCCAGGAGCATCAAGACCATCCAGGAAAACATGACTTCACCAAACAAACTAAATAAGGTACCAGAGATCAATCCTGCAGAGACAGAGATATGTGACCTTTTGGGAGAGAATTCAAAAGAGCTGTGTTGAGGAAACTCAAAGAAATTCAAGGTAACACAGAGAAGGAATTCAGAATCCTACCAGATGACTTTATCAAAAATTTGAAACAATTAAAAAGAAGCAAACAGAGATTCTGGAGTTGAAAAATGCAATTGACTTGCTGAAGAATGCATCAAAGTCTCTTAATAGCAGAACTGATCAAGAATTAGTGAGCTTGAAGACAGACTATTTGAAAATACAGTCAAAGGAGACAAGAGAAAAAAAGAACAAAAAAGATTGAAGCACACCTACAAGATCTAGAAAGCCTCAAAAGGACAAATGTAAGAGTTACTGGCCTTACTGAGGAGGTAGAGAAAGATATAGGGGTAGACAGTTTATTCAAAGGGATAATAACAAACTTCCTAAACCTAGAGAAAGATATCAATATCCAAGTACAAGAAAGTTATAGAACACCAAGCACATTTAACCCAAAGAAGACTAACTCAAGGCATTTAATAATCAAATTCCAAAGATCATGGATAAAGAAAGGATTCTAAAAGCAGCAAGAGAAAAGAAAAAAATAACATACAATCGAGGTCCAATATGTCTGGTAGCAGACTTTTCAATGAAAACATTACAGGCCAGGAGAGAGTGGCATAGACATATTTAAAGGGCTGAGGAAAAAAACTTTTACCCTAGAATAGTATATCCGGTGAAAATATCCTTCAAACAAAAAGGAGAAATAAATACTTTTCCAGACAAATAAAAGCTGAAGAATTCCATCAGTACCAGACCCGTCCTTTAGGAAATGCTAAAGAGAATACTTTAATCAGAAAGAAAATGACATTAATGAGCAATAAATAGTCACTTGAAGGTACAAAACATACTGGTAATAGTAAGCACACTGAAAAATGTAGAATACTATAACACTGTAACTGTGGTGTTTAAACTGCTCTTATTCTAAGTGGAAAGACTAAACAATGAACCAATCAACAAGAATAACTACAACAACTTTTCAAGACATAGGCAGTACAGGAAGATATAAATAGAAACAACAAGAATTTAAAAAGCAGAGATGATGTTAAAGTATAGAATTTGTATGAGTTTTCTCTTTCCTTGTTAGTTTACACCATCAGGGTGAAGTTGTCATCAGTTTAAAATAATAGGTTATAAGATGTTATTTGCAAGCCTTATGGTAACCTCAATCCAAGAAACATGCAAAGGATATACAAAAAATTAAAAGTGAGAAATCAAAATGTACTATCAGAGAAAATCATCTATACTAAAAGGAGGACAGGAAGGAAGGAAGTAAGAAAGAGAGCACCACAAAACAAACAGAAAACAACAAAATAACAAGTGCAAGTCCTTATTTATCAATCATAGCATTGAATATAAATAGACTAAACTCTCCAATCGAAAGACCTGGTTGAATGGATTAGAAAACAAGAACCAATGATATGTTGCCTAAAAGAAACACACTTCAACTATAAAGACACACATACACTGTAAATAAAGTGATGGAAAAAGTACTCCAGGCAAATGGAAACCAAAAATGAGCAGGAGTAGCTATCCTTAGATCAGACAAAATAGATTTCAAGACAAAAACTATCAGAAGAGACAGAGAAGGTCATTATATAATGACAAAAGGGTCAATTCAGCAAAAAGATATAACAATTATAAATATATGTGCATCCTATGCTGGAGCACTCAGATATATAAAAAAATGCTATTAGAGAGAAAAAGAGAGACAGACTCCAATAAAATGATACCTAGAGACTGCAAAACCCCACTTATAGCCTTAGGAAGATCTTTCAGACAGGGAAAATCAACAATGCAACATTGGATTTAATCTGTACTACAGACCAAATGGATCTAATAGATATTTACAGAACATTTCATCCAATGGCTACAGAATACAATTTTTTTTTCTCAGCACATGGATTATTCTTTTTTTTTCAATTTTTTATTTATTATTATTATACTTTAAGTTTTAGGGTACATGTGCACAATGTGCAGGTTAGTTACATATGTATACATGTGCCATGCTGGTGCACTGCACCCACTAACTCGTCATCTAGCATTAGGTATATCTCCCAGTGCTATCCCTCCCCGCTTCCCCCAACCCACAACAGTCCCCAGAGTGTGATGTTCCCCTTCCTGTGTCCATGTGTTCTCATTGTTCAATTCCCACCTATGAGTGAGAATATGTGGTGTTTGGTTTTTTGTTCTTGCGATAGTTTACTGAGAATGATGATTTCCAATTTCATCCATGTCCCTACAAAGGACATGAACTCATCATTTTTTATGGCTGCCTAGTATTCCATGGTGTATATGTGCCACATTTTCTTAATCCAGTCTATCATTGTTGGACATTTGGGTTGGTTCCAAGTCTTTGCTATTGTGAATAATGCCGCAATAAACATACGTGTGCATGTGTCTTTATAGCAGCATGATTTATAGTCCTTTGGGTATATACCCAGTAATGTGATGCCTGGGTCAAATGGTATTTCTAGTTCTAGATCCCTGAGGAATAGCCACACTGACTTCCACAATGGTTGAACTAGTTTAAAGTCCCACCAACAGTGTAAAAGTGTTCCTATTTCTCCACATCCTCTCCAGCACCTGTGGTTTCCTGACTTTTTAATGATTGCCATTCTAACTGGTGTGAGATGGTATCTCATTGTGCTTTTGATTTGCATTTCTCTGATGGCCAGTGATGATGAGCATTTTTTCATGTGTTTTTTGGCTGCATAAATGTCTTCTTTTGAGAAGTGTCTGTTCATGTCCTTCGCCCACTTTTTGATGGGGTTGTTTGTTTTTTTCTTGTAAATTTGTTGGAGTTCATTGTAGATTCTGGATATTAGCCCTTTTTCAGATGAGTAGGTTGCGAAAATTTTCTCCCATTTTATAGGTTGCCTGTTCACTCTGATGGTAGTTTCTTTTGCTGTGCAGAAGCTCTTTAGTTTAATTAGATCCCATTTATCAATTTTGTCTTTTGTTGCCATTGCTTTTGGTGTTTTAGACATGAAGTCCTTGCCCATGCCTATGTCCTGAAGGTAATGCCTAGGTTTTCTTCTAGGGTTTTTATGGTTTTAGGTCGAATGTTTAAGTCTTTAATCCATCTTGAATTGATTTTTGTATAAGGTGTAAGGAAGGGATCCAGTTTCAGCTTTCTACATATGGCTAGCCCGTTTTCCCAGCACCATTTATTAAATAGGGAATCCTTTCCCCATTGCTTGGTTTTGTCAGGTTTGTCAAAGATCAGATAGTTGTAGATATGTGGCGTTATTTCCGAGGGCTCTGTTCTGTTCCATTGATCTATATCTCCGTTTTGGTACCAGTACCATGCTGTTTTGGTTACTGTAGCCTTGTAGTATAGTTTGAAGTCAGGTAGCGTGATGCCTCCAGCTTTGTTCTTTTGGCTTAGGATTGACTTGGCAATGCGGGCTCTTTTTTGGTTCCATATGAACTTTAAAGTAGTTTTTTCCAATTCTGTGAAGAAAGTCATTGGTAGCTTGATGGGGATGGCATTGAATCTGTAAATTACCTTGGGCAGTATGGCCATTTTCACGATATTGATTCTTCCTACCCATGAGCATGGAATGTTCTTCCATTTGTTTGTATCCTCTTTTATTTCCTTGAGCAGTGGTTTGTAGTTCTCCTTGAAGAGGTCCTTCACATCCCTTGTAAGCTGGATTCCTAGGTATTTTATTCTCTTTGAAGCAATTGTGAGTGGGAATTCACTCATGATTTGCCTCTCTGTTTGTCTGTTGTTGGTGTATAAGAATGCTTGTGATTTTTGTACATTGATTTTGTATCCTGAGACTTTGCTGAAGTTGCTTATCAGCTTAAGGAGATTTTGGGCTGAGACAATGGGGTTTTCTAGATACACAGTCATGTCATCTGCAAACAGGGACAATTTGACTTCCTCTTTTCCTAATTGAATACCCTTTATTTCCTTCTCCTGCCTAATTGCCCTGGCCAGAACTTCCAACACTATGTTGAATAGGAGTGGTGAGAGAGGGCATCCCTGTCTTGTGCCAGTTTTCAAAGGGAATGCTTCCAGTTTTTGCTCATTCAGTATGATATTGGCTGTGGGTTTGTCATAGATAGCTCTTGTTATTTTGAAATACGTCCCATCAATACCTAATTTATTGAGAGTTTTTAGCATGAAGAGTTGTTGAATTTTGTCAAAGGCCTTTTCTGCATCTATTGAGATAATCATGTGGTTTTTGTCTTTGGTTCTGTTTATATGCTGGATTACGTTTATTGATTTGCATATATTGAACCAGCCTTTCATCCCAGGGATGAAGCCCACTTGATCATGGTGGATAAGCTTTTTGATGTGCTGCTGGATTCAGTTTGCCAGTATTTTATTGAGGATTTTTGCATCAATGTTCATCAAGGATATTGGTCTAAAATTCTCTTTTTTGGTTGTGTCTCTGCCCGGCTTTGGTATCAGGATGATGCTGGCCTCATAAAATGAGTTAGGGAGGATTCCCTCTTTTTCTATTGATTGGAATAGTTTCAGAAGGAATAGTACCAGTTCCTCCTTGTACCTCTGGTAGAATTCGGCTGTGAATCCATCTGGTCCTGGACTCTTTTTGGTTGGTAAGCTATTGATTATTGCCACAATTTCAGAGCCTGTTATTGGTCTATTCAGAGATTCAACTTCTTCCTGGTTTAGTCTTGGGAGAGTGTATGTGTTGAGGAATTTATCCATTTCTTCCAGATTTTCTAGTTTATTTGCGTAGAGGTGTTTGTAGTATTCTCTGATGGTAGTTTGTATTTCTTTGGGATCGGTGGTGATATCCCTTTTATCATTTTTTATTGCGTCTATTTGATTCTTCTCTCTTTTTCTCTTTATTAGTCTTGCTAGTGGTCTATCAATTTTGTTGATCCTTTAAAAAAACCAGCTCCTGGATTCATAAATTTTTTGAAGGGTTTTTTGTGTCTCTATTTCCTTCAGTTCTGCTCTGATTTTAGTTATTTCTTGCCTTCTGCTAGCTTTTGAATGTGTTTGCTCTTGCTTTTCTAGTTCTTTTAATTGTGATGTTAGAGTGTCAATTTTGGATCTTTCCTGCTTTCTCTTGTGGGCATGTAGTGCTGTAAATTTCCCTCTACACAGTGCTTTGAATGCGTCCCAGAGATTCTGGTATGTGGTGTCTTTGTTCTCGTTGGTTTCAAAGAACATCTTTATTTCTGCCTTCATTTCGTTATGTACCCAGTAGTCATTCAGGAGCAGGTTGTTCAGTTTCCATGTAGTTGAGCAGTTTTGAGTGAGATTCTTAATCCTGAGTTCTAGTTTGACTGCACTGTGGTATGAGAGATAGTTTGTTATAATTTCTGTTCTTTTACATTTGCTGAGGAGAGCTTTACTTCCAAGTATGTGGTCAATTTTGGAATAGGTGTGGTGTGGTGCTGAAAAAAATGTATATTCTGTTGATTTGGGGTAGAGAGTTCTGTAGATGTCTATTAGGTCTGCTTGGTGCAGAGCTGAGTTCAATTCCTGGGTATCTTTGCTGACTTTCTGTCTCGTTGATCTGTCTAATGTTGACAGTGGGGTGTTAAAGTCTCCCATTATTAATGTGTGGGGTCTAAGTCTCTTTGTAGGTCACTCAGGACTTGCTTTATGAATCTGGGTGCTCCTGTATTGGGTGCATATATATTTAGGATAGTTAGCTCTTCTTGTTGAATTGATCCCTTTACCATTATGTAATGGCCTTCTTTGTCTCTTTTGATCTTTGTTGGTTTAAAGTCTGTTTTATCAGAGACTAGGATTGCAACCCCTGCCTTTTTTTGTTTTCCATTTGCTTGGTAGATCTTCCTCCATCCCTTTATTTTGAGCCTATGTGTGTCTCTGCACTTGAGATGGGTTTCCTGAATACAGCACACTGATGGGTCTTGACTCTTTATCCAATTTGCCAGTCTGTGTCTTTTAACTGGAGCATTTAGTCCATTTACATTTAAAGTTAATATTGTTATGTGTGAATTTGATCCTGTCATTATGATGTTAGCTGGTTATTTTGCTTGTTAGTTGATGCAGTTTCTTCCTAGTCTTGATGGTCTTTACATTTTGGCATTATTTTGCAGCAGCTGGTACTGGTTGTTCCTTTCCATGTTTTGTGCTTCCTTCAGGAGCTCTTTTAGGGCACGCCTGGTGGTGACAAAATCTCTCAGCATTTGCTTGTCTGTAAAGTATTTTATTTCTCCTTCACTTATGAAGCTTAGTTTGGCTGGATATGAAATTCTGGTTTGAAAATTCTTTTCTTTAAGAATGTTGAATATTGGCCCCCACTCTATTCTGGCTTGTAGAGTTTCTGCTGAGAGATCTGCTGTTAGTCTGATGGGCTTCCCTTTGAGGGTAACCTGACCTTTCTCTCTGGCTGTCCTTAACATTTTTTCCTTCATTTCAACTTTGGTGAATCTGACAATTGTGTGTCTTGTAGTTGCTCTTCTCGAGGAGTATCTTTGTGGCATTCTCTGTATTTCCTGAATCTGAATGTTGGCCTGCCTTGCTAGATTGGGGAAGTTCTCCTGGATAATGTCCTGCAGAGTGTTTTCCAACTTGGTTCCATTCTCCCCGTCACTTTCAGGTACACCAATCAGACATAGATTTGGTCTTTTCACATAGTCCCATATTTCTTGGAGGCTTTTCTCCTTTCTTTTTATTCTTTTTTTCTCTAAACTTCCCTTCTCACTTCATTTCATTCATTTCATCTTCCATCGCTGATACCCTTTCTTCCAGTTGATCACATCGGCTCCTGAGGCTTCTGCATTCTTCAAGTAGTTCTCGAGCCTTGGTTTTCAGCTCCATCGGCTCCTTTAAGCACTTCTCTGTATTGGTTATTCTAGTTATACATTCTTCTAAATTTTTTTCAAAGTTTTCAACTTCTTTGCCTTTGGTTTGAATGTCCTCCCGTAGCTCAGAGTAATTTGATCGTCTGAAGCCTTCTTCTCTCAGCTCATCAAAGTCATTCTCCATCCAGCTTTGTTCCGTTGCTGGTGAGGAACTGCGTTCCTTTGGAGGAGGAGAGGCGCTCTGCTTTTTAGAGTTTCCAGTTTTTCTGCTCTGTTTTTTCCCCATCTTTGTGGTTTTATCTACTTTTGTTCTTTGATGATGGTGATGTACAGATGGGTTTTTGGTGTGGATGTCCTTTCTGTTAGTTTTCCTTCTATCAGACAGGACCCTCAGCTGCAGGTCTGTTAGAGTACCCGGTCGTGTGAGGTGTCAGTCTGTCCCTGCAAGGGGGTGCCTCCCTGTTAGGCTGCTCTGGGGTCAGGTGTCAGGGACCCACTTGAGGAGGCAGTCTGCCCATTCTCAGATCTCCAGCTGCGTGCTGGGAGAACCACTGCTCTCTTCAAAGCTGTCAGACAGGGACACTTAAGTCTGCAGAGTTTACTGCTGTCTTTTTGTTTGTCTGTGCCCTGCCCCCAGAGGTGGAGCCTACAGAGGCAGGCAGGCCTCCTTGAGCTGTGGTGGGCTCCACCCAGTTGGAGCTTCCTGGCTGCTTTGTTTACCTAAGCAAGCCTGGGCAATGGCGGGCGCCCCTCCCCCAGCCTCGCTGCTGCCTTGCAGTTTGATCTCAGACTGCTGTGCTAGCAATCAGCGAGACTCTGTGGGCATAGGACCCTCTGAGCCAGGTGTGGGACACAACCTCCTGGTGTGCCGTTTTTTAAGCCCATTGGAAAAACACAGTATTTGGGTGGGAGTGACCCAATCTTCCAGGTGCCGTCTGTCACCCCTTTCTTTGACTAGGAAAGGGAACTCCCTTAACCCCTGCACTTCCCGAGTGAGGCAATGCCTCGCCCTGCTTCGGCTCACGCACAGTGCGCGCACCCACTGACCTGCACCCACTGTCTGGCACTCCGTAGTGAGATGAACCCGGTACCTCAGATGGAAATGCAGAAATCACCCATCTTCTGCGTTGCTCACGCTGGGAGTTGTAGACCAGAGTTGTTCCTATTTGGCCATCTTGGCTCCTCTCTGGATTATTCTTAAGGATACATGATATGTCTGGCCACAGAACAAGTCTTCAAAATTACAAAAATAGAAATTATTATTATTATTATTGTTATTATTGAGATGTAGTCTCACTCTGTCACTCCAGGCTGGAGTGCAGTGGTATGATCTCAGCTCACTGCAACCTCTGCCTCCTGGGCTCAAGCAATTCTCCTGCCTAACCTCCTGAGTAGCCGAGATTAAAGGTGCCCACCACCATGCCTGGCTAATTTTTGTATTTTCTGTAGAGACAGGGTTTCATTATTTTGGTCAGGCTGGTCTCGAACTCCTAACCTCAAGTAATCCGCCCACCTCCGCCTCCCAAAGTGCTGGGATTAGAGGCATGAGCCACTGCACTTGGCCAAAAAGATGAAATTATATCAAGTATCTTCTCTGACGACAATGGTATAAAACTAGAAATCAGTAACGGAAGGAATTTTAGAAATTATACAAACCCATGGAAATTAAAGAATATGCTACTGAATTGCAAGTGGGTCAATGAAGAAATTAAGAATAAAACTGAAAATTTCTTGAAACAAATGATAATAGAAATACAACATAGCACAACCTATGGGATATACTGAAAGTAGTACTATGAGGAAAGTTTATAGATATAAGCGCCTACATCAAAAAAGTAGAAAAACGTCAAAGAAACACCTAATGATGCATCTTAAGGAACTAGAAAAACAAGAGCAAATCAACCCAAACATTAGTAGAAGAAAATAAATAATAAAGATCGTAGCAGAAATAAATGAAGTTGAAACAAATAAAACAGTAAATCAGTGAAAGGAAAAGTTAGATTTTTAAAAAGATAAACAAAGTCAACACATCTTTATCCAGATTAACTAAGAAAAATGAGAGAAAGCCATAATGAATAAAATCAGAGATGAAAAAGAAGACATTACAACAAATGCTGCAGAAATTCAAAGTATCATTAATGGCTACTATGTGCAACTATATGCCAATAAAATGGAAAATCTAGAAGAAATAGAAAAATTTGTAGACACAAAAAACCTACCAAGTTTGAATCATGAAAAAATCCAAAACCTGAACTTACCAATAACAACTAACAAGATTGAAGCCATAATAAAATGTATCCCAGCAAAGAAAAGCCTGGTACTCAATGGTTTCGCTGCTGAAATTTATTAAATATTTAAGAACTTTTAACAATCCTACTCAAACTACTTCAAAAAAGAGAAGAGAAGGAAATACTTCCAGACTCATTTTATGAGGCCAGTATTACCCTGATATCAAAAGGAGACAAAGACACAACAAAAAAAGAAAACTATAGGTCAATACCCCTGATGAAAATTGATCCAAAATACTCAGCAAAATACTAATGGCATTCAACAATAAATTTAAAAGATTGTTCATTATGACCAAGTGAGATTCTTTCCAGGGATACAAGGATGGTTCAACATAGGCAAATCAATAAATGTGATATATCATAGAAACATATTGAAGGACAAAACAATATGATCATTTCAATTGATGTTAAAAAAGTGTTTGATAAAATTTTAACATCCCTTCATGGTAATAACCCTCAAAAAACTGGGTATGAACGGAATATACCTCAATATAATAAAAGCCATATATCACAGACCCACAAATACTATACTGAATGGGGAAAAACTGAAATCCTTTCCTCTAAGATCTGGAACATGACAAGGTTGCTTACTTTCACTACTGTTACTCAACGTAGTACTGGAAGTCCTAGCTAGAGCAATCAGGCAAGAGAAAGAAATAATGAGGCTGCTCTTCCTATGGAGTAGCCATTCTTTTATTCCTTTACTTTCCTAATAAACTTGTTTTCACTTTACAATATGGACTCACCCAAAATTCTTTCTTGCATGAGATGCAAGAACACTCTTTTGCAGTCTGAATCAGGATTCCCTTTTGGTAACACCTTCCTGGCAAACCACAAAGGAATAATACTGAGGAGACCCTAACCCAAAGGAAATAGGCTGCAGCATCAATTGACCAACTTTGGGTAAGTGGTGGGGTGCATTTTACCTGGGTAAAGTATGAGATTGGGTTAGAGGCTCAACTTAAGGGAGTTAGAGTCTCTCCTAAGACAGAGAGGGTTAAAGGCCCCTCTTAATAAAAGTCAAGAATGCTTGAACAATCTTGGATTCGAGGCTCACCTTATGAAGGTTGGAGTTCTTCCTAAGATTTAAGGGGTTAGAGGCCCCCTCAGTAAGTCCCTCTTGGCTAAGAAGGGATTTGGCATTATGGGATGTTAACTGCTATTCTCTTTGGATTAATCTGCCTTGCATTCTTTGCTGATGGCTGTGAGTGACAGGATTCGGCATGTACAGGATCACAGGACATGGGGAGCTTTTGCTTTCCTAAAGGGGGAAACTTGAGAGCTGATGGGACTGCTGAACAATATCCCTTCTGACTGACAAGTGGCCACCTGAACTTTTGACTCAGTGTCATTGCAATGAGTGGGTTGTCTTTCTCTGGTCTCCTGGAATGCTTGGCCTTCACCACCCTGCCACAGGCAATGCTTTATTATTTCCCTTTCTCTCCTTTCCCTTTCTTACCTTTTCTGTTACTCAGGATGACCATCTTGCCCAGAGACCACATGTTGAAACTCTTTTAATACATTTTGAATGGATTAAAGATGACAGGTCACAATCAGGAGCAAGACCGAGCCTTGCTAGTTCAATATTAGGTGCTAAGCAGAGTGGCTAATGTGTCTTAAGCTGTAGCGAATCTAGTGTACTTTGTGGTATAAATTTGCCTTTCTGTGTCGTTTTGTCATAAAGAGGAGCACCTTACGATAGAGCATGGGCTGAGGACCCCATAAGCCCACTGTTCAAGACAGCCCAGCAAGCTGGTCTGTAACAAACTTTGCTGCAGGTCTCTGAAACAAACAAACAAAACTGGATGAAGTTTTTATCTTATCTTGTTCTATGTTCTTGGGAGCTTAACCTTGTAACCACGTGGCAGTACTTCTTTTTGGTCTCCACCATTGAGGGAACAGGAATTTTGGAGTTCACATCATAGCCTTAAAAATTGTCTCAAGCAGTTAAAAACCTTTACAAGCTCAAAATTGGCTACTCTAGACTCCTTATTCGAAGAGCAATGGAAACTGCCCAGTGCTGTAGCTTAGTAGTTAAGGCTTTGTCTTTTCACACTGGCTGTCTGGGTTAACGTTCAATTCCTAGCTTAGGGAATGAGTCCTTTCTGGTTTGATATCTGCATGACCTTTACAATTTGTTGATTCTCTTCCCTTCCATGAACCATCTTTAATTTTCCTTCCTCTGAGCACCTGGGAGGCTACTTTTGTAAAGTTCAAAAACTAGAAATATCGGCTGTTTGGCCTGGCTAAAGCTGGGCAATAGGAGATTTAAAAGGATTTTTTTAGAGTGCTATGGTTAAAAGTCAGCTTAATTAAAAGCAAATATTCAAGCTCTAACAGCCTGGGACTCTTCAGGAAATATATAAGCGGCACCATAGACCCCATTTTGGGAAAAATCTCTGTTTTCCTCATGGAACCCCAGGAATTAAAAGTGGATAGTTCCCTCTCAAAATATAAGGCTTTGTTACGTTTTGCATTGCATTATCTGACATTTTTTACTTCCAGGGGTATCAGAAATTACTTTACATTGTGAGAGAGCTTTGGTGTATAATCACTAGGTAGGAAATATAGTTTTGGGGATAGCTAATCACAGTTATGAGAAGATAGTCAGCTCTTTGTATGTTTGAATTAGAGAAGCATGCTCTTGGCAACCTAGAAGGTACAGAAATGTCCCCAGGCCCCATTGAGAGATAAGACTCCCATGAGAGATGGGCTGCTTGTCTCTTTTTTACAATCTAAGATCTAGTATAAAAATTAGACCTTTAATTTTTGGGGATTTGTTTTGCCTTCCAGTTGCACCTGCTTATTAAGTCATAGAAACTGCATGCTTTAAAGAGAAACTTAAAAACTGGCAAATGGAAAATCTTACAACTAGTAGATCTTCTGTCAGTATTTATATGTGTCGTGTGTGATGTTTACATATAAAAGAACTCTGATTAATTGGCTTAAAAATAATAAGCACTTAAATCAAATATTTTGTCAAAAGAATAAAAACTATAGTGACTTTAGTAAGCTTTGGGAAAGAAGAACAATTTTATATGCAAGGTGTGTAAGGAAAGCGAAATGTGGTTTTGGTAAAAAATTATAAGAAGGCATGGGAATGTGGATTTTTTTTTTCCTGGTCTGGTTTAGAGAATTGAACAGTTATTTCCAGTTAGATAGGAAAAAGGTAAAGGTTTGAACAAGTTGTGGCAGGTTTGTGAAAAATTAATCTTATGAAAGAAATTCTATGTGTGAATATATTGGCTAAAATTAAAGGGGTATTATTCAGTTTATTTGTAAATTGAGCATGGGAGTAAAAGCACAACAGGGTTTCCTGAGAGCAATGATGTGCTTTTGACAAAAATTGTAAACTGTTATAAAAGATTTATGAGAATTTTATCTTATGGTCAAAGTAATTAAGATTGGATAGATTTACCTGTAAGATTTTAGTAAAAATTGGGTTGACATTAATAGTACACTAATGCAAGTGTGAAATGTGGGTTTTTCTCTTGAAAAAGATTTTTATGTAATCATTTAAAAATTAAAGATTTTAGTTTGCCTTTTGAATCAACTACAGGAAAAAGAAGGAAAAAAAAGACAGATTGGAAAGCTACTTCTTCCCTCTTAATGAGTAAAGGTTTTTGCCTTTTTAAATTTTTGAGCTATCATTTTGGCTAAATGAATGACTTATGGTAATCTGGGATTTGATTTTATAATATAAAGTATCTTAAACCTTTGATACTTGACAAACTTTCAAAAATCAAATTATAAATTATGTCTTTTTCTGACCAAATTAATCTTTAAAATATTAGGTCCCCTAAAGTCCAAAACTGACATATTTGGCTTATTTGATGTAAAAGTCATAGAGGAACCATTGTCAATATGAAATGGTGTTTGACATACGTTGGACTGTATTTGTTTAAATATGTTGTTATATTATGTGTTCCAAAATTATGAAAAACTTCTATAATTCTGATATGACTTAGTGTATGTCTTTAATAGTTGTAATTTTTATGTTAACTTGTTGTATGCCACAGAAGTAACCAAAATTCCTATTCAATTATGGCTTTAATTGTGGCTGTCCTAAGACTTTTTGTCATCCACAATTGTTGTCTTGTTTTGATCCTTTACAAAAGGTGGTTTATAATCAGCTATAGGACTTTGACAGGTGCTCTTGAATGCAGTTTGCTAAAAACTTTGGAGATTGTGACATTAGAATAGAGGGAAAAACTTTCAGGACTCTCATGGAGAGCTGAGATGTTTACGAATATCAAATGAAACAGGAGTTAACAGCATGGACTGAACTAATAGAAGACTGAAGTATTTTTCTGACTTTTTGCTTAAAATGTTGTTAATCCTTTGTTTTATTTTTCAGAGTCAAATAAACTTTTCTTTTGAGCTATTTACAGCTTTTAACAATTGAGTAAAGTATACTCTTGTGAGCAAAATTTGGAGCATATTTGTTTCTCTCTACCTGATTTTTCCAGAATTTGGAAACTATTTGTGACTATGCTTAATTGATGGCAATATAGTTATTTGCATAAGTGCAATAAGAGTGTTTTGCAACAGGACACAATTGGAGAAACTGGTTACTTTACAAATGCTTTGATTGGAATGGCATGCTTTCCTTTAAAGAATCAAACTTGATTTGTAGAGCTAATAAAAGCCCCTTGGGAAAACTGGCCTCATACCTTGTGGACACAGTGTCTATACGACCTAGGGTAAGTAAAGAATGTCACTTTCTGACTGGCCCAGGACCCACAAGTTATCTTGTGACCCAAGAGTAGAGGAATTTACCCAAGTCATAGGTGTTTGAGAGTACAAATCTATGGCTGGGCTGAGCTTTTAAAAAAGTTTTATCTGAGATTCCTTATGGAACAGAGCTCCATCAAAGCCAATTTTAAAAGCCTATGTGAAACATTATTCTTGCTGCACTTTATACAAACAATCAGGGTAAATGTAAGACTAAGGCTTATTTTTGCAAATGAACTGGTCCTATTATGATTTGTCTTTAGTAAAAATGGGAGACTGAAGAGAAAAAAATACTTTTCAAAAACTATAGTAACCTGTTACTAGATTCTAGTCTCATCAGTGGTTTTTAATTTTTTTTTTTCTTGCAATTTAGACTAACCCTGCTTATTCCTGTGAGCCAATCAGTGATCTCTGACTGCAGCTCAGAAAAAACAAGAGGGATGGGTAATGTAAAAATCTTGATCAATATTCTAATTCTGGGTATATATTGGAATCAGCTAGCAGTCCCATATCAGCTTAGTTCCAATAGTTTACCAGTTCATGGAAAACCTTCTAATTTATTTTACTTGAGATAATTTTACTAATTTTGCTTTACTGTTGTGAAATATATTGCTGTTATACTCTTTGAGTAGGAATGCAGGAGAAGCTTACTGAATATTTTCTTAAATTGAACCCTTATTAATCTCCTAGATATCATCTTTTGTCAGAACTCAGAGTTATGAATGGTCCTTGACATACCAATCCTTTCTGACTGAGTTCCTCTCTACACTGAATACAAGAGACCATAATAGGCAGGAATATCATTGCCCCTATTCAGCCTGAAGAAGTTACAGAAAATGGATCTTCATTCCTCTATAACCCTTAGGATTAAGGGTTCCTTTATAAAAGGGAGGGAAAAAATGTCAAAGGCATTTGAACCAGAGTGATTCCATTTTGAATAGGGGCTGGGTAAAGTGAGGCTGAGACATACTCGGCTGAATTCCCAGGAGGTTAGGTATTCTAAGTCACAGGATGAGATAGGAGGTTGGCACCAGACACAGGTCAAAAAGACCTTGCTGATAAAATATGTTGTGGTAAAGATGCTGGCAAAAACCCACCAAAACCAAGATGGTGATGAAAGTGACCTCAGGTCATCCTCACTGCTCATTATGCACTAATTATAATGTATTAGCATGCTAAAAGACACTCCTGCCAGCACCATGACAGTTTACAAATGCCATGGTAATGTCAGGAAGTTACCTTATCTGGTCTAAAAAGAGGAGGAACCCTCAATTCTGGGAATTGCCTACCTGTTTCCTGGAAAACTCATAAATAATCCACCACTTGTTTGGCATGTAATCAAGAAATAACCATAAAAATAGCCAAACTGCAGCCCTTGGGACTGCTTTGCCTATGAAGTAGCCATTCTTTTATTTCTTTACTTTCCTAATAAACTTGCTTACACTTAAAGAAAAATAAATAAAGGGCATCCAAATTGGAAAGGAAGAAGTCAAACTATCCTTGTTTGCAGATGATAAGATCTTATATTTGGAAAAACCAGAAGACCCCAACAAAGGACTATCAGAACTGTTAAACAAATTCAGTAAAGTTACAGGATAATAAATCCCCATCCAAATATCAGTAGCATTTATATACACCAACAGTGAGCAATCTGAAAGAAAGTAAAAAAAGTAATCACATTTACAATAGCTACAAAAAACCCCTAGGAATTAACCAAAGAAGTGAAAGATCTCTACAATGAAAACTATGAAACACTGATAAAAGAAAATTGAAGAGGGCACAAAAAATGAAAAGATACTCTGTGTTCGTGGATTGGAAGACTCAGTATTGTTAAAATGTCCATACTATCCAAAGCAATCTACAAATCCAATACAATCCTCATCAAAATACCAACGACATTCTTCATAATAATAGAAAAAACAATCCTCACATTTGTATGCAACCACAAAAGGCCAAAAATACCCAAAGCTATCTTGAGCATAAAGAACAAAACTGGAGGAATCAGATTACCAGACTTCAAATTATACTACAGTTATAGTCACCAAAATGGTATGGTACCAGCATAAAATCATACACATAGACCAATGGTAGGCAATAGAGAACTCAGAAACAAATCCATACAACTACAGTGAACTCATTTTCAACAAAGGTCCCAAGAACATACATTGGCAAAGGTCAGTCTCTTCAATAAATAGTGCTGGGAATCTTGGATATCCACATGCAGAAGAATGAAACTAGATCCCCGTCTCTCACCATATACAGAAATCAAACCAAAATGGATTAAAGACTTAAATCTAAGGCCTCAGAATATGAAATTACTGAAAGAAAACATTGGGGAGACTCTCAAGGACATGGACTGGGCAAAGATTTCTTAAATAATACCTCACAAGCACAGGCAACCAAAGCAAAAATGGAAAAATAGGGTCACATTAAGTTAAAATCTCCTGCACAGTAAAGGAAACAATCAGCAAAGTGCAGAAGCAACCTGTAAAATGGGAGAAAATATTTACACACTATCCCTCTGACAAGGGATTAATAACCAGAATATATAAGGAGCTCAAAGAACTCTACAGAAAAAATGGAATAATCGGATCAAAAAATGGGCAAAAGATTCAAGTACGCATTTCTGAGAAGACATACAAATGGCAAATAGGCATATGAAAAAGTGCTCAACATAACTGATCATCAGATAAATGCAAATAAAAACTACAGTAAGATATCATCTCATCCCAGTTAAAATGGCTCATACTCAAAAATCATGCAATAACAAATGCTGGCAAGGATGTGGGGAAAAAGGAATCCTCGTATACTGTGGATGGGAATGTAAATTAGTGCAATCATTATGGAGAACAGTTTGGAGGTACCTCAAAAAAATAAAAATAAAAATTTAGCTACCATATGATCCAGCAATCTCACTGTTGGGTATATACCCAAAAGAAAGGAAATCAATATATCAAAGAGATAGCTGCACTCCTGTTTGTTGCAACACTGTTAACAATAGCTAAGATTTGGAAGCAACCTAAGTGTCCATCAACAGATAAATGGATAAAAAAAATGTGGTACTTACACACAATGGAGTACTATCGGCCATAAAAAGAAAGAGATCTTGTCATTTGCAACTATATGGATGGAACCGGAGTTCATCATGTTAAGTGAAAGAAGCCAGGCACAGAAAGACAAACTTTGCATGTTCTCACTAATTTGTGGGAGCTAAAAACTAAACCAGTTGATCTCATGGGTATAGAGACTAAAATGATTGTTACCAGCATCTGGAATTGGTAGTGGGGTGATGGGGAAAAGTGGGAATGGTTAATGGGTGTGAAAGAATAGTTAGATAGAATGAATAAGATCTAGTATTTGATACCACAACAGGGTGCCTATAGTAAGCAATAATTTTTGTACATTTAAAAATAACTAGAAGAGTATAATTGAATTTTTGTAACACAAAGGAAAGATAAATAATTGAGGGGATGGATACCCTTTTACCCTGATGTGATTATTATGCATTGTCTATCTGTATCAAAATATAGCATAACCCATAAATATGTAATCTATTATGTGCCCACAAAGATTAAAAATAAGAAATTAAAAGAAACACATCCTATTTTATGTATGTATATATAATTTTAAATTGTAGTACAACATAAAATTTTCCAACTTTACCATGTTTACGTGTAGAGTTTATTAGTGTTAATTATACTCCCATTGTCATGTAACAGATGTCCAGAACTTTTTCATCCTATTAAAACTAAAACTTTCTACCCAATAACCAAGAACTCCTAATTCTTTCCTCCCCCAGCCCCTGGCAATCACCATTCTTTTGGTCTCTATAAATTTGACTACTTCAAATACCTCACATAAGTGGAATCATACAATATTTGTCTATTTGTGACTGAATTATTTCACTTAGCATAATGTTCAATCAGATCCTATTTAAAATCTCTTGAAGGTCCTCCTATAGATCTGAGTGAGAATTATGACTTTTTATTGTGGTAAAATACACATATCATAAAATTTACCACTATTGACATTTAAAACATTCACTATGTCATGCAACAATCACCACTATCTACTTCCAGAATGTTTTCATTATCCCAAAAGAAAACCCTATAGTCATTAAGCAGTCCCTCTCCTTTCCTCCTTCACCCTTGTTCCTTGCAACCACTAACCAGTTTTCTGTCTCTATGGATTTACCTGTTCAGGATATTTCACATACGCAAAATCACACAACATGTGGCCTTTGGTGTCTTCGTTTCTTTCACTTAGTGTAATGTATTTGAGGTTAGCATTCCTTTTTAACGCTGAATGCTATTTCATTGTGTGCATATACAACTTTTTAAAAATCCATTCATTGGTTAACAAACATTTGGGTTGTTTCCAATTCTTCATTATAGCAAAGAGTGTTGCTGTGAACACTTCCATACGAGGTTTTGTTTGAACATCCGTTTTCAATTCTTTGGAGTATATGCTGAAATTTATGACATTTTATTAAATCATATTTTTCCTGTATGCTTTGCTAGAAAGTTGTATAACATTCTGCATCTTTTCACCTTCAGGCCAGTTGCCATTATGTCCCCAGTGGGAAATTTTAGCACGTATTTATTAGAAGATGATTCTATAAGCTGCAACTTAGAGCAATATTAAAATTTTCAATATCATCAACACCTTCTAAATAACATTCTAATGTTACCAATTTCATAAAACATCCTCCTATAATACTAACACAGAACCCACAATTCTTATTCCTCAGAATAGGGTATCCTTGAAAATCAGTACAAGACAAGAATACCCTCCCTCACCACTCCTGTTCAACATAGTACTGGAAGTCCTGACCAGGGCAAGAAGGCAAGAGAAAAACAAAGTGTATTCAAATAGGAAGAGAGGAAGTCAAACTGTCTCTTTTTGCAGATGACATAATCCAAACTGTCTCTTTTTGCAGATGATATAATCCCATATTTAGAAAGCCCCATCGTTTCAGCCCAAAAGCTTCTTAAGCTAATAAGCAACTTCAGCAAAGTCTCCAGATACAAAATCAATGTGCAAAAAATCACAAGCATTCCTATGCACCAACAATAGACAAGCAAAGAGCCAAATCATGAATGAACTGCCATTCACAATTGCTACAAAGAAAATAAAAAGCTAGGAATACAGCTAACAAGGGAAGGGAAGGACCTCTTCAAGGAGAACTACAAACCACTGTTCAATGAAATCAGAGAGGAATCAAGCAAATGGAAAAACATTCCATGCTCATGGATAGAAAGAATCAATATTGTGTAAATGGCCATAGTGTCTAAAGTAATTTACAGATTCAATGCTATTCTCATTAAACTACCATTGACATTTATCACAGAATTAGAAAAAACTACTTTAAAATTCATATGGAACCAGAAAGGGGCCCGTAGAGCCAAAACAATCCTATGCAAAAAGAAGAAAGCTGGAAACATCATGCTACCCAACTCCAAACTATACTACAAGGCTACAGTAACCAAAAAATCATGATACTGGTACAAAAACAGACATGTAGACCAATGGAACAGAATAGAGATCTCAGAAATAAGACTGCACATCAGCAGCCAGGTGATCTTTGACAAACCTGAAAAAAACATGCAATCAGGAAAGAATTTCCTGTTTAATAAATGGTGCTGGGAAAATGGCTAGCCACATGCAGAAAATTGTAACTAGATCCCTTCCTTACACCTTACACATCAATTAGTCTGTTTAGGGTATCTATTTCTTCCTGATTTAAGCTAGGAGGGTTGTATTTTTCCAGAAATTTATCCATTTCTTCTAGGTTTTCTAGTTTATATGTGTAAAGGTGTTCATAGTAGCCTTGAATGATCTTTTGTATTTCAGTGGTGTCAGTTGTAATATCTCCTGTTTCATTTCTTAGTGAGGTTATTTGAATTTTCTCTCTTCTTTTCTTGGTTAATCTTTCCAATGGTCTATCAATGTTATTTATCTTTTCAAAGGACCAGCTCTGTTTCATTTATCTTTTGTATTGCTTTTTGTTTGTTTGTTTGTTTCAATTTCATTTAGTTCTGCTCTGATCTTGGTTATTTCCATTCTTCTGCTGTGTTTGGGTTTGGTTTTTTCTTGTTTCTCTAGTTCCTTGAGGTGTGACCTTAGAGTGTCAGTTTGTGCTCTTTCAGTCTTTTTGATGTAGGTGTTTAGGGCTATGAACTTTCCTCTTAGCACCGCCTTTGCTATATCCCAGAGGTTTTGATAGGTTATGTCATTACTGTCAATCAGTTTGAATAATTTTTTAATTTCCAACTTGATTTCATTTTTGACCCAATGCTCATTCAGGAGAAAGTTATTCAATTTCCATGTATTTCCATGGTTTTGAAGGTTCCTTTTGGAGATGATTTCAAGTTTTATTGCACTGTGGTCTGAGAGAGTGCTTGATATAATTTCAATTTTCTTAAATTTATTGAGGCTCATTTTATGGCCTATCATGGTCTATCTTGGAGAAAGTTTCATGCACTGTTGAATACATGTGTATTCTGCAGTTTTTGGATGAAATGTTCTGTATATATCTGTTAACTCCATTTGTTCCAAGGTATAGCTTAAATCCATGTTTCTTTGTTGACTTTCTGTCTTGATGACTTCTCTAGTGCTGTCAGTGGAGTGTTGAAGTCTCCCACTATTATTGTGATGCTGTCTATCTCATTTCTTAGGTCTAGTAGTAATTGTTTTATAAATTTGAGAGCTCCAGTGTTAGGTGCATGTATGTTTAGGATTGTAATATTTTCCTGTTGGACAAGGCCTTTTACCCTTATATAATGTCCCTCTTTATCTTCTTTAACTGATGTGGCTTTAAAGTTTGTTTGGTCTGATATAAGAATAGCTACGCCTGCTTGCTTTTGCTGTCCATTTGAATAAAATGCCCTTTTCTACCCCTTTACTTTAAGTTTCTGTGAGTCCTTATGTCTTAGGTGAGTCTCCTGAAGGCAGCAGATAGTTGGTTGGTGAATTCTTATCCATTCTGCAGTTCTGTAACTTTTAAGTGGAACATTTAGGTCATTTACATTTAATGTTAGTATTGAGATGTGAGATACCATTCCATTCATTGGGCTATTTGTTGCCTGTGTACCTAGGTTTTTTTGTTTTTTGTTTTTGCTTTTTAAATTGTAGTTTTGTTTTATAGGTCCTGTGTGATTCAGACTTTAAAGAGGTTCTGTTTTAATGTGTTTCCAGGATTTGTTTCAAGATTTAGAACTCTTTTTTTTAGCAGTTCTTGTAGTGGTGGCTCAGTAGTTGTGAATTCTCTCAGTTTTTGTTTGTCTGAAAAAGGCTGTATCTTTCCTTCATATATGATGCTTACATTTGCTGGATACAAAGTTCTTGTCTGATAATTATTTTGTTTGAGGAGGCTGATGATAGGGCCCCAATCCTTTCTGGTTTGTAGGGTTTCTGCTGAAAAATCTGCTGTTAATCTGATAGGTTTTCCTTTATAGTTTACCTGGTGCTTTGTCTCACAGCTCTTAAGATTCTTTCCTTCACCTTAACTTTAGATAACCTGATGACAATGTGCCTAGGCAATGATATTTTTGTGATGAATTTCCCAGGTGTTTTTTGTGCTTCTTATATTTGGATGTCAAGTTCTCTAGCAAGGCCAAGGAAGCTTTCCTCGATTATTCCCCCAAATAATTCAAACTTTTAGATTTCCCTTCTTCCTCAGGAACAACAATTATCCTTAGGTTAGGTTCTTTAATACAATCCCTGACGTCTTGGAGGCTTTGTTCATATTTTCTAATTCTTTTTTCTTTGTCTTTGTTGGATTGGGTTAATTCAAAGACAGATTCACAGCAAAACTCTACCAGACATTCAAAGAAGAATTGATGCCAATCCTTTTAACACTATTCCACAAGATTGAGAAAGAAGAAACCCTCCCTAATTCATTCCATGAAGGCAGCATCACTCTAATACCAAAACCAGGAAAGGACATAACCAAAAAAAAAAAAACAAAAAAAAAACTACAGACAGATATCCTTGATGAACAAGGATGCTAAAATCCTTAACAAAATACTAGCTAACTGAATACAACAACATATCAAAAAGATAATCCACCATGATCAAGTGGGTTTCATACCAGGGATGCAGGGATGGTTTAACATACGCAAGTTAATAAATGTGATACACCACATAAAGAGAATTAACAACAAAAATCACATTATTATTTCAATAGATGCAGAAAAAGCATTTGACAAAATCCAGCAACCTTTATGATTTAAACTGTCAGCAAAACTGGCATACAAGGGACATATCTCAATGTATTAAAAGCCATCTATGACAAACCCACAGCCAACATAACATTGAATGGGGAAAAGTTGAAAGCATTCCCTCTGAGAACTGGAGCAAGACAAAGATGCCCACTCTCACCACTCCTCTTCGACATGGTAGTTACTGGATGTCCTGGCCACCGCAATCAGCCTAGAGAAAGAAATAAAGGGCATCCATATCAGGAAAAAGGAAGTCAAAAATGTTACTGTTTGCTGACGATATCAACATTTACCATGAAAACCCTAAGGACTCCTACAGATAGCTCCTAGAACTGATAAAAAAAAATTCAGCAAAGATTCCAGATACAAGATTAGTAGCTCTTCTAGACACCAACAGCAACCAAGTGGAGAATCAAATCAAGAACTCAACACCTTTTACATTAGCTGAAAAAAAAAAAAAAAACAAACAAACAAAAAACCAAAAAACTTAGGAATATACCTATATACCTAACCAAGGAGTTGAAAGACCTCTACAAGGAAAACTACAAAATGCACTGAAAGAAATCATAGACAACATGAATATATGGAAACACATCCCATGCTCATGGATGGGTAGAGTCAATATTGTGAATAAGACCATATTGCCAAAAGCAATCTACAAATTTAATGTAATCGCCACCAAAATACCACCATAATTCCTCACAGAATTAGAAAAAAAACAATTCTAGAATTCATATGGAACCAAAAAAGAGCCTGCATAGCCACAGCAAGACTAAACAAAAAGAACAAATCTGGAGGCATCACACTACCCGATTTCAAACTCTACTATAAGGCCAGATTCTCCCAAACAGCATGGTACTAGTGCAAAAATAGGCACATAGACCAGTGGAATAGAGAATAGCAGAATAGAGAACCCAGAAATAAATCCAAATACTTACAGCCAACTGATCTTTGATAAAGCAAAGAAAAACATAAAGTGCAGAAAGGGCACCCTTTTCTACAAATGGTGCTGGGATAATTGGCTAGCCACATGTAGGAGAATGAAACTTGATTCTTATCTCTCACTTTATACAAAAATCAACTCAAGATGGATTAAAAACTTAAACCTAATACCTGAAACTATAAAAATTCTAGAATATGACATTGGAAAATCTCTTCCAGATATTATCTTAGGCAAGGATTTCATGACCAAGGACCCAAAAGCAAATGCAATAAAAACAAAGATAAATAGCTGGGACCTAATTAAACTAAAGAGCTTTTGCATGACAAAAGGAACAGTCAGCAGAGTAAACAGACAACCCACAGAGTGGGAGAAAATCCTCACAATCTATACATCTGACAAAGGACTAATATCCTGAATCTACAATGAACTCAAATACATCAGTAAGAAAAAACTAAACAATCCCATCCAAATGTGGGCTAAGGACATGAATAGACAATTCTTAAAAGATCATGTACAAATGGCCAATAAACGTACGAAAAAATGCTCAACATCACTAATGATCAGGGAGATGCAAATCAAAACCACAGTGCAATACCATCTCACTCCTGCAAGAATGGCCATAATCAAAAAATCAAAAAACAGATGTTGGTGTGAACATGAACAGGGAACACTTCTACACTGCTGGTGGGAATATAAACTAGTGCAGCTGCTGTGGAAAACAGTGTGGAGATTCCTTGAAGAACTAAAAGTAGAACTACCATTTTATCCAGCAATCCCACTACTGGTTATCTACCCAGAGGAAAAGAAGTCATTATTCGAAAAACATACTTGCACATGCATGTTTATAGCAGCATGATTCACAATTGCAAAATCATGGAACCAACCCAAATGCCCATCAATCAATCAGTGAATAAAGAGACTGTGGTGTGTGTGTGTGTGTGTGTATATATATATATATATATACACACACACACACACACATGAAAATATATATATGTGAATATATATTCCATATATACATAGTATTCCATCATATATATATTCACGTATATATGTTTTCATATATACATATTCACATATATATGTTTTCATATATACGTGAATATATATATGAAAACATATATACGTGAATATATATATGAAAAAATATATACGTGAATATATGAAAAAATATATACGTGAATATATATATGAAAATATATACGTGAATATATATATGAAAATATATATATGTGAATATATATATGAAAATATATATATGTGAATATATATATGAAAATATATATATGTGAATATATATATGAAAATATATATATGTGAATATATATATGAAAATATATATATGTGAATATATATATGAAAATATATATATGTGAATATATATATGAAAATATATATATGTGAATATATATATGAAAATATATATATGTGAATATATATATGAAAATATATATATGTGAATATATATATGAAAATATATATATGTGAA
This sequence comes from Homo sapiens, assembly GCF_000001405.40. Lineage (NCBI taxonomy): Eukaryota > Metazoa > Chordata > Mammalia > Primates > Hominidae > Homo > Homo sapiens. The sequence goes on along the minus strand of NC_000023.11, from coordinate 112,485,550 downwards.
TATATATATGAAAATATATATATGTGAATATATATATGAAAATATATATATGTGAATATATATGAAAATATATATATGTGAATATATATATGAGAATATATATATGTGAATATATATATGAGAATATATATATATGATGGAATACTATGCAGCCATAAAAAGGAATGAATTAACAGCATTTGTAGTGACCTAGATGAGATTGCATACTATTATTCTAAGTGAAGTAACTCAGGAATGGAAAACCAAACATTGTATGTTCTCACTGATGCTTGGGAGCTAAGTTTTGAGGACGCAAACACATAACAATGATATGATGGACTTTGGGGACTTAGGGGGAAGAGTGGAAGGGGGCAAGGGATAAAAGACTACAAATATGGTGCATTGTATACTGATCGGGTGGTGGGTGCCCCTAAATCTCACAAATCACCACTAAGGAACTTACTCATGTAACCAAATATTCCTGTTAATTTTTTTAACTTATGAAATAAAAATAACTCTGGATGGTTTAAAGACTTAAATATAAAACCCATAACTATAAGAATCCTAGACGATAATCTAGGCAATACCATTCAGGACATGGGCATGGGCAAAAATTTCATGACAAAAACACCAAAGGAATTGCAACAAAAGAAAAAGTTGACAAATGGGATCTAATTAAACTAAAGAGCTTCTGCACAGCAAAAGGAAATACCATTAGAGTGAACAGACAACGTACAGAATGGGAGAAAATTTTTGCAATCTATCCATCTGGCAGAGGTCTCATATGCAGTCTACGAGAAACTTAAACAAATGTATAAGAAAAAAACAAGCAACTCCATTAAGAACTGGGCAAAGAACATGTACAGACACTTCTCAAAGAAGACATTTATGTGTCCAACAAACATATGAAAAAAGCTCAACATCACTGATCATTAGAGAAATGCAAATCAAAACCACAATGAGATATCAGCTCACACCGGTCAGAACGGCAATTATTAAAAAATCAAGATAAAACAGAAGCTAGTGTGGCTGTGGAGAAATTGGAATGCCTTTACACTCTTGGTGGGAATGTAAATTAGTTCAACCATTGCAAAAAACAGTGTGACAATTCCTCAAAGACCTAGAACCAGAAATACCGTTTGACCCAGCAATCCCATTACTGGGTATATACCCAAAGAAATATAAATCATTCTATTATAAAGATACATGCACACATATGTTCATTGCAGCACTATTCACAATAGCAAAGACATGAAATCAACCCCAATTTCCATCAATAATAGACTGGATAAATAAAATGTGGTACCTATATACCATGAAACACTACGCAGCCATAAAAAGGAATGAGATCATGTCCTTTGCAGGCACATGGATGGAGCTGGAAGCCATTATCCTCAACAAACTAATTCAGGAACAGAAATCCAAACATTGCATGTTCTCACTTATAAGTGGGAGCTGAACAATGAGAACACATGGACATGTCGGGGGAAAGAATACACACTGGGGTCTGTTGGGGGATGCCAGGGGAGGGAGAGCATCAGGATAAATGGGTAATGCATGTGAGGCTTAATACCAAGGTAATGGGTTGATAGGTGCAGCAAACCACAATGGCACATGTTTACCTATGTAACAAACCTACACATCCTGCACATGTACCCTGGAACTTTAAATTAAATTGAATTAAATTTTTAAAAAGGATTAGGGTATTCTATTTTATTTAAGAAGATCATATGTGAATGCTTACTTTCTCAAACTAGAACCTTATCAAGTCCTTCCAGGGCCATAACTAACTCTCTTATTTCTCATATGTCCTTAGACACACATAGACTAATGTCTAGTACAAAATATTGTTTAAGAACATGAATTTCAATCCTAGCTTCATCACTTATCAGCTCTATGACCATGGACATCTTTATTAGTTAACTCATCTGTGTCTCTTTTTGAATTCATAAATTGTGAGCTAATAGTAACATTTACCACATTAGGATTTTGTGAGGATAAGTGATTTAATGCATATGTAAGGCACTTAAGATAATGCCTTATTCTAAGTCATAATTAGCTATTATTATAGCTATTGGATGTTATTAACTTTATTAGTCAATATAGCAAATATTAGCTATTATAATATTTTCCATTAGTAGTGGTAGTTGGGGTCTGGTGAAACTAAGTTCAAATTGTAGATCTGGAGGACACAAATAAATGGAATGATATCCTGTGCTCATGGATTGGGGGAATTAATATTGTTAAAATGTCCATACTAGGCACAGCAATATATAGATTCAATGCAATCACTATCAAAATTTCAATGCTATCCTTCACAAAAATGGAAAAGAAATCCCTGAAATTTGTATAGAAACAAAATACCCCCAAATATCCAAAACAATTCTGTGAAAGAAAAACAAAGTTGGAGGTATCACAGTTCTTAATTGAAAATTATATTACAAAGCTATAGTAATAAAACAGTGCGGCACTGGCATAAATACAGTCATATAGATGAGTGGATTAGGATAGAGAGCCCAGAAATAAATCCAAACATATATGGTCACCTAATTTTTTGCAAGAGCACCAAGAAGACACATGGGGAAAGGACTATCTCTTCAATAAGTGGTGCTGGGTAAACTGGACTTACACATGCAAAAGAATGAAGTTGGACCCTTATCTTACACCAAACACAAAACTTAAGTAAAAATGAATAAAGACCTAAATTTAAGACTAGAAACTTTAAAACTTCTAGAAGATAACAAGGTAACATAAGGATAAAGCTCTTCTACAGAATATATATATACATATGTAAATAAAATAAAATAGCAACCTATCATTTGGAAAAAAATTTGCAAGCCATATGTCTGATAAGGGGTTACTATTCAAAATATATTAAGAATTCATACACCTAAATAGTAGAAAAACAAATAATATAATCATAAAAATAAGCATATGATCTAAATAGACATTTCTTCAATGAAGACATACAAATGATCAATGGGTACATAAAAACATGCTCAACATCATTAATCATCAAGAAAACGCAAATCAAAGTCACTATGAGATATCATCTCACATCCGTTAGGATGACTATTATCAACAAGTTAAAAGGTAACAAATAGTGGCGAGGGTGTTGAGGAAAGTGAACTCTTGTACGCTGTTGGTGGAAATGTAGATTGGTACAATTGTTATGGCAAAAAGTAGAGAGGCTTCTAAGGAAATTAAAAATAGATATACCATGTGATTCAGCATTTCCTCTTCTAGACATACTGTATTAGTCCCTTCTCATGCTGCTATAAAGAACTGCCCAAGACTGGGTAATTTATAAAGGAAGGAAATTTAATTGACTCACAGTTCCGTAGGACTGGGGAGGCCTCAGGAAACTTACAATCATGGCAGAAGGGGGAGCAAACACATCCTTCTTCACTTGGTGACAGGAAGGAGAAGTGCAGAGTGAAGAGGGGAAAAGCACCTTATAAAACCATCAGATCTCATTAGAACTCACTCACTATCATGAGAACAGCATGATGAAACTGCCCCCATGATCTAAACACCTTCCAAGAAGTCCATTCCCCAAAACGTGGGGATTACAATTTGGATTAAAATTCAAGATGAAATTTGGGTGGGGACACAGTGCCAGAGTAAGTCATTCCACCCCTGGCCCCTCCCAAATCTCATCTTTGTTACATTTCAAAACACAATTATACCTTCCCAACAGTCCCCCAAAGTCTTAACTCATTTCAGGCTAAACCCAGAAGTCCAAGACCAAAGTTTTATCTGTGAGAAGGCAAGTCTTTTCTGCCTAGGATCCTGTAAAATCAAAAGCAAGTTAGTTACTTCCAAGACACAATGAGGGTACAGGCATTGGGTGAATGCTCCAATTTTAAAAGGGAGAAATTGGCTCAAGGTCTGCAGCCTTTACAGGAAGCATAGTGGCATCTGCTTCTGGGGAGGCCTCAGGAAGCTTCCAATCATGGCAGAAGTCAAAGGGGGAGCAGGCACATCACATGGCGAGAATGGGAGCAAGAGAGAGAGAATGGAGGCAGGGAGGTGCCACATACTTTTAAATGAGATCTTGTCATTTACACACACAAGAATGAGATCTTGTCATTTGCCATAATATGGATGAGCTTGGAGGAAATTATGCTAAGTGAAATAAGCTAAATACAGAAAGAAAAATAATTCGTGATTCACTTACATGTGGAATATTAAAGAACAATCAAACACACTGTGGCACTTCATATCTGTAGTTTCCACATCCACAAATTCAACGAATCGTAGTTTTAAAATATTTGGACAAAACAGAAAATACACAGTAAAAAATACTAAAAAGTACTACAAATAATAAACAATACAGCATAACAACTAGTTACATAGTGTTTACATTGTATTATATATCATAAGTAATCTTGAGATGATTTAAAGTGTACAGGAGGCTGTGCATAGGTTATATGCAAATACCACACCATTTTATATAAGAAATTTGAGCATTGGTCGATTTTGTTATCCACAGGGGTCCTGGAACAAATCCCCCACAGATACTGAGGGACAACTCTATACAGAGATAGGGAACAAAGCAGTGGTTACTAGGGTAGGGTTGAAGAGGAAATGGAGAGGTGTGGACCAGAGGAAACAATGTAGGAGATATATAGAATGAACAAGTCTGGAGATCTATTGTACATCATGAAGACTACAGGTAAAAAAAAATTGCACTGTATTTAAGAATTACGTAAAATGAATAGATTTTAGTTGCTCTTGCCAAAAAAACTCCCACAAAATAATGGGTAACTATGTGAGATGATGGATAGGTTAATTTGTTTCACTATAGTAAGCTTTTAACTATCTATATGTATTTCAAAACATTGTGTTGTATACCTTAAATGTACATAGTGAAATTTATTCTTTTAAAATCCTGAATCTGTCAATTACTAACACTTTCTGTGGCTCCCACTTCCATTCTGTGTCATTGTGAACTTGCTGCTTAAAAATACACATGCACATACATGTACACACATGTGCAGTCTCCTGTGTTATATCTCTGTGTCAGAGACTTGCTAATTTTCCACCATCATCCATGTTTTTCCCTTTGGTATTCTACATTGCAGTTAGGTAGGGGCATGTAACTACATACTGGCCTTTGGGATGTGGGTGGAAGGGATGTGCGTGATTTCCAGGTTGGGCTCATAAAATCTCCCCTGAGGTCCTCTTTGCATTGGTCTCCAGTTTGGATGCAGAAAGTGGAGTAAAAAATACCAAGGCCCTAGAAAATGATTGGAGGAGATTGGACACCAGAGTTACTATGTGGGAGGTTTCTTGTCGACCACCTGATTGGACTATGATGTGAATGAGGAATAAACATTTTACTATGTTAAATCCCTAAAATGTTGAGGTTGTTTGTTACAGCAATTAAAATTTTAGACTAATATAATAATCCTCTAATTTGCATGATCAGTGCTCAATTAGTGCGCACATGCCATGGAATTCCTAAATGCGAGAGCTATAGCTACAGGGTCAAACATACTTTATTTAGAAACCAAGCCATTTTCAGGCCTGGCTCTTATGCTGACCAAGGGTGGCTGCATGTATTCCCTCTCTACCAGCTGCTCTCCCTTGCAGAGCTGGCTGACCTGCCCCAGCCTCGCCATAAAAATGGTCTACTCTGCCATCATTTCCTTGGGAATTAATTTGCCCTTTGTTTTGGCTTACTGGCTGCCTGCCTCTATCTCAGGGAAATCTCTTCAATGGCCTAATTTGGCCTGGAATGGGCTCCAGATCCACCATTTTGAGCCTAGTGATAAGCCAAGCCTAGGGGAGCACTATCAGTCCAGCAGTCTCCACCCACAATATGGCTTTGACACACATACCTACACATCTACTTGTGTGCCTGTTGCTAAAATATAATCACCTAAAGATTCCAGTAGAAGTAGTTCCTAGACTGGCTGCTCCACCTCTCCCAGCTCATATTAGTAGTCTAAGGGAATGGGCTTCCATTCACTTTAATTTGAATGAGAGAAGCTAGGGACTGGGAAGAGGAAAGGAAATACGGAGAATGGAGATGTTCTGCTGCTAAAAAGTGTGGAGAGAGAGAGAAAGAGAGAGATGGACGTACACCAGGGGATAGAAAACCCAAGACAGAGAGGTCTGGGTGGTGCCATGCTAAAGGAGATGGGAACAAGATTTTTTTAAAAAAAAAAAGAAAGAAGGAAAATAGAAAACTGTTCCCCATAGTGTCTCTACAGTTCCCTGTCTTCCTTTTCTCTCTCTCTTTTAAAAGATTCCTGTTCCCATCCCTTGTAGCATAGCATCCCCCATACTTTCCTATCTTGTGTTTTCTATCCCCTGGTATATCTCCACTTCTCTGTGTCTCTGTCTGTCTGTCTCTCTCTCTCTCACACACACACCCACATATGCACACAGTTAGCATTTTTTTTTTAGTAGCAGATCTAAAAATTAAAAAAATCGAACCCATGGACATAGAGAGTAGAAGAATGTTTACCAGAGATTGGGAAGGGTAGTGGGAGGCTGGAGAGGAGATGAGAATGATTAATATGTACAAAAAATAGTTAGAATGAATGACTAAGACCTAGTATTTGATAGCACATCAGGGTGACTTTAGTCAATAATAATTTAATTGTAAATTTTTAAATAATTAAAAGCATAAAATTGGATTGTTTCTAACACAAAAGATAATTCCTCAATGTCTCCTTTGTTTCTCCACAAGGAATCAGATAATTATGATTTTTTAAAGATAAGCCAAGAGTGCAAAGAAGGGGAAAAGAAAGGTGGAGGTGGGAGACCATAGAAAGTCACGTTACTATCCACCCTTCCTGGACCTCGTCTTAATGATGGTGGGAGGAAAGAGGAAGTACGTGCTAATACAATCAGCCTGGGAGAACCCACTCCTGCTCCTCCGCCTTGCCCCATACCTGAAGCCTCTTGGAGTTAATGCCAATTCCTAAAGGCACAATGCCCTCCCGAGAACATGAAACCCAGATGAGCCTCTGATACTACTACTCTTGGGGTGACTGTGTAGGACAAGTAGAGTTGGTACAGAGTTGTTAGGGGCCAAGGGTGAGTGAGGAGCATTGTAAATTAAATAACTATCTTCTAAGTCTTTCCAATTCTCCAATCTTTTCTGTCTCTTTTCCTATCCCTTTCTCCCTTTCTTTCTTGTCACTCTCTTTTTACATCTGGTGTACACAGTTGGAATATTTATACTCCTGGGTTCATAATACACTATTATCTCTGGCTCCTAAATGGCCTTGTTTATGTATTTATAAACCCAATATGATAAACACACCTGTTAATCTACCACTCAATGAACAAAGTACATTACCAACAAACTTAGATCTGTTTTATCCTAATCTGTCTTATCCCTTTATGCACTTCCTTGCTGCAAGAGGTAACTATTTTGTAGTCTTTGTTTATTGTTCTCATGATTTACTTTCCACCTTTTCACCTTCACACACACACACACACACACACACACACACATCTATATCTATCTGCACCAGCAGTTTGGCCATTCAACTATTTACCTAGCTGTATGACTCTGAGTCTTAGTTTCCTCTTCCATATAATGACAATAATAACAATACCTACCTCAGAGAGTTGTGAAGATTCAGTGCCTTCATGAATATAAAGTACCTAGAGAAGCACTCGGCATATGATTAAGAGTAGTAGTAGTAATAATACCCTGCTATTCCCTGAATTGTCCTTTTCTTCCTTTGCTAGGTCATGTGCCACCTCCTCCAGGAAGACCAACTTGATTTCCCCAATTTAAACCAATTCTTAATTTTTCTACATTCCCAGGGTACCTATTCACACCTTCATTCTGGCCCAGAAGTCTAATCCCGCTCATTGCCTATTTTGTAAATAAAATTCTATTGGCTCATTTATGTGTTGTCTATGTCTAATTTCACACCACAATACCAGGGTTGAGTAGCTGTGACAGAGACCATACATCCAGCAAAGCCTATATCATTTACTATGTGGGTAATTACAGAAAAAAGTGTGTTGATCCCTGCCTTAGAAAATAATCTCTCTAAGTATAGGGGCCATGTCTTATGCATCGCTATAGTCCCCCACATGCCTAGCACAGTGTTTTGCCTACAGTTGGTTAATAAAAAATGCTCAAAGAATAGATATAAGTGAGGTGGAAGGTCTTGTTTGCCAAATTCGAAGCTGAAGTTTTATTTTTCCGACAGTGTTGACATCAGCCAGTGTTTCATGTGGATTCCAATCTCCTTGTTGGTGGGAGAAGATGACTTGGAGAGGGCACTGGAAACATGATTTCAGAAAGGCTAGCTTGCTTTGCTCCCTGCAGTGGCTTCCTCATCACGGCCATCTGGCAGTCTTTGATTTTAGAATCTCTAGTTGGCCTCCAACTCTTCCCAGTTCCTCCAGTTTGAGAAACAGTTGAACTGGTTGACCTTTGGAGATCTCACCCAGATTTTACACATATTGGATCTTACTTTCCCTCTGTGTTGTGGTTCAATTATTTATGTCACAGTGGTTACAACGAGAGGATTCAGACTCAGGGAAACCTGAGTGTGATTCTTGACTATGTGAACCCAGTCCTATTGCTTACTGGCTCTGAGCCTCTGTTTCTGGATCTACAAATTGGACATAATAGTACATATCTCATAGGGTTCTTACAGGGTGTAAATGAGATAATGCCTGTACAACACTAAGCACAGTCCTGGGCAAATAGTAAGCACTTGTTAAAGGTAGCTATTGTCATCTTCATCATAGCTATCATCATCACCAGAGGACACATCTTTCCTGCCATGTTTAAGCCACTTGAACACAGGGGCTGTGTCTCAGCCATTTCTGCATTCCCACCATGCCTGGTACATAGTCAGCTCTCAATGTGCATTAATTGCTTTAATTTTAACCTCTCACCCCAAAACTGAAGCTCATGGCAGGGACACAGATGTCAAGCTCTGCCTTACCTCACACTCTCCACTGCCTGCATCTCAAGGCATCTGGGTGTTAATCAGTGCCATATATCAAAAATGGCATGATATATGTGGTAAGTATACCAGCCTTGGGGTGATTCCAAATTAATCTGTCTACATTTTCCAAATGAATAGTAGCTCTATTAAAATTCTCACCTGTGACAAATACATAGTGCATTTCTTTCTTTCCTGAAGAAAGAAATTGCCACTGGGGTGGTATTTCAAAATGCTTGTTTCAACAAGTCTAAATTGCTAAGAGATTGTGCTTAGATTCAAATCTAAAGGACTAGAAAGTCTAAAGGCCAGAGTTTCAGTCTTTTATAGGCACAGATAATAAAAAGGGCATTCAAAAGCTGGCAACCATTTTTCCTGATTCACCACTGAATTGGGCTGAGAAACGGATACGTTAGCCTGGGAATAATGTACTGTATTTTAGAAATCTCATTGCTTATATTAATAAAACGCCACTGTACAGAGGCTCCCAGCATGTCTGGACTTGGCTATTTCCATTGATTTATTTAACACTCTCCTCAGGAGGATAAATGGGATAGACAGCCAGTGAAAGATGGCTGTGGGGGCAGCATCCAAACCCTTGTCAATTCGGCAGCAATCAGCACAAAATCTGGGATCCTAATTAAAGGTCAAGCCTCTAGGTACTCAAAGCCAACAGCAAAACCCAGGAAGCGGGGAGTTTGCTTTCCTCAACTCTTGTCTCCTCTTTCTGTATGCTTTGTCTGACCAACACCCCAATCCCACATGAGGTGATACATTTCTTAATTTTCTTTTGCTTTAAAAAATTATTGAAGTAAAATTAACATGATATAAAAATAAGCTTTGAGAAACAGCTTTATTAATGTATAATTGATATACAAAAACTGCACATATTTAATGTATACAATTTGATGAGTTTGGATATAGGCATGTAACTGTGAAATCATCACTACAATTATGGTAATAGACATATTCATAACCTCTAAAACTTTCCTATGTCCCTTTTTTGTGGTAAGAACACTTGATATAAGATCCGTTTTCTTAAGAAATGTTTGCATGCACATTCTAGTCATCCACACTTAAATAAATGATATAGCTTAATGTGGGCCTTTACCAGGGGCATTTGCATTTACCTAGAGGTCACTGGATTCAATGTAAAGGAATGACATGCTAACTAGAATTTCGGGAGTGGAGAAAGGGATTCTGGGGGACAAGGTTCTTCCTTGGCCACCATCTCATTTTCTCTTGTTACAAAACATAGTGAGATGCTTTAATGGATATCAGTGTTTTTAAGTAGACAGCAATTAAACAAAACTAAGATGAACTTTAGGAGAAGCCAAGAAGAATCTTGACATATGCTGATATTTCTAGGGGCTACTGTTTAGTTTCCTAACTTCATGTATCAAAAAGGTCTGTGAATGAAAATGGTATTACAGAATTACGGTGAAAGAAAGCCACTGGATGAAGCTGAAAACATACTTTTGCTGGAGGTTTCCTTGAGAACAAATATCCACTGGATGGGTTGTAAATAAGATTGGCTTCATGGGCATGCAACCAGTGCAGTCTCACTTGGCACCACACTCAGAAGAGTCCCATGTTTGATGTTTAATGCTTTGCAGTTGCTGTCCTGAAATTCTTAATTTTACTTCTGAGCTTGTGTTTTCTAAAATAAGCCTGATGGCACAATGAAGAATGTGCTGGTGGGCTACAGCCGTGGCTTACATGTGCTCTCATCTCCTGCCACCTCTCTACCTCCCTGGAAAGGGTTCCTCTGCTTTCTAGTGCCCCAGGCCCCACCTGGCCTTTCCTTCCCCACCCCTGCTTAATGACTACTGTCTTTCTCCATCCCCAGTGGGGGCCTGGCACAGACATGCCTAGAGTCAGAGACGGGGCATGTGTTCAGCAGTGTCCTAGACAAGGGCATGCCACTCCAATGTGGCAGCTTCATGGCACATTTGGCAGGTGATTTGGTGGGAGTAAACCTCCTACCTTCCTCAATCCAGGTACGAAGTGTGTCCCACTATGGAAGTTTGCAATCCCTTGGGATTACCCATTCACTGTGGGTTGGGATGGCAGGATTGTGGGAAGAGAAGTTAGACTTTTCTGTCCCCAGATATGGCACAGCATGTCAGCCTGGTGGCTGGTGGGAGGAGAAACCTCATGGGACTGGGTCCCTAAGCACTGTGAGAAGGTTTTCATTCACCTGGCATTTATTCCCATGCCCAAGAAAGCATGATATTAAATAGAATAGAAAAAAATACCATGACAGTGGACTTCAGTTCTGGATAAAGATGGAATAGATGCATTTTTCCCTATTCTTCCCAATAAGGTCAGCTAACAATCTTGTATATTATATTTTTAATTTTTTTACGACTCTGAAAGGTGAAAGAAGACTGCAGACCAATTAGGGATCTCAGGACCTGAGGAACTATGTGGCAGTTAGTTCCCTGGGTTTCCTTTTTGCCTTATATATCCTGGACTGGCTGCTAGAGAAAATGCCAACTCAGTAACAATAACCCCGAAACACCAATGGGCGCAGACACAAAAAGTCCGAACAAAAAACCCTACTCTCTCTAGCCAAAGGACTAGAAAAGAAGCAGCCTAGCAAGACAGAAAACTTTTAGACAATTAATGCTCTACTCCAGCCACACACCATAGAACAAAACTGTGGTCCCATCCTCCCATGCCAGCAAAGGTGGAATGGGCAGTGTGTCCTCCAACCTCACCAGATACCTAATTGCCCACCTGCTGGGATGGTGTCGGAGAGGGCCAAATAAGGTAATGAACCTCCGCGGGAAGCCTGGACTTGCACTTCAAACCAATGATAATAAGACAGTCCTCCTCCCTTCCCAGTGAGGTGGTGTCAGAGACAGCCAAGTGGCAAGCCAGGAATTTCACCACTGCTCAGTGGTTATGAAGTTTCTCCCTCACCTCTCAGTATCAGTGAAGACCATATAGGAAGAGTACAAGGCACTCCTCCTCTTCTCAACCAGGGTAGTAGCAGTGGAAGTTTAGTGGGAAGCCTAAACTCCCACTCATGCGCAGCAGTAATGAGGCACTCTTCTCCTACAAGGTATCAGAGGAGCAAAGGGGAAACCTGGACTTTTACCCCCATTGTACAGTAACATGAAAGCACCCCTCTTCTCTACTGTTGCAGCATCAGAGGAGGCCTGCTAAAACAGAAGGCTTAAATAGACCCAGGGTTGCCTAATGTAATACCCAAAATGTCCAGAATATAGTAAAAAAAAGAATCACCTCTTATGCCAAGAAACTGGAAAATCTCAAATTCAATAAGAAGACGGATCAACAATACCAAGTTGATAGATGTGTAAGAATTATCTGACAAGAATTTTAAAATAGCCATAATAAAAATGCACTAATAAGCAATTATAAATATAAAAATGAAAAAATAGAAATAGTGAAGGAAGCCTAAGCAAAGACATAGAAAATGTAAAGGATAATCAGATGGAAATTTTTGAATTAAAAAATATAATAACCCAAATATTTTTTAAAAACTCAATGGATGGGCTCAGTAGCACAACGGAAGGGACAGAGGAAATAATCAAAGAACTGGAAGATAGAACAATAGCAATTAACCAACCTGAACAACAGAGAGAAAACAGAATTTAAAAACTGAACAGAGCCTCAGGGACTTGTGAGACTATAGCAAAAGATCTAATATCCATGTTACTGGAGTCTCAGAGAATGGAAAGAGGCAGAACTGAAAATATACTCAAGGAAATAATGACTGAAACTTTCTAAATTTGGCAAGAATATTACAGTACATATTCAAGAAGTTTAGCAATCCCAAACAGGATAAACCCAAAGGGATTCACTCCAAGAGACACCGTAGTCAAACTTTCGAAAATGAAAGGCAGAAAAAATATTGAAATCAGTAAGAGACAATCAACAGTTTACCTAGAGTGGGGAAAAAATCAAATGACAGCAGATTTTTCATCAGAAATCATGGGGCCAGAGGGAAGTGGCATAAGACTTATTGACTAATGATAATAAGCTATCAACCATAAGTCCCATATCCAGCAAAATTATCTTTCGGGAATGAAAGGGAAATCAAAATTCTTAGATGAAGACAAACAAAGAAAACTTGTTGTTAATAGACCCACCATAATAGAACTTTTCTGTTTCAAGAAGTTATTGAAACAGAGAGAAAATGATAAAAGAACATCTTGGAATGTCAGGAAGGAAAATAATATTGCATTGGATAGTAAAATAATTATTAATTCTACAATAATAGTAAAGAAAGAGAGAAGAAGAGAGGAAGCCCTTCTTCTTTATGGAAGAATGTCAGCTAATAAATGTAGAAAGAATGGTAGAATTAGTAAGTTATCATTTTACATCACCCCAGTGTAATAGCAAGTATAAGCATAGATCATTACTGGAGGTTAAAGCCATTGGGTAAAGAGTTGTTAGGATAGATAGTCAAAAGGTCTCAGGGTATCACCCCACGTTTAATTTTAACTGTTAAAGAAAAAGGATACATTTACAATGTAGAGATCTGATAGATTCATGACTTAACCATGGGATCAAACCCAGAATCAGCAATATAGGGACAAACGAACAATCTGGGCATTACCTATGTAGTGACCTTTTTCAAAACATTTAACTTGAATATAATCATGAAGAAACTATCAGAAAATTCCAGAATGTGGAATATTATACATTATGGAATAGACCTGAGCTTTTGGAAACTATCAATGTCATGAAAATCAAACTAGCAACAAAAATAGCAGGAGACTAATCAAGATTAAAATAAACTAAAGAGACTTCACAACCCAAATGCTGTAGGTGGACTTCAACTGAATCCTGAATCATAAACAAAATTATTAAAGACAATTTTAGGAGAAATGGAAAAATAAAATATGAAGTGAATAGCAGATGATACTGTTGTATTAATGTTAAATTTCCCAAGTATCATGTGGAAAAATCCCTTATGTTTAGAGGTGCCTGTTGAAATATTTAGAGTTGAAGTGCCATGATATTTGCAATTTTCAGAGAAAGAGAGAGAGGGAGAGAGAGAGAGAATGGTAGAGACAGAGAAAGCAAAAAAAAAATCTTGCAAAATATTAAAAATTGGTGAATCTAGCTAAAGGGTTGTAGTGGGTTGAAGAGTGTCCCCTGCCTCAACGCCCCCCAAAAGATATTTCCAAGTCCTAATTCCTGGTATCTGTGAATGTGAACTTATTTGGACAGTACAGTCTTTGTACATATATTTAAATTAAGGATTTCAAGATGATATTATACTGGATTTAGGGTGGCTAAATCCAATGACCTGTGTCCTTAGAATTAGAGGACACAGAGGCACAAAGAATAAGGCCATGTAGAGACAGAAGCAGAGATTAGAGTTTTACTGCCACAATCCAAGGAATGCCAGGAGTCATCAGAAGCTGGAAGAGGAAAAGAAAGATACTTCTTTCTTATAGGGAGCTTGGCTCTACCACCACTTTAATCTCAGACTTACAGCCTCCAGAACAGTGAAAAAATAAATTTCTGTTCTTGTAAGCCATCAAATTTGTAGTAATTTGTTGCAACAGCCACAGGAAACTAATACAAATGTATACCAGGTTTACACCACACTTTCTTTCAGGGTTTCTGTAGGTTTGAATTTTTTTTTAATGGAAAAAAATCTCTTACTATGATAGGATAAGAGTGAGACTACATGAGAAACAAATTATGTAGTACCTTTAATGATACTTTTCTCCCCCTGCTTTTTAAACTAGAGGCTCCATATCTTTACTTTGTCTTTGTTCCCACAAATTGTACAACCAGCTAAAATGTTGAAGGAGTTGTGGCATTAGGATAGATTTCTTTAAACCTCTTCTTTCTGTGGTCAGTATTGGTTAATGCAGGCCTGAATATGGGAGGACAAGAGACCCCTACAGGAGAGCCAAGGGCTGCATAGCCTGGGAACTGAGCAAAGTCTCACAGGGGACCTTGATGACCTTGAAAGTTTAGAAACAAAACCAGTTATTTCCTTGCATTGTTTGCTTTGTTTCCTTCTTGTCTTCGTAATCATATTGTAAGATTTTCAAGTCTCAAGACCTTGCGTTTCACTTCTTTGCATCCCTTATATTTTGTGGCATAGTGCTAGGCCCAGGGTTATCTAAGTGTTCAAAGATTATTTGAGTTGGGATTGTCATGGGCTTAAAGGAGCGCAAGAAACATGGGTGACATCAGAAGAAATTTAAGAATCTTCAACCTAGTCCTTCCTAGGTGCTAAAATGAAGCAAAAGCACATCTCTGAAATTGAGATTCATGTCTTTTGGGGTAAAGGGAGAGAAACAGAAATGCATCCCTGGTTGAGAAAGGGAGAGACATTTATATGTTCATATTGACTTCTATCCATATGTAGTCTCCAAGCAAGACCATGTCTACAATAAGTCCCAAGAGATAAAAGAAGAATCCATGTAATGGGATTGAGAGTTTGACAAGAATAACTTATTCTGAGTATCAAGTTAAACATCATTTCTTATCCAAAGATATCTGTGTTATTATTTCCATCATATGTTATATGGCGTGGGACCATGTATATTTTGACAGAACCTCTGCATATATCTTTAAAATGTCTGTAGAACTTTCGTATGCCTTTTATTAATTTTTTAATATAACAAACACATGGTGCTTATTGTGTGCCAGGCACTATTTTAAGTTTGCATAAATATTAATTCATTTAGTCTTCATAACAGCTCTATACAGAATAGGAAACTGAGGAACAGACAGGTTAAGGACATGGCAAATGGTTATGTGGTAAGTGAGAGGTAGAGCCAGCATTTGAACGAAGGCAGTCTGACTGCAGAGTTCCCCACCCTTAACCACTATATCTTGCTATCTTGCCATGTACTTGGCAAAGGTTCAGGTGTTGATCATGAGAAAGATCCTGGGCCACAACTTGCCCCACAAACCCTATGCAGCCATCTTACATTTGTTTATTAAGTAATGACAGGACTTTGGAGCAGAAGCCTGTAATCCTTTTGGAGGGTGATTGGCCTACACAGGGTCAGCTTGTATCCCCAGTGGGCCAAACAAAAACTCATGAATCCAGAAGACTCTGAAAAGCTTCTCCTGGCAGTAAAGCTGAGAATTTCTGTATTAAAGGATTAAAAGTGGGGCAGAGTGCATAATACTGACAGTTTTTGCCTAATACCACTACTACAATGTGGGAACTTTGTTTCTGTTACTAGGATCCAACAACTTTTTGCTGTCACTACTCAAGTTGCTACAAGCAATTCGGCTAAAAATATTGTAGTTTTGATAGCGAAAATCAATGTATCAGACTCTTTGGTTGCAAAAGAGAGAAAACCCTACAAAGATTCCTTTTATAAAAAAATTTTCATTAGCACACATGGCTAAACACCTTCAGGTGCACCTGGATTCAGTGATTCACGAAACCATCATCAGGATTTGATTTCTTTCTCCCTACCCATCAGTTCTGTTTTCTCAGGATGTCTCCACTCTAATCAAATGGGGTCTCCTCTCCTAATCGAAAGATGACTGTCATCAGCAATCAGAGCTACTCCTATATCCCATTCCAATAAATAAAAAATCAGAGCCCTCTCCCAAAAAGTCATAAAATTCATTTCACTCTTGGAATAGTCGCAGTGGCCAGGCAAAACCCATATGATGATTTATTTATGCCTGGGTACCAGGTCTGGAGGTGGAATGTCACCCAGGAAGGTGGACTAAAGTGGGAAAAAAGTTAGATTTCCACATGAAAATTAGAAACCATTGCCAAAAGTAGAATGCTTGGTGAGGAAGCAAACAGCAAATGTCTCCCACAACCATACCTGGCCAATCTATTAGAGTTGTTTGATGCAGAAAGTATGGGTATTGATAAATAGCGCCAGAGAAACATTTATCTAATCTATGAAAAATGTTCTGGATAAGTCTCTAAACCAAGACTATTTGATCCCATCAATTCATCATATAGATAGAACTAATTTAGAAGCAGGAAACAAAAACTAGGGACAAATGGGCCATTTGAAACAGGAAATCTAGACAGTCAGATGTCCCAGGTTTGATTTAATACTTTAATATATTATAGACTCAAGGTCAGGAAAGTTGTAAAGAACCAGATAGCAAATTTTTTGGCTTTGTGGGCATATAATGTCATAGTATGAAAGCAGCTATAGACAATATATAAACAAATGGGTGTGGCTGTGTTGCTATAAAATTTTATTTATAAAAATAGGCAGTAGGCTAGATTTTGCCCATAGATGATAGTTTGTTGACTCCTGTTGTAGATAGATAGTAAGGTACTATGTAGGAGTATGGTCTCTGGTGATAGATGTATATGCATTTGAGTCCTGCCTCTAGTACTAACTCTGTGTCCATGGGCAATTTCCTTAACTACTCTAAGACTCAATTTTCTCATCAGCTTAATAGGTATAATAATAGCATCTATCTAAGAAGGTAGTGAGAATTTAAAGAGAAAGTAACCATAAATCCAAGGATACAATGCCCAACATGTAATGAATGGTCAATAAATAGTAGTTGCTACTTATTATTATAATTATTATTAAGCAAGCCAGTGTGGGAAAACTATAGGAAAATCTTGTGAGAGCACTAAGAAGGAAGAAAAAAACTTCCATGTCAGGTTTAAAATATGAATTTATTACATCATATTCCAACTACATCTTTATATTTATTATTTTTCTTTTTTTATTATACTTTAAGTTCTGGGTTACGTGTGAGGAATGTGCAGGTTTATTACATAGGTGTACACGTGCCATGGTGGTTTGTTGCACCCATCAACTTGTCACCTACATTAGCTATTTCTCCTAATGTTATCCCTCCCCTAGTCCCCCACCCCCCACAGGCCCTGGTGTGTGATGATCCCCTCCCTGTGTCCACGTGTTCTCATTGTTCAACTCCCACTTATGAGTGAGAACATGTGGTGTTTGGTTTTCTGATCTTGTGACAGTTTGCTGAGAATGATGGTTTCCAGCTACATCCATATCCCTGCAAAGGACATGAACTCATCCTTTTTTGTGGCTGCACAGTATTCCATGGTGTATATGTGGCATATTTTCCTAATCCAGTCTATCATTGATGGACATTTGGGTTGGTTCCAAGTCTTTGCTATAGACTGCCACAATAAACATATGTGTGTATGTGTCTTAATCATAGAATCATTTATAATCCTTTGGGTATATGCCCAGTAATGGGATTGCTGGGTCAAATGGTATTTCTAGTTCTAGATCCTTGAGGAATCGCCACACTGTCTTCCATAATGGTTGAACTAATTTACACTCCCATCAACAGTGTAAAAGCATTCCTATTTTCCTACAACCTCTCCAGCATCTGTTGTTTCCTGACTTTTTAAAGATCACCATTCTAACTGGTGTGAGATGGTTATCTCATTGTGGTTTTGATTTGCATTTCTCTAATGACCAGTTATGATGAGCATTTTTTCATACGTCTGTTGGTTACATAATGTCTTCTTTTGATAAGTGTCTTTTCATATCCTTTGCCCATTTTTTGATGGGGGTATTTGCTTTTTTCTTGTAAATTTATTTGAGTCCTTTGTAGATTCTGGATATTAGCCCTTTGTCAGATGGATAGATTGCAAAAATTTTCTCCCATTCTGTAAGTTGCCTGTTCACTCTGATGATAGTTTCTTTTGCCATGCAGAAGCTCTTTAGTTTAATTAGATCCCATTTGTCAATTTTGGCTTTTGTTGCCATTGCTTTTGGTGTTTTAGACATGAAGTCTTTGCCCATGCCTATGTCCTGAATGGTATGGCCCAGATTTTCTTCTAGGATTTTTATGGTCCTTGGTCTTATGTTTAAGTCTGATCCATGTTGAGTTGATTTTTGTATAATGTGTAAGGACGGGGTCCAGTTTCAGTTTTCTGCATATGGCTAGCCAGTTTTCCCAACACCATTTATCAAATAGGGAATCTTTTCCCCATTGCTTGTGTGTGTCAGGTTTGTCAAAGATCAGATGGTGGTAGATGTGTGGTGTTATTTCTGAGGACTCCGTTCTGTTCCATTGGTCTAAAGTTCTGTTTTCGTACCAGTACCATGGTGTTTTGGTTATTGTACCCTTGTAGTATAGTTTGAAGTCAGGTAGTGTGATGCCTCCATCTTTGTTCTTCTTGCCCAGGATTATCTTGGCTATGCAGGCTCTTTTTTTGGTTCCATATGAAATTTAAAGTAGTTTTTTCCAATTCTGTGAAGAAAGTCAATGGTAGCTTGATGAGGATAGCATTGAATCTGTAAATTACTTTGGGCAGTAAGGCCATTTTCATGATACTGATTCTTCCTATCCATGAGCATGGAATGTTTTTCCATTTGTTTGTGTCCTCTCTTATTTTCTTGAGCAGTGGTTTGTAGTTCTCCTTGAAGATGTACTTCACATCCCTTGTAAGTTCTATTCCTACGTATTTTATTCTCTTTGTAGCAATTGTGAATAAGAATTCACTCCTGATTTGGCACTCTGTCTGTTATTGGTGTATAGGATGCTTATGATTTTTGCACATTGATTGTGTATCCTGAGACTTTGTTGAAGTTGCTTATCAGCTTAAGGAGATTTTGGGCTGAGATGATGGGGTTTTCTAAATATACAATCATGTCATCTGCAAACAGACACAATTTGACTTCCTCTCTTCCTATTTGAATACCCTTTATGGCTTTCTCTTGCCTGATTGCCCTGGCCAGAAATTCCAATACTATGTTGAATAGGAGTGTTGAGAGATGGCATCCTTGTCTTGTGCCAGTTTTCAAACGGAATACTTCCAGATTTGCCTATTCAGTATGATATTGGCTGTGGGTTTGTCATAAAGAGCTCTTATTACATTGAGATATGTTCCATGGATACCTAGTTTATTGAGAGTTTTTAGCATGAAAGGCTGTTGAATTTTGTCGAAGGCCTTTTCTGCATCTATTGAGATAATTATGTGTTTTTTGTTGTTGGTTCTATTTATGTGATGGATTACTTTTATTGATTTGTGTATGTTGAACCAGACTTGCATCCCAGGGATGAAGCCAATCTGATCGTGGTGGATGAGTTTTTGATGTGCTGCTGAATTCGGTTTGCTAGTATTTTACTGAGGATTTTTGCATTGATGTTCTTCAGGGATATTGGCCTAAAATTTTCTTTTTTGTTGTTGTGTGTCTGCCAGGCATTGGTATCAGGATAATGCTGGCCTCATAAAATGAGTTAGGGAGGATTCTCTCTTTTTCTATTGATTGGAATAGTTTCAGAAGGAATGGTGCCAGCTCCTCTTTGTACCGCTGGTAGAATTGGGCTGTGAATCCATCTGGTCCCAGGCTTTTTTGGTTGGTAGGCTATTAATAATTGCCTCAATTTCAGAACCAGTTATTGGTCTATTCAGAGATTCAACTTCTTCCTGGTTTAGTCTTGGGAGGGTGTAGTGTCCAGGAATTTGTCCATTTCTTCTAGATTTTCTAGTTTATTTGTGTAGAGGTGTTTATAGTATTCTCTGATGGTAGTTTGTATTTCTGTGGGATCAGTGGTAATATCCGCTTGATCATTTTTTATTGCATCTATTTGATTCTTCTCCCTTTTCTTCTTTATATGTCTTGCTAGCAGTCTATCTATTTTATTGATCTTTTCAAAAAACCAGCTCCTGGATTTGTTGAATTTTTGAAGGTTTTTTTGTGTCTCTATCTCCTTCAGTTCTGCTCTGATCTTAGTTATTTCTTGTCTTCTGCTAGCTTTTGAATTTGTTTGCTCTTGCTTCTCTGGTTCTTTTAATTGTGATGTTAGGGTGTTGATTTTAGATCTCTCCTGCTTTCTCTTGTGGGCATTTAGTGCTATAAATTACCCTCTACATACTGCTTTAAATGTGTCCCAGAGATTCTGGTAAGTTGGGTCTTTGTTCTCATTGTTTTCAAAGAGCATCTTTATTTCTGCCTTCATTTCATTATTTACCCAGTAGTCATTCAGGAGCAGGTTGTTCAGTTTCCATGTAGTTGTGCAGTTTTGAGTGAGTCTTTATCCTGAGTTCTAATTTGATTGCACTGTGGTCTGAGAGACAGTTTGTTGTGATTTCTGTTCTTTTACATTTGCTGAGGAGTGTTTTACTTCCAATTATGTGGTCAATTTTAGAAAATGTGTGATGTGGTGCTGAGAAGAACGTATATTCTGTTGATTTGGGGTGGAGAGTTCTGTAGATGTGTATTAGGTCTGCTCGGTCCAGAGCAGAGTTCAAGTCCTGAATATCCTTGTTAATGTTTTGTCTTGTTGATCTGTCTAATATTGATAGTGGGGTGTTAAAGTCTCCCTTTATTATTGCGTGGGAGCCTAAATCTCTCTGTAGGTATCTAAGAACTTGCTTTATGAATCTGGGTGCTCCTGTATTGGGTGCATATATGTTTAGGATAGTTAGCTCTTCTTGTTGAATTGATCCCTTTACCATTATATAATGGCCTTCTTTGTCTCTTTTGATCTTTGTTGGTTTAAAGTCTGCCTTATCAAGACCAGGATTGCAACCCATGCATTTTTTTGCTTTCCGTTTGCTTGGTAGATCTCCCTCCATCCCTTTATTTTGAACCTATGTGTGTCTTTGCATGTGAGATAGGTCTCCTGAATACAGCACACCACTGGGTCTTGACTCTTTATCCAAGTTGCCAGTCTGTGTCTTTTAACTGGGGCATTTAGCCCATTTACATTTAAGATTAATATTGTTATGTGTGAATTTGATCCTGTCATTATGATGTTAGCTGGTTATTTTGCCAGTTAGTTGATGCAGTTTCTTCATAGTGTCAATGGTCTTTACAATTTGGCATGTTTTTGCAGTGGCTGGTACCGGTTGTTCCTTTCCATGTTTAGTGCTTCCTTCAGGAGCTCTTTTAGGGCAGGCCTGGTGGTGACAAAATCTCTCAGCATTTGCTTGTCTGTAAAGGATTTTATTTCTCCTTCACTTATGAAACTTAGTTTGGCTGGATATGAAATTCTGGGTTGAAAATTCTTTTCTTAAGAATGTTGAATATTGGCCCCCACTCTCTTCTGGCTTGTAGGGTTTCTGCTGAGAGATCAGCTGTTAGTCTGATGGGCTTCCCTTTGTGGGTAACCCGACCTTTCTCTCTGGCTGCCCTTAACATTTTTTCCTTCATTTCAACCTTGGTGAATCTGACTATTATGTGTCTTGGGTTTGCTCTTCTCAAGGAATATCTTTGTAGTGTTCTCTGTATTTCCTGAATTTGAATGTTGGCCTGCCTTCTAGGTTGGGGATGTTCTCCTGGGTAATATCCTGAAGAGTGTTTTCCAACTTGGTTCCATTCTCCCCGTCACTTTCTGGTACAGCAATCAGATGTAGATTTGGTCTTTTCACATAGTCCCATATTTCTTGGAGGCCTTGTTCATTTCTTTTCAGTCTTTTTTCTTTAATCTTGTCTTCTTGCTTTGTTTCATTAAGTTGATCTTCAATCACTGAATATCCTTATTTCTTCTTGATTGAATCGGCTATTGAAGCTTGTATAGGCTTCATGAAGTTCTCGTACTGTGGTTTTCAGCTCCATCAGGTCATTTAAGCTCTTCTCTACACTGGTTATTCTAGTTAGCTATTCGTCTAACCTTTTTTCAAGGTTTTTAGCTTCCTTGTGATGGGTTAGAACATGCTCCTTTAGCTCGCAAAAGTTTGTTATTGCCAACCTTCTGAAGCCTACTTCTGTCAACTCATCAAACTCATTCTCTGTCCAGTTTTGTTCCCTAGCTGGCAAGGAGTTGTGTTCCTTTGGAGGAGAAGTGGTGCTCTGGTTTTTGCAATTTTCAGCCTTTTTGCTCTGGTTTCTACCCATCTGGTTTCTACTCATCTACCAAAGGTTTTATCTACCTTTGGTCTTTGATGTTGGTGACCTAAGGATCGGGTTTTTGTGTGGATGTCCTTTTTGTTGATGTTGATGCTATTCCTTTCTTTTTGTTAGTTTTCCTTCTAATAGACAGGCCCCTCAGCTGCAGGTCTGTTGGAGTTTGCTGGAGATCCACTCCAGACCATTTTCCTGGGTATCACCAGTGGAGTTTGCAGAACAGCAAATATTGCTGCCTGATCCTTCCTCTGGAAGCTTTGTCCCAGAGGGCCACCTGCCTGTATAAGGTATCTGTTGGCCCCTACT